>NC_000014.9:106580717-106883718 GCF_000001405.40 Homo sapiens | reverse complement strand
GAGGCGCCTCGCAGGGCATGGACGCACGCCGGCGCATCCCCGGAGGGGAGTGGTGGCTGGGCGGGCGGGATTGAGGCGCGGTGCAGGCGCAGAGACGTACGTCGCTGGGCTGAGGGTGGCGGGCCGTGTTGCAGGCGCACAGTCGGATGGCGACAGGCGGGGCGCGCGGGGGTGGCACGGTGAAGTGTAGAGACACACGTCCCCGGCGGCGCGGCGCAGAGACGGGTGGAACCTGAGTAATCTGAAAAGCCTTTTTCGAGCGCCCCCTGCTTGCAGCCGGGCACTACAGGACCCAGTTGCACACGGTGCTGTGCCATTACGCCCCCTGCTGGCGACTAGGGCAACTGCAGGGCCCTGTAGGTGACAGTGGTGTCCAGCGCCCACTGCTGGCGCCGGGGCACGGCAGGGCTCTCTTGCTTGCAGTATAGTGGCGGCACGCCGCCTGCTGGCAGCTAGGGACATTGCAGGGCCCTCTTGCTCACATCGTAGTGGCAGCACGCCCGCCTGCTGGCAGCTGCGGACACTGCCGGGCCCTCTTGCAGACAAGGAGGTAAAATAACATTCTACAAAATGCCTGACCAATCCTCCTCAGTACTATCAAGATCATCATGAGATGGAAAGCCTGACACACTGTCACAGCCAGGAAGAGCCTACATGATGACTACATGTCATGGGGGATCCTGGATGGGATCTTGGGTCAGAGTAACACCCAAATGAAATATGAACTTTAGTTAATAATAGTCTATCAGTATTGGTTCATTAATTGTGACAAATTATGTAAGATATTAATAAGCCATGTGAGACACACTGATAGAAGATGTTAAGAGAGGAAACTAGGTTGCGGCTACATGGGAAATTTCTGCTTTTTTTGACAATTTCTGTGTAAGTAAAAAAAAGATGTAAAATAAAACTTTATTTAAAACACTTTTTTTGAACACTTCCTTGTTTAATTATTTATACCATGACTTACTAGTAATTGACACTGTTAACTATTCCGTTTTTTAAAATAAGAGCATTTATGACACAAAAAATTAAACAGTGCAGACTGATATATAAATCAAAACAAATGTTCTTTACATGTTTTCTGTTACAGTAGTAACACATATGTGTAAACTTAATTATCATATTTTTTTCTTGTGCTGTGGTTGTGTCCTGGGTTCATTCTCTGAAATGCTCTTCGCCTTAGACCAGGAAAAACATTAACCATACAGACTCTGTTTCAATTCATAGCTAAATATTTTCAAAAGAGTGACTTTGTAAAAATATGTTCCAATGGCAAATTGATTCATTGTGATGGGATGACTTATTCCAAAGACTTCTTGTCTTTATTTTGTTCCCATGCCTACCTTTTAGGCATAATACAACAGAATCAAATATTTGCCACCAGGAAAAAATATTCAAAGAAAGAAAGAATGTGAACAGAACTTATGACCATGATGATTCAATGTTTTACCACAATGCTTTCTAAAACAAAAGAGTGTAAAAGGATATTCAAAGTCAATTTCCTCAGCGAGGCTTTGCAGCAAATGAGGAAATTAGAAAAACAAAAATGGCAGGACATTCTACAGGTGATTTTAAATGTTGCTATGCTTTATGGGAAAAAAATACTTTACTTTTTAAAGAATCACAAAGAATTATCGGAAACCCAAACTCTGGAATGTTTGCAAATTTAATTGAGCTTCTGTGTAATTATGTCTATATAGGTAGCCACAAAGTCGATGGTTTTTTAAAAATCTGTGCCTTATTTGTGTAATAAAATAAACAAAGAATAATTAATGCTCATAGGAAAACCTTATGAAGGGAAAATAAATCTTGGGGACCCAAAATCACTAAAGCTAAAGGGAAAAGTCAAGCTGGGAACTGCTTAGGGCAAATCTGCCTCCCATTCCATCCAACGACACCCATCTGCTCACCGAGATAAATGCATACCTGATTGCCTCATTTGGAGAGGGTAATCAGCAATGCAAAAGAATGAAACCATTTGTCTCTTACCTACCTATGACCTGGAAGCCCCCTGTCTGGCCTTCTCACCTTTCTGGACTGAATCAATGTTCATCTTACACATACTGATTGATGTCTCATGTCTTCCTAAAGTGTATAAAACCAAGCTGCGCCCCAACCACCTTGGGCCCATGTTGTCAGGACCTCCTGAGGATGCATCACGGGTGCACATCCTCAAGATTGGCAAAATAAACTTTCTAAAAAATCTGAGAGCTCTCTCAGATTTTCAGGGTTCACACATGTAATGTAGGATGTCAATGTTTATAAAACAGACATTATTCTATCTACTATTAGAAATATGCTGCCAATTAACCTTAGACTTTCTCAACAAAATAAAAAATGTTGATGAGATACAAATAATATATCTAAGCTTAAATAGTGTTGCAAGTTTTAATATGCCTACTTTTCAATTTTTCAATACTATTTTTACTCCAAAGCCATGGTGACCCACGCTCGGGTGGGTCCTGAGGACAACAAAGCTCTGGTTCTGATCCTAACCCTAACCCTGTCCCAAGACTTTGACCCTGAACCTAAATCCTGATCCCTACCCTGGTCCCTAATTCTGACCCTTACTTTGACCCTGACTTTGAGCTTGACCTTGACCATGACCCCACCTCTAACCATACTTCCCGCCCTGACTCTGAACCAGATCCTAATCCTATCCCTAACCCTATTATTATATTTACAATCTATGTCTAATCTTACCGTCTAGTGCTAAATAGCTGTACCCAAAGGCACTTTTAAATTATTTAACTTCTTTTCCTTGAATTCTCTAAGGACATCCTAAAGGAGATGTCATTATGTATTTTGCATTCCCTCTGAGTGGTATGGCTTCAGATATGAACTTCTAATACTTTGCAAGACATAAAAAGTTTGGAGGGTAACAGCACTGGGTTGTTAGGGATGTATGTTGGCATTCATGGTAGTCATTGGTGCTGTTCTCCAAATATTTTCAGTTCATTTTTTATGAATGCATTCTGACTCTTCCATCCCACCTACTTAAATTTTCTAATGGCCACATGAGTTTTTTTTTGTTTTTTTTTTTTTGTTTTTTTTTTTTTTTGCCAATGGAGGTGAGAAGAAATAACATGTGACTTTTTCAGGAGAAATCTCCAAGAAACAGAGTTCTATTCTGCATGCTTTTTTCTCTTTTCTATAGCAATGGGGATCTTATTGATGGTCCCTCCTTCCGTCTGGATTCCTGTGTTAGGATGACACAGCACAGAGCTACCTCTCACCTGACCCGTGATGAGATGTTTTGTGGCAACATGATCTCAAGATAATGATAATTATAAAACCCTTTACTGACAAAATGTAGATCTCCATTTTTTCATTGTAATTTAACTTTGCCTTACTTTAAGAACAGTAGTTTGCAGCTCCAAATGCACTGATTAAAGACAGACGTCCATTTTCTCTGGAAATGTATTTTTATGTTCTTACTGGATGTATTTGCTGTTAATGTTTGCTACTATGAAGATACCTGAACAGTGTCCACATTAGAGAATAAGAGAAAGTAATGGGCAGATTAACCCTGTGCATCTAGACCCGGGAATCCTTTGACCCTACCCTCCCTGAAATGGAGACACAGAGGATGGATGAGAAAAACTGAGCAGTGCACCCATGATCACAAAAAGAATGACATGGAAATGTGCCTCTTCCCATCTCATGAAACGCAGCTCATCCTCTGTTCTTTCAGGCCCTTGGTGAAGAGCCACCCCATGTCTGTCCCTTCCTCAGTGTCCACACCATGAGGTCTGCACTGATCTGGGCTTCCCTTCTCATCACTCTCAGTATTAGTGTGCATTGTGAATCAGGTCCAGCTGTGGCTGCTCTGCATGGGGCTGCAGTCAGTACGTTTCCTCTGTGTTCATGTAAGTCCTGTTGAAGCTTACTGATGGAGTCAGAGGGGGAAACATTGTACAGCCCAGCGGTTCTCACAGACTCTCCTGCAAAGCCTCTGATTTCACTTGTACTGGCTACAGCATGAGCTTGGTCCAGCAGGCTTCATGACAGGGATTTGTGTGGGTGGCAACAGTGAGTTATCAGGGTTACTCTCCATGAGTACAAGTAAATTAACAGTCCCAAGCAACACCCTTTCAAGTGCAGTCTACCTTAAAATGACCAATGTGAAAGCCAAGGACAAGACCTTGTATTACTGTGAGTGACATAGGAGCAGGAACATCTGCGTGAGCCCAGACACAAAATCCTCTGCAGGGAGACAGGAGGGAATCGCATGGTAGATGCTGATTGGAACTACCATGGGTCGCTCAGAACTACCAGGAGGTACT
The DNA here is from genome assembly GCF_000001405.40 of Homo sapiens. Taxonomy (NCBI): domain Eukaryota; kingdom Metazoa; phylum Chordata; class Mammalia; order Primates; family Hominidae; genus Homo; species Homo sapiens. The sequence continues at coordinate 106,879,429 of NC_000014.9, read as the reverse complement.
CAGAACCACTAGGGGGCGCTCAGGACACCAGGGGACGCTCAGGACAACCAGGGGGTGTTCAGGACACCAGGGGGTGCTCCGAGCCACCAGGGGGCACTCAGGACACCAGGGGACGCTCAGAACCATTACTTCCTTGTAAATCCATGATTTCTTTACAAATGTTACTTCCAAAACATTAACTTAGAACCGGGAATTTTTTTTTTTTTGACAAAGTCTCCCTCTTGTCGCACAGGCTGGAGTGCAGTGGCATGATCTTGGCTCATGGCAACCTCCAACTCCCGGGTTCAAGCAATTCTCCTGCCTCATACTTCTGAGTAGCTGCCACCACGTGCCTGCCACCATGCCTGGCTAATGTTTGTACTTTTAGTAGAGACGGGGTTTCACCATGTTGACCAGGCTAGTCTCGAATTCATGACCTCAGGTGATCTGCCCCGCTAGGCTTCCCAAAGTGCTGGGATTACAGGCGTGAGCCACCATGCCCAGCCTATTTGAAGTTTTAATGCTGCGTGTTTTCTGAGTAACGCTAGCAATGATCTGTCAGAACAATTTTTAAAATAGGTTATTTATATATTTTATTAAAATACTATTATTAAAAGAGTAAAATTGTAAAAATTGCACCTGCAATCTCAGCACTTTGGGAGGTTGAGGCAGGCAGATCACTTGAGCTCAGGAGTTTTAGAACAGCCTGGCAACACAATGAAATCCTTTCTATACAAAAAAAATAGCTGGGTGTGATGCTGCCTGTGGTCCCAGATACTTGGAAGGCTGAGGTGGGGGGATCCCTTAATCCTGGGAGGTTGAGGCTGTAGTGAGATGTGATTGTACCACTGCACTCCAGCCTGGTTGACAGAGTGAGACCCTGTCTTAAAAAATGTGTATCCTCGATACACATTGTTTCCATGAATAGAGTTTAGTGTTTTTGTGCTGTGATACTCAAACAATTATATATGTTTTCTAACATTAACTCACCATATGCATGGTGTTTTGTTTCTTTTTCTTTCATCAGCTGAAAGTGGAATGGAAATTAAACACCACTTTAAAGGCTCTTGTTCTCCACTTTGGTTGGCTCCTGGTGTCCTGTTTTTCAGACTATTTCTCCATCTTCCCTTTTACTTTAAAAGTCTTTTATCTTCCTCAGTCACCATGCAGGAAATAAAAATTCCCTTTACTTTCTGTCCTCCAAGTCTGGTGAACAGTTTCCTTCTCTTCATAATAACTGAAGCCAACCAAGTTTAGGAGGATAACAGTTCTCCTTAGAATATGCTCATCTACCTGCAGACTCTCTGCCCTCCTCACCCTTTTCTAAGGTCCTGCAGACATCACCCTCATTCCATTCCCTCCCTTCCCTAAGTACGACAGAGTGGGCTCTGCAGCTCCTGCTGCCTTCTGTGTGCTCAGCCCTGGGGCTCCCTAGTGCTTTTGTTGCAGGACGATCAAAGATGGGAGAGACCAAACAGAGTTCAGGAGAGTCCTTTATTAAAAGGTGATCACCTGGCTCAGTTGGACTAGCATCCAGGAAAGTCTGAGCCCTGGACAAAGAAAGCAGCCACCTTTTACACAGTCAGTGGCTGGGAGCTACATGATGCAGGAAGCGTAATTACAGAAGAGAGAACAAAGGCAGTTATTTGTTACTTCATGTCTTACATCCTTGGGAATACATGGTTCTGTAACATATACTTAACAATCTTATGACCTTGCAGCTGTGCTGGGGAGGTAAGCAAGAACCCTCTGAGCCTCAAGGAATGTGAAACCAATGAGAACAGATAAGGCTCACTGAGCACAGAAGGAAAAACAGGCAGTTAGTATTCTCTAACTTAGACTACGGGGGAGGGGCTACACACTACAGTAAGCCCTGAGGGGAAAGTTAATTTTCTGGCTTTACATATTGTAAAATTCATAAATTACTTCTTCACTTTGATGATGAAGCCCAAATCCCCATGTGCTTACACTCTCTCAGACCACCCTCTAGGAAGCTGCCATTGTGAGTGAGCCCTAAAAAGCATGGGCTGGGTTTAGCTTCATATTGCTGGATGTTCTCTATTATAAAGGCATGTTGGCAAATAAAGACTACAGTTTGTATTGAATATTCATGCCAAAGAAGTTTTTTTCAAAACTTTTCAAGTAAAAAATTTTATCTTGCCTAGTTTGAAAATTACCATCTAAATTCAACAAATAAGGTAATACAGTTTTAAAAGTGATGTTTGTCTTATTAGTTATTCAATTTATTAACAACAGACTGATATTTAAAATAAATACCATTGCACATTTAAGTGCCATACTGTTCTGGGATTTTTTAAGGAATCAGAGAGACCGACTCTGTTCAGGAGGATATTTATTATTTAGGTTCAGGAGGATATTTATTATTTAGGTGCACCGGCCAAGTCGAATTAACATCCAAAGGACTGAGCCCAGAACAGAGTTCAGTTACCTTTTAAGCATTTTGTGGGGTGGGAGAGGGGACATCTGTGCAGGGTGAAGCATACTACAGAAGTGAGAAACAAAGACAGTTATTCAATTGAAACATGTATTACATCATTTCTTCCTTTTCAAGGAAAAACATGTTTTGCGACTTGAGTTTATCTTTCTAGTGACCTTGCAGCTACACTGCTAGGGAATCAGGGTCTTCAAAATGCCTGAGAAGGGAGGAGAGGTAAGGCTCATTAGCCACAGAAAAACAGGCAGTTAGTATTTTAAAGGACTCCAGCTCTTTCTCTTTTTCAGGGAGAATTGGGTTTTCTTACATACAACTGAGTTTCTGCTTACACATTCTTTAATTTCTTTTAATTCCTGTTTCAATACTTGACAAGAATGGCATTTACATACAGTTTTACCAAAACATGTATTTAAATATATTTGTCTTTTTAATATTGGAATAGGCAGACATACACGTAGATCAGCATTATTTTGTACTAAAATCTCAAACTGCAAACACAATTTAAATTCAATTAAATAATTAGAATAATATGAAACAAATGGGTGTGTTGTTTTGGTGTTTACGTATGCATTCACTTTTGCATGGGCACATGTATGAGTCTTTGCTGGGCTGTTGTGCACGTATGTGTGTTTGTATGACCAGGAGGTTTTCAAATACATCATTAAATTACATAGTTATATTAATCTTGGCAAGGCACTTGTATTCTGTTTTCTTTAATTCTGTTTGCAGAAAGTAGACACATATTCAGTCTTAGTTCCAGTGTAGGGAGTGCTTTTCATGAGAAAAATACCAGAAAAAAGGGCAAACATGGGGCCCACTAATGTAAAAATTAGCCACAATGTGTATGTGTGTGTGTGTGTGTGTGTGTGTGTGTCTGAGTTGAATAGTAGAGTTGGAGTGGGCTTCTATCCACATGCACCTGCGCCTACAGGTATTATCAGGTACAATAATCAACTGCAGAACCCTAAAGGAAATAAGAGTCCCCCCAAACCCCTGAAGAGTGTTTGGGTTCACCATGTGTCCAATGATTCAGTGCCTCTCGAGCTCCAGGAAACGGCTCCCTGGTGATGCGTGAGATCTTTTCTTGGGGTGTCCCTGCAGAGTTCGCTGGGTTTCCTAAGGCTGATTCACTATTTCAAAAGATGGTGTGAGAAGCATATGGTGTAAATAAAGCAGAATTCTGAGCCAGGGCACAGCCACTTTATACTGGGCTAGAGACACTGGTAGGAATATACTCTGTCAGCTCAGATAGAAACCTCCCTGCAGGGTGGGGGCAGGGCTGCAGGGGGCGCTCAGGACACATCGAGCACAGTCTTCCGCCCCAGAGCAGGTGCACATGAGGCTGGGGAGAGGTTCCTCTCAGGGCCTGGGACTTCCTTTAAAAATATCTAAAATAAGTATTTCACAAGGACTGCTGATGTTTGTATAAATATCCTATTCAATTGTGAGCATTTATCAAACTGGATGTTGTAATGAGAACCACTTTTATAATGGCGATTTCAAACTCTGCTAGTTATCTTAATAATAGCAGCTGGAGGTCAGGAAGAGATTATTACTTATAAATAAGTGCAATTTTTGGAGAGACACACTCATTCCCAAAATAACGCATTCACATATTAAGGTCTAGAAATGGTTCACGTTGCCCCTGAGACATTCAAATGTGGGTTCAAAGTGAGGTGCTGTCCTCGGGGAGTTGTTCCCCAGTGGAGGAAGCTCTGTCAACACAGAGTTCAGGGATGGGTAGGGGATGCATGGCCTCTAACAGGATTACGACTCGAACCCTCAGCTTCTACAATTGTGTCGTCCGTGTGTCATGGATTTTCTCTTTCTCATACTGGGTCAGGAATTGGTCTATTAAATAGCATCCTTCATGAATATGCAAATAACTGAGGGGAATATAGTATCTCTGTACCCTGAAAGCATCACCCAACAACAACATCCCTCCTTGGGAGAATCCCCTAGAGCACAGCTCCTCACCATGGACTGGACCTGGAGCATCCTCTTCTTGGTGGCAGCAGCAACAGGTAAGGGGCTCCCCAGTCTCAGGGCTGAGGAAGAAACCAGGCCACTCAAGTGAGGCTTTACCCACCCCTGTGTCCTCTCCACAGGTACCTACTCCCAGGTGCAGCTGGTGCAGTCTGGCCATGAGGTGAAGCAGCCTGGGGCCTCAGTGAAGGTCTCCTGCAAGGCTTCTGGTTACAGTTTCACCACCTATGGTATGAATTGGGTGCCACAGGCCCCTGGACAAGGGCTTGAGTGGATGGGATGGTTCAACACCTACACTGGGAACCCAACATATGCCCAGGGCTTCACAGGACGGTTTGTCTTCTCCATGGACACCTCTGCCAGCACAGCATACCTGCAGATCAGCAGCCTAAAGGCTGAGGACATGGCCATGTATTACTGTGCGAGATACACCATGTGGAAACCCACATCCTGAGAGTGTCAGAAATCCTGATGTGGGAGGCAGCTGTGCTGAGCTGAGGCAGTGATGCAGCAGTTTCCTTAACTTCCATCTTATCTCATTTTGCATCGACATCCACCTTTATATTAGCCAAGAATGTGGAATAGACGGGTGCTCATAAGAGATCCTTAACTTGCCCATTTTAATGGGTTTTCCAGAAGATGTGAGAAGCCACTTTGTTAGCAAAACATGCCAAAGCCATGCCCTGCTCCAGACACATGTGAGCCCATTTCCTGCTCTTTGCTTAACTGACAAGCTCTCATCAGTGCACCTGGGCTAATTTCACATCAGGTACAGGAATATGTTCTAAAGGAAAGCTAATTTTATAATAGCAATTCCTGCTTAATAACCTTCAGCTTCATTGTTTTTGTGTAATCTATCAACAAATTATGTTAGTTCAAGGTTCTCAATGGGAGTTTCTAATAAATAGAAGGGATGTATAGAAGTTCCCCTAATTAAAACAATTGTGAACACAATCTTGGTATTCAGCTGTGTCTCCACCCTTCTTACCATTCACCACAAAGTAATTCTCACTTCTGGAAGCTGGGTTCATTTTCAAATTAGTTTTTTTTTTCATTTTAATATCTCAAGGTTATTGTATGTGACTATTTTAGCAGAAATTGAATTTTGGGAAATTGAACTAACCAACTGAAAATAAATTCACAACTAAATAACAAGATGCCAGAATATAATTGGCTCCAGGCTTTGTTAATTCAGCAGTTTATCTACCTAGGCATTATATTTACACATCTTCATGCTATTTTTACAGTCAACTCCCATTATGTAAGAAATGGTCATACACCATTTCTTACATATGGTAAGATATCTACGATGGATATTCAGAACTACGATAAACATTGGATGCATCCAGGTTTGTCTGAACTCACTGAGATTATTACACTCAGCTGCTGTTTCAATGTGTCTGAAGGTATAAATGACAATTCGAATGACTTGGGTGTGTGGATGGTTTTACATGAGTCTTTAAGTGTAGAACAATATTGACCCTGTTCCAAAATCTGTCCTTGATCCATGATCACACTCATCTCCCAGAACAGCTCCTTCAACACATTTCCTATCTGGATGAAGAGGACTCTGTGCTTGGTGAGGGGAGGCCACAGGTAGAGAACTGAGTTCTCAGAGGGCACAGCCAGCATCCTCCTCCCAGGGTGAACCCGAAAGACTGCGGCCTCCCTCATCCCTTTTCATCTCTCCATACAAAGGCACCACCCACATGCAAATCCTCACTTAAGCGCCCACAGGAAACCACCACACATTTCCTTAAATTCGGCGTTCTGCTTACACGGGAAATGCTTTCTGAGAGTCATGGACCTCGTGTGAAAAGAACATGAAAAACCTGTGGTTCTTCCTCCCCCTGGTGGCAGCTCCCAGAAGTGAGTGTCTCCAGGATGCAGATATGAAGATATGGGAGGCTGCATCTGAGCCCAGGGCTCACAGTGGGTCTCTGTGTTCACAGGGGTCCTGTCCCAGGTGCAGCTGCAGGAGTGGGGCCCAGGACTGGTGAAGCCTTCGGAGACCCTGTCCCTCACATGCGCTGTCTCTGGTGACTCCATCAGCAGTGGTAACTGGTGGAGCTGGGTCCGCCAGTCCCCAGGGAAGGGGCTGGAATGGATTGGATACATCTATTATAGTGGGAGGAGCTACTACACCCCGTCCCTCAGGAGTTGAGTCACCATGTCAATAGAAACGTCCAAGAACCAGTTTTCCCTGAAGCTGAGCTCTGTGACCGCAGGGAGGCGGAGGGGGCGGGCGCAGGTGCCGCTCAGGACCAGCAGGGGGCGCGCGGGGCCCACAGAGCATGAGGCCGGGTCAGGAGCAGGTGCAGGGAGGGCGGGGCTTCCTCATCTGCTCAGGGCTCTCCCTCCTCGCCAGCACCTCAGCTGTCTCCAGGGCTCCTCTTTCTTTCTTATCTGTGGTTCTGCTTCCTCACATCCTTGTGGCAGGCAAGAAAGGAGGACGACAGGCCTGGTGCGGTGGTGTATGCCTGTAATCCCCGCACTTTGGGAGGCCGAGGCGGGTGGATCACCTGACGTCTGGAGTTCGAGACCAGCCTGACCAACATGGAGAAACCCCGTCTCTACTAAAAGTACAAAATTAGCCAGGCGTGGTGGCGCATGCCTGTAATCCCAGCTACTCCGGAGGCTGAGGCAGGAGAACGGCTTGAACCTGGGGGGCGGAGGTTGCTGTGAGCCGAGATCGTGCCATTGCACTCCAGCCTGGGCAACAAGAGCAAAACTCCGTCTAAAAAAAAATAAAAGGAAGAAGACAAATTTTCCTCTTACAGTCGAAGTATCAACAATACTAGGAACTTTCCTACGAGTTCCTGAATGGCCCCTTTTTTCCTTCTTGATTAAAAAAAAGTTCTAATGCTTCTCACCATCTCTTTATTTGTGTCGTCAATTGAATTGTGCCCTCTTTGAAATTCATATACTGAAATCTTGAATCCAGTGGATCTATATTGGAATTTTAAGTATATAATTAAGGTTAAATGTGGTCATACGTGTGAGACCCTAAAGCAATAGACATGTTGTCTTTATAAGAAGAGGAAGAGACACCAGAGACCTCTCACTTTTCACGTGCACATAGAAAGGAGGCCATGTGGACACACAGTGGACTAGAAGGTGGCCCTGGGCAAGCCAGGAAGAAGCCGCACCAAGAACCACCCTGCCAGCACCGTGATCTTGGACATTCAGACTGCAGAATTGTAAGAAAGTCAGTATTTGTTGTTTATGCCACCCACTCCTGTTGTCTTCTTGTGAAGACCCACACAGACTAATACTACATAACTCTGTTAGCTTTGTCTCCTAGAAGGAGAAGCAGGCCCCTGAGGCTGGGCACATCTCAGATTTCCATATAAAGTAGGCAAAAATAGTAACTCTTATAAAAAAATGTGTCAAGGCCCTTTCTTTCTTTTTTTTCTTTGAGACAGAGTCTCGCTCTGTCACCAGGCTGGAGTGCAGTGGCACGATCTCGGCTCACTACAACCTCCACCTCCAGGGTTCAAGTGATTCTCCTTCCTCAGCCTCCCAAGTACCTGGGACTACAGGCACCCGCCACCAACCCTGGCTAATTTTTTGTATTTTTAGTAGAGATGGGGTTTCACCATGTTAGCAAGGATGGTCTCGATCTCCTGACCTCGTGATCCTCCCGCCTCACCTCCCAAAGTGCTGGGATTACAGGTGTGAGCCACCATTGGCCATTTTTGGTGGAAAGGTCTCTGAAACCAACCCTGGTGTCTGTGCCACAAAAGTTGTCTTTTATCTTTTATTTGGACATAACAAATGGACAGTGAGTACCACCTGGATGGAGACTGACCACTGACCATCTTCTGCTGTCTCCTAAGTATGTCAAAGAAAACCACATCGACATCACTATTTTTCTTCAACCTCCTCGAATGAACTATAGAAATGATCCCTGAAAGTATAGTCTATTCCTTCAACCTTCTAAATTTGCACTAAATCTCTTCCTAAATGAGGAGCTACAGGGGGTCTGAGTTTTATTCCCTTCTTTCCAGTTTTCCCCAAGTACAAAGAGCAGAATAGACTTTCAGTGAAATTTGGCTGACAATGCCCCTAACACCACATCACTTTCTAAAACCCATATCCTGCCTCCATCCTTCTCTGGACACCCCTCATCGGGCTACCCAGGAATGGCCAGAAGCTGGCATCAGCTTCTGGGCTGAGGCCACGAGCTATACACACATGTGATTTCAGTTACACAGACTCTACTGCAGGACCACACCTGTGTTCTGAGGCACTCAGGCACCTGCTGATCTCAGTCATTCTCTAATAAATTACACACCTCTTATTAATAAAGGTCCAAATGGTCCCATCAGCTGCAGAGCAGTGGAGTAAAGCTCATGGGTGGGTCCGTCAGGCAGAAGTCAGACAATGGGATGGGTAGGTTGGTCACCTCCATTGTCACTGAGGTTCCCAGTGGATTTTAACAGAATAAAACAATATTAACAACAAAGGGATCTTGAAAGTATTTAAGGTCCAGGAATTTTGTTTGGGGGGCTAGAGAAAGACATTTTTAAACAGAAAGCCCTAAAGCACATACAGCAGCTGACAGAGTGGCCACTGTGCACATGACGGCTGAGGAGACAGATGGTAGGGGACATTCCCCCAAGATGTCCCTGGGTGTGTGATGGTTGGACTCCTCATGCATATGAAAATAAGAGCTGGACTCAGGTAGAAACAAGGGCCATACCCCATAGGAAAGGAAGAAAAAAACAGATGGGCAACCCTGGAGAGAGCTCATTAGATTTGGTAGGTTTGAGATGAAAATTACTTCCATGGATTTTAATGTTCTAAGCTAAGTAAGAATCTCTTCAATAAAGTGAGAATTAAAAGGAGAATGGAGCTAGGAGTTGAGAGAGGCAACAAATAATGAGAGAGCAGAAAGCAAATCCACAAAAAACTGTCACATGACAGAGGCCAGAATGGAGCTGATGCAGCTGCGTCATTTCCTACAGACCTAGTTGACCATGTGGAGAAGAGGCTTGAACAAATGGGGACGTTCTCCAACCTTCCAAATCAGCCTTCTTCTTAGGCTTGAGTAGTAATCATGGTTCTGAGGGTGACCTTCCAAATTTTCCTGTCTGTACCTCTTCCACCAGGGGTAGAGTGTCTTCCCAACCATAATGGTTTCTCTCCAGTGTCCTCAGCTTCTCCTCCTTTGTACTTACCCTGCAGATTAAGGATTTCTTCTAGATGGAGTTTCCTGGGAATCCTCTGTTTTCTTTTGTTTCTGTTGACTCCACCACACCCCATAGGTCACAGGTTTGATTGGATTTCCCCTGGAGACAGTGGAGGTGGATCCAGGCGTTCAACAGTCCTCGCTGTTCTTCCCTTCCTGTCAGCACCACAGGACAGCAGATAAGGGAGTTGACTGTGGATTTTTCAAATTCCTGGGAAAAGCCTGCAAGGACTAGTAGATTCACACTCTAATACCATTAGCACATGCATCCAAAAAAAATCCTCACTAAATATTTCCAGGTTAGCCTGTTCCTCTCTCAATGCCATCCAGTGGCACCTGCCCTGGGTTCACTAACATGTGGGCCCCAGTCCTCTCTGCAGGCCTCTCTCTCCTCACATTTCAGTCTTCTTGCTTTCTCTGTGAAACTAACTCACAAATGTTACAGGTTTTTCTTCTTCCTTTATTCACAGTTTTTCAGGTTTGTTGTTAATGAGGACAGAATAAGATCATAGTTTCCTCATTTTTCACATTCCCACACTGAGTAGATTTCTATATAAAAGCCAGAAACTAAGAGAACAAATCAAATATCCATATCCATTACAGGTGAATGTTAAACAATTTGACATAAGATTATGAAGTAAAGTACAATGCAGCATTAGAATCAAGGCATCCTCATTCACATAAAGTCATGGCTACATTCACAAATAACTGCGCTGAGTGGAAGTAGCTAAAGTATTAACAGTGCACTTCATAAACTTCTATTTGTATAAACTGTAGAAGGTAAAACTATTCTAAAGTAACAGAGAAGAGAATTTGGTGAGAATTGGGTGTTGAAAGTAATGGGGTGTTGAGATGAAATTACAGAGAAGTGACAGAAAGATTTAGAGGTTAACTTAATTGCACACGACTTAATTGAAACCCTGATTAAAGGGTTGCACACATACATTAACATATTCCAAATTGTGCAGTATATATTTGAATTAATTATTTGTTAATTTTGTACTTAAAAAAGCAGTAACAAAGAAACAAATGAATGTGTTGGTTGAGGAGGAGCAAAAAATAGATGGCTATTAACACTTGAAACATCGCTGACTTTTGAAAGTACACATGTATGAACACTGGTTCTCTCTATATATATTTCAGATAAACAACAGAATACACTAAAAGAAAACAGAGATATCCTGGCAGGGGTGGAATCCTGCAAACCTCACTAGGCATGTCCCACACTGCCCTGGAGTTGTCTCAGGGGAGCAGTCTTCTCTAGTGGTCAGAGGCACAGGCATGGATAATGGGACTAATTCTGTCCAGCTGTGTGATCTTGACCATATTGTACAGCCACTCTGTTCTGTGTGTAATGTAAATTCCTTAAAATGTAACATTGACACTTGCATTAAATGTATTCTGCAAATATGTAGAAATGAAATAAGATGATGACTGCTAAATAGTTATCAAGGCATGATCACATAATATAAAATGATATTTTCCTGAGTGATAAGATGACTACCAATCTCCCCCAAGGCACTTTGTCTGCTCTGACCCCTGCCCCTCCTCAGGATTCCCATCCCAGAGCTTGCTATACAGTAGGAGACATGCAAACAGGTTTCTCCCTTTGTTGATGAAAACCAGCCCAGTCCTGACCCCGTAGGTTTGGGAGAGAAGCCCCAGCCCTGGGATTCCCAGGGGTTTCCGTTTTGTGATCAGGACTAAAGACAGAGGACCCATCATGGAGTCTGGGCTGAGCTGGGTTTCACAGTTGTTATTTTAAAAGGTAAACCAGAGAAATAGAGTGTGAGTGAATATATTTGAGAGAAACAGTGGATATGTCAGGCAGTTTCTCACCAGGATCTCTACGAGTTTACGGGTGTCCAGTGTGAGGTACAGCTGGTGGAGTCTGGAGAGGACCCAAGACAACCTGGGGTTCCCTGAGACTCTCCTGTGCAGCCTCTGGATTAACCTTCAGTAGCTACTGAATGAGCTCGGTTTCCCAGGCTCCAGGGAAGGGGCTGGAGTGAGTAGTAGATATACAGTGTGATGGAAGTCAGATATGTTATGCACAATCTGTGACGAGCAGATTCACCGTCTCCAAAGAAAATGCCAAGAACTCACTGTATTTGCAAATGAACAGTCTGAGAGCAGAGGGCACAGCTGTGTGTTACTGTATGTGAGGCACCAGGTAAGAAGACATCAGTGTGAACACAGACACAGAGGTTCCTGTAATGATAAGGGAGGAGGCTGGGATAAAGGGAGCACTCAAGACCCACAGAAAACAGGGGAAGCTCTAGGGCAGGTGCAGACGGTCGTCATGGGCTACTTTCCTTCAGGGTCTGTGGCTTTCTCTGCATCCAACAGTTCCCCTGGGAGCCTCTTGACATTTATGTTTCTGTGCCCATCCCTGAGGTCTCTGGATTAGAAAAATTTATTATAAGAAGTGGAAACATTCTCATTTGTCCCAAAGGCAGATGTAAGTAATGGAGGCATAAAAATGCACAGGAGGCCAGGGAGGCTGTAGACACTGCCACCCCAGAATGTCAATCTCACCACTAGTGCTGGAGAAGAGTGGGAGTTTGATGGAGCTTACCTAAATACCCTGGGTCCAAGCTAAGTTCAGCGAGGCCACTGGTGCCTCCCAGAGCTCAGTTGTCCATCAGGAATCTCCCATGTGTCCCAGCAGCAGCCATGCCTCAGTACTTCCGCTGTGCACAGCCATTGTCTGGGAGGAGCTCCCAGGTTGGGTGTCTTTGGCACACACCAGGTGACAGGTGTTAGAGTGCAGTGCAGCAGCTGGCTGCCTGGTCTATTGGGCTCCCTGATGTTGGAGAGATGGGAGGTGGATTCTCAGGGCCAGCACCCAGTTTGTGAATTTTTATATAAAAACCATGATTTTACTTCATTTTCTCAGATGACATAGATAATTAAGAACAGAGTCTGGTCCGGACGTGGTGGCTGATGCCTGTAATCCCAGCACTTTGGGAGGCCAAGGCGGGCAGATCACCTGAGGTCGAGAGTTCGAGACCAGCCTGACCAATATGGAAAAATCCATGTCTACTAACAATACAAAATTAGCCAGGCATGGTAGCATATGCCTGTAATCCCAGCTACTAGGGAGGCTGAGGCAGGAGAATCGCTTGAACCCGGGAGGTGAAGGTTATGGTGAGCCAAGATCACACCATTACACTCCAGCCTGGGCAACAAGAGTGAGACTCCATCAAAAAAAAAAAACAACAAAAAAAAAACAGACTTTGCAAAATAATGTTCAACCTTATCCCAAATTCATTGTTTCTTAATTCTGTGCAGCATCCAGACATATTATTACCTTCCTCATGATGAATTGTTCTGTTTAAACTGAGATCAGTTTTTTCTCATATTCTTTGGTTTCTGTCTAAGAACAGAGATCTTGATTACAGTAAGGTTGGTTCTTTCCTCATACTAACCCTCACCTCCCCCAGAGAAAGAGCAGAGATTGTCCTCACTCTGAGTCTGAGGGAGGAGCTGTTCCTGTACAACTCAGAGCCTGCAGAGACCCCCAGGTGCAGCTTCAGTGAGTCAGACATTTCTCCATGTGGGTGACCTCCACTGCCAGTGATTGCTGCTGAGGTCTAATTGTGGGTTAATAATTAGGACACCCTTCAGGTTGTCACATCCCAATCCTATTCTGAACATCACCATTATCATAGACAGAGATAGTTCAATGCCCATTCTACTGACATAAGTTTCTCTTTATAATTTGGTTCCAACTATGGAGAAAAACGTGACCCTATATTTGTCTGAATCTAACCTCAGAATCTGCTGCATTGCTCTAGGAGATTCACAAATTGAACACAAGTGAGCTGTTTATTCTCATAAAAATGTACATATTTGAGAATTTCAATGTATTGCCCAGAACCTGTGCATGCCAACAACTGTGTTTCTCAGCGCACTCTTGGCCTGGTGAAGCCCTCACAGACCCTCTCCCTTACCTGCGCTGTGTCTGTGTTCCCCATGATAACGAGGTCTTCCTGCTGAAGCTGGATCCATCAGCCCCCCAGGGAAGGGAATGGAGTGGATTGGGTGCATAGGTCATGAAGGGAGCACACATTACCACCCACTCCTCAAGTGTCCAGTCACCATCCCCAGATCCGTGTCCAAAAAAGCAGTTCTTCCTACAGCTGAGCTACATGAGCAACAAGCACATAGCCATGTATTTTTAAGCCAAAGACACAGTGAGGGAATCACAGTGTGAGCTCACACCCAAACCTCCCTGTGGGGGTGCATAGGACAGAAGGGGTTGCTCAGGTCCCCAGGGGGCTCTCAGGACACCAAGGGGCACTCAAGACCATTGTAGAGGCACGCAGGTCAGCCGGGGGCTCTCAGGAACCATCGAGGAAAATCAGGACACCAGAGGGTGCTCGGTACAGCAGGGGGCTCAGGACCATTGTGAGGACTCAGAAAGAGCAGGTTCAAGGCTCAGCCTTAGGGCAGGTGAAGCTGGGATGAAAAGGGGCTGGATGAGGGGTTTTGTGTCACCATCATATTTCACCACTAGACACCCTCCACTACATCTGTTCTAATGCATGTTCTAACACATGTGAGTGTTTGTATGACTAGAAAATGATATTTTGGGGCCAGGTGCAGTGACTCATGCCTGTAATCCCAGCACTTTGGGAGGCTGAGGCGGGCAGATCACCTGAGGTCAGGAGTTCAAGACTAGCCTGGCCAACATGATGAAACTCCGTTTCTACTAAAAATACAAATATTAGCCAGGCCCAGTGGCACACGCCTGTAATCCCAGCTACTCGGGAGGCTGAGGCAGGAGAATCGCTTGAACCTGGGAGGCAGAGGTTGCGTTGAGCCAAGATGTGCCACTGCACTCCAGCCTGGGCAACAGAGCGAGACTCCATTAAAAAAAAGAGAGAAAAAAAGAAAATGATATTTATATCAATATATAACCATAGCTAGGTGTGTCAAGTTGTCCTCTCCATCTATGTCAGCCTTGTCCATAAGGACTAATTCCCTGTAATTTCTTGAGGACCTCATAAACTGTGGTCAATTATGTAATATTCCTCTCTTTTTTCTGCCTTCCTTCCTGCCTTCTCTCTCTCACACAGAAACTGACGTACACCCACCCCACAACACACATAAATCTATACCTTTTATTACCTGATGTATTTAATAAACTTGATTAATGTGCAGCTTTTCAAGCTTAGTTGCTTGTGAGGTTGTAAGAATAAGAACCATTTTTTCAAAGGGAATGCTTCCAGTTTTTGCCCATTCAGTATGATATTGGCTGTGGGTTTGTCATAGATAGCTCTTATTATTTTGAAATACGTCCCATCGATACTTAATTTATTGAGAGTTTTTAGCATGAAGGGTTGTTGAATTTTGTCAAAGGCTTTTTCTGCATCTATTGAGATAATCATGTGGTTTTTGTCTTTGGCTTTGTTTATATGCTGGATTACATTTATTGATTTGCGTATATTGAACCAGCCTTGCATCCCAGGGATGAAGCCCACTTGATCATGGTGGATAAGCTTTTTGATGTGCTGCTGGATTCGTTTTGCCAGTATTTTATTGAGGTTTTTTGCATCAATGTTCATCTGACAAAGGGCTAATATCCAGAATCTACAATGAACTCCAACAAATCTACAAGAAAAAAAAAACAACCCCATCAAAAAGTGGGCGAAGGACATGAACAGACACTTCTCAAAAGAAGACATTTATGCAGCCAAAAAACACATGAAAAAATGCTCATCATCACTGGCCATCAGAGAAATGCAAATCAAAACCACAATGAGATACCATCTCACACCAGTTAGAATGGCAATCATTAAAAAGTTAGGAAACAACAGGTGCTGGAGAGGATGTGGAGAAATAGGAACATTTTTACACTGTTGGTGGGACTGTAAACTAGTTCAACCATTATGGAAGTCAGTGTGGCAATTCCTCAGGGATCTGGAACTGGAAATACCATTTGACCCAGCCATCCCATTACTGGGTATATACCCAAAGGACTATAAATCATGCTGCTATAAAGACACATGCACACGTATGTTTATTGCGGCATTATTCACAATAGCAAAGACTTGGAACCAACCCAAATGTCCAAAAATGATAGACTGGATTAAGAAAATGTGGCACATATACACCATGGAATACTATGCAGCCATAAAAAATGATGAGTTCATGTCCTTTGTAGGGACATGGGTGAAATTGGAAATCATCATTCTCAGTAAACTATCGCAAGAACAAAAAACCAAACACCGCATATTCTCCCTCATAGGTGGGAATTGAACAATGAGATCACATGGACACAGGAAGGGGAATATCACACTCTGGGGACTGTTGTGGGGTGGGGGGAGGGGGGAGAGATAGCATCGGGAGATATACCTAATGCTAGATGACGAGTTAGTGGGTGCAGCACACCAGCATGGCACATGTATACATATGTAACTAACCTGCACAATGTGCACATGTACCCTAAAACTTAAAGTATAATAAACAAAAAAAGAAAGGTGAGGGAGATACTGTGAGTAAAGAGCTCGCTTGGGGTCTGCAATGTAGTATGGCTTAGTCAGTGTGTTAGTGCTCTGTCCTCTTCTTTCTGAAATCACAGTTCACCATCACCTCCTTATTTTCTAGAAACACCTGGAAATAGTGAAACTTTTTTACTTCCCTTATATTTCATATTAGTGCTATACCCAGGGATCATCAGTTAACCACAATGACAGTGACAAAAAGCTGCCTTCATATTTTCTCCCAGGAGAATTTTGGCTCCAAGAATCAAGGCTTTAATAGGATTCAGGAGAAGTCAGTGATCACAGGGCAGATGCCTCAGGTTTAAAGTCACATCAAACCGAGTGTGAACCTTCTGTAACTCGCAACTGTGCTAACTTTTGGAGGTTTCTTGAAAAATTCTAGTCAGTTTGGGTTAAAGAATGGTTTCAGTAATGTCACACTCAGGGTCATGACTGCTCAACTGGTCATTAGCCCTGGGAAGTAACTTCCGCTAACATTGGCTTACCTCATAGGAGCTTATAAATTGCCATCATATTGATTATCTCATTAGGTCATCAGGATCCTGAAGAATGATCTTTTAAGAAAACAATCTTTTTATCAGGCTTATTTATCATTGCTTCTATATGCTGCTCTTGTCCTGCAGAGGAGGCAGCCTGGGGTCAATCAAGATACTGGGTATTTGGGTTCATACTTTAAGCCCCCCACTCTCTCATGGTCTAACTTCAGACAAGTCACCTCTGCTTTTTGAGCTTCACTTTTCTCAGCCACCAAATGGATGTAGAGATAATATTTGCTTGCCCAATTTTGAAATGTAGGACGGGGCATCATTAATTAATTAGTTCTTTTGTCCACAAACATTTACCCAGCTCCAGCATGAGCCCAGCCTATGCTTGGTCTTCTGCAGAACAGAGAAATGCCTTAGAAGGAGATTCTGACTCTAGTCATCCACGCTGTAGTTAAAGAACTGTGAGCTGGGAGGGTGGGGCAGGCGAGGGGGCCTTCTGATATTTATGTCTCATCTTTCCCTGAAAAAATACTGTGTTTCTACTTTGCTGCTTGTATTCATTCCCAACCTATTACTGTTCATAAAATGCATAAGGTTTACTTTGACTCCAAGTTTATTTTTATTAATTAAAATATTCCATGTTTATCATAATGAGGGTGATTCTCATTAAAACTCTTTTCATTGCCTTCCTGACTAAAAGCAAGTACATTTTTATTTTAATAAACATAAGTAACACAATAAAAAAAAAAGAACCATGTGTTTCCCAGCTGTGTACCTCTCTAAGCTGAGTAGCATCAGCTTATAATACCCAGCATGAAAAACAACTCAAATGTCAGTCATCAGCTTAATTGGTAAAGAAATTGAGGAAAACTCATCCATTGGCATATTACCCACTACTACAAGCAACTAATGTTGGCTACTGTCAACAGCATGGCAAAATTCACAAGTAGTTCTCATAAGTAAAATGAGCCAAACAAATAAAAGTACTTACATAAGATACAACTTTTATAAATTTCATAAAATGAAAAGTAATCTAAACTTACACAAAAATCAGTAGCTCACTGTGAATATTGTAGGAAAAGGGAAGGTCTAGGAAGGAGAAATTACAGAACAAGAGAAAATTTTAAGGAAATTGACTTGTTATCTACGTTGATAATGATTATGTTTGGGACAATATTAGTAAAATTGAACACTTCATAAAGATATTTTTTAATTTAACCTAATTAAAGATAGCACTAATTATAACATGTATAATTTGGTAGAAAAGGAGTTAGACAGAGATAAATAAAATACATGAAATGTCAGAGACACCTGAAATACACAGCAACGAGCCCTAGGCATCTCTGTATTTTTAGAGAAACATTAGAATACAGCAAAATAATGGACTAATTCTACGACATTAAGAAAGTTTATCAAACCCACCAGGCATGTTGTATTAGTTCATTTTCACACTCCTATAAAGAACTACGTGAGACTGGGTAGTTTATGAAAAAAGAGGTTTAGTTGACTCACAGTTCTGCACAGCTGGGGAAGTCACAGGAAACTTACAATCATGGTGGAAGGTGAAGGGGAAGCAAGGCACGTCTCAGATGGCAGCAGGTGAGAGAGAGAGAGAGAGAAGTGACATACACTTTTAAACCCTCAGGTCTTGTGAGAACTCACTATCATGAGAACAACATGGGGAAGCTGCCCCCGTGATCCAATCACCTCTCACTTGGTCCCTCCCTTGACATGTGGGGATTACAATTTGAGATGATATTTAGGTGGGGACACAAAGCCAATGCATATCATATGTCCAGCTCTATCCTGGAGTTGTTTCAGGAATCCAGTGTGTCCTGTTGATAGAAACCGTGACACTGAGCTCACAGCATCAGTAGTATTTGACACCATGCAAAGTCAAGAGATCTCAACTGAGATTTAGTGTGGATGTTTTGTCTGATGAAGTCGTACACTCAGAGCAAGTGAATATGGAGAGGTTTATTATCTGCACTGTAGAGGTGTCTGCTGAGAGCAGGGCAGTTCTCTCAGGACTGTCTAAAATGGCTTGGTAAAGGAGGAATGGAGACTGACTCAGGGTTTTTATAATGGTTTGGTGGTGGGGGCAGAGTGAGGCTTCCCACTCACAGAAAGGGGTTTATAGGGTTTGAAACTCCCAATGGCATCACATGAAGAAGCTCCTGTGATTGCAAACTAGATTCACCTTGTTTGACAAAAGAGGAGATGATAGAGGAGTGAGCCTTAAGTCCTCAGCAGTCATGCATCAAAAATATTGTGACAACTTATTCTATGTAGCAAGAATAAAAATAATGAATAAGCAAAAAGATAAGGGTTCAATGCAGGTGGACAACATGGAGGTCTACAGGAATGCAATGACTTTATAAATATAAGCAAATAATATTGAGAAAAAGGAGGAGGGGTTGGGGAATTAGAGAGGGGTCCTGGTCTAATGTCTTGGGTAGAAGCTTCTCACAACAAAGGACTATCAGCTTATTCTGCAGGTCTTAGGCCAGCTATCTGCTTAAAAACATCCAAAACCCCAGAGAATCTATAAGGATGCTCAGTTTAATATCTCCTATTTGAGTAGCTTTACAGTTGTGTGGAATTCTTTATTGATTCTTTTTTATTTGTTTTTAGAGACAGGCTCTCACCCTGTTGCACAGTTTGAAGAACAGTTGTATGATCAAAGCTCACTGTAATTTTGAACACCTGGCTCACATAATCTTCCCATCTTTGCTTCCTGAGTATCTAGAAGTAGAGGGGAACGCCACCCCTCACCTGCTTATTCTTTAAAATATTTTTTCAGAGAAATAACATCTCTTTATGTTGCTCAGGTTGGCTTCGATTGCCTCGTCTCACGGGATTTCCCTCATTTTTGCTTCTGAAAGTGGTGTGATTATAGCGATGATCCACTGCATCTGGCCTGAATTTATTCTTTAGTTGTAAAACATGAACCCAACAATTAACTGCCTGAATATTTTCTGCAGCGAGTTAGTTAAAAGTATCTGATAAGATTCCTTCCAATATGATTCAAGAGGAGTATTTTCTGCTGATGTTCCTTCCAATTTCCTTGCTGAAGATCACAAGAGTCTGTGGAAAAGATGTAACAAAAAGGCAGCCTCAAACTCTTCATGATTGGAGTGGATATCACACAGGAATCACTTTCAGTATTTTGTAACACATGCATGCAATAGGACAAAGATGATCTCTGGGGGTAAACTCTATAAACGTATGGGCCTTTTAGCTGCCAAGTCATAGGGTAATAACTGATGCACCCTGAGGAGTGGAACATGATTCCATAGTGCTAGTGGGAGAACCTTTGGCCAAGGGAGTTTTACATTTTATTAAAGATTTGATCATTTTTATGTAGAGATGCCATTTTTAAAACATTCCTAGAAGATTGTTGAGTAGGATTCATTCTGTCTTATATGAACAATGATAATGCTCTCCATGGTTAGATAATATTATAAACTAGATTGAGCTAGAGCGTTTGGTGTATTTAATCACTTTTTTTAGCTTCCATTAGCATTTGGATTAAATGAAAATCATAACAAACAGTCTCTCAGACCACAGTGCGATCAAATTAGAACTCAGAATTAAGAAACTCATTCAAAACCACACAACTACATGGAAACTGAACAACCTGCTTCTGAATGACTACTGGGTAAATAATGAAATTAAGGCAGAAATAAACAAGTTCTTTGAAACCAATGAGAACAAAGACACAACATACCAGAATCTCTCGGACACAGCTAAAGCAGTGTTTAGAGGGAAACTTATAGGACTAAATGCTCATGAGAGAAAGCAAGAAAGATCTGAAATCGACACCCTAACATCACAGTTAATAGAACTAGAGAAGCAAGAGCAAACCAATTCAAAAACTAGCAGAAGACAAGAAATAACGAAGATCAGAGCAGAACTGAAGGAGATAGAGACAGGAAAAACCCTTCAAAAATCAATGAATCCAGGAGATAGTTTTTTGAAAAGATTAACAAAATAGATAGACTGCTAGCCATACTAATAAAGAAGAAATGAGAGAAGAATCAAATGGACACAATAAAAAAATGATAAAGAGGACATCACCACTGATCCCACTGAAATACAAACTACCATCAGGGAATACTATAAACACCTCTATGCATATAAACTAGAAAATCTAGAAGAAATGGATAAATTTTTGGACACATACACCCTCCCAAGACTAAACCAGGAAGAAATAGAATCCCTGAATAGATGAATAACAAGTTCTGAAATTAAGTCAGTAATTAATAATAGCCTACTAATAATATTATTAATAGTAATTAATAATAGCCAACTAAAAAAAGACCACTACCAGGTGGATTCACAGCTGAATTCTACCAGGGGTACAAAGAGGAGCTGGTACCATTCCTCCTGAAACTATTCCTAACAATAGAAAAAGAGGGACTCCTCCCTAACTCATTTTATGAGGCCAGCATCACCCTGATACCAAAACCTGTCAGAGACACAACAAAAAAAGAAAATTTCAGGCCAATATCCCTGAAGAACATCGATGCAAAAATCCTCAATAAAATACTGGCAAACCGAACCCAGAAGCACATCAAAAAGCTCATCCAACAGGATCAAGTCGGCTTCATCCCTGGGATACAAGGGTGGTTTGACATATGCAAAACAATAAACATAATCCATCACGTAAACAGAACCAATGACAAAAACCACATGATTATCTCAATAGATGCAGAAAAGGCCTTTGATAAAATCCAACACCACTTCATGCTAAAACCTCTGAATAAACCAGGTATTGATGGAAAGTATCTCAAAATAATAAGAGCTATTTATGACAAACCCACAGCCAATATCATACTGAACAGGCAAAAGCTGGAAGCATTCCCTTTGAAAACTGGCACAAGACAAGGGTGCTCTCTCTCACCACTCCTATTCAACATAGTATTGGAAGTTCTGGCCAGGGCAATCAGGCAAGAGAAAGAAATAAAGGGTACTCAAAATAGGAAAAGAGGAAGTCATATTGTCTCTGTTTGCAGATGACATGATTTTATATTTAGAAAACCCCATCGTCTCAGCCCAAAAACTCCTTAAGCTGATAAGCAACTTCAGCAAAGTCCCAGGATATAAAGTCAATGTGCAAAAATCACAAGCATTCCTATACACCAATAATAGACAAAAAGAGAGCCAAATCATGAGTGAACTCCCATTCAAAATTGCTACAAAGAGAATAAAATACCTGGGAATACAACTTACAAGGGATGTGAAGAACCCCTTCAAGGAGAACTACAAACCACTGCTCAACAAAATAAGAGAGGACATGAACAAATGGAAAAACATTCCATGCTCATGAATAGGAAGAATCAATATTGCCAAATGGCCATACGGCCCAAAGTAATTTATAGATTCAATGCTATTCCCATCAAGCTACCATTGACTTCCTTCACAGAATTAGGAAAAGCTACTTAAATTTCATATGGGACCAAAAAAGATCCCGTATAGCCAAGACAATCCTGAGCAAAAAGAACAAAACTGGAGGCATCACGCTACCTGACTTCAAACTATACTACAAGGCTACAGTAACCAAAACAGCATGGTACTTGTACCAAAACAGACATATAGACCAATAGAACAGAACAGAGGCCTCAGAAATAACATCACACAGCTACAACCATCTGATCTTTGAAAAACCTGACAAAAACAGCAATGGGGAAAGGATTCCCTATTTTATAAACAGTGCTGGGAAAACTGGCTAGCCATATGTAGAAAGTTAAAACTGGATCCCTTCCTTAGACCTTATATAAAAATTAACTCAAGATGGATTAAAGACTTAAACATAAGACCTAAAACCATACAAACCCTAGAAGAAAACCTAGGCAGTACCATTCAGGACATAGGCATGGGCAAAGACTTCATGACTAAAACATCAAAGGCAATGGCAACAAAAGCCAAAATTGACAAATGGGATCTAATTAAACTAAGGAGCTTCTGCACAGCAAAAGAAACTACCATCAGAGTGAACAGGCAACCTACAGACTGGGAGAATGTTTGTGCAATCTATCTATCTGACAAAAGGGCTAATATCCAGAATCTACAAAGAACTTAAATTTACAAGGAAAAGACAAACAATCCCATCAAAAAGTGGGCGAAACATATGAACACTTGCTTCTCAAAAGAAGACACATGAAAAAAAAAGCTCATCCTTACTGGTCATTAGAGGAATGCAAATCAAAACCACAATGAGATACCATCTCACACCAGTTAGAATGGCCATCATTAAAAAGTCAGGAAACAACAGATGCTGGAAAGGATGTGGAGAAATAGGAACGCTTTTACACTGTTGGTGGGAGTGTAAATTGGTTCAACTATTGTGGAAGACAGTGTGGCGATTCCTCAAGCATCAAGAACCAGAAATTCCATTTGACCCAGCAATCCCATTACTGGGTATATCAGCAAAGGATTATAAATCATTCTACTGTGTCTTACGTGACACATGAACACATATGTTTATTGCAGCACTGTTCATAATTGCAAAGACTTGGAAACAACCCTTATGCCCATCAGTGATAGACTGGATAAAGAAAATGTGGAAAATATACACCATGGAATACTCTGCAGCCATAAAAAGGATGAGTTCATGTCATTTTCAGGGACATGGATAAAGCTGGAAACCGTCATTCTCAGCAAACTAACACAAGAACAGAAAATCAAACACTGTATGTTCTCACTCAAAAGTGGGAATTGAACAATGAGAACACATGGACACAGGGAGGGGAACATCACACACAGGGGCCTGTCACGGGGTGGGGAAGCTAGGGGAGGGATAGCATTAGGAGAAATACCAAATGTAGATGATGGGTTGATGAGTGCAGCAAACCACCATGGCACATATATACCTATGTAACAAACCTGTACATTCTGCACATGTATCCCATAACTTAAAGTATAATAAAAAATAGTAACTCAAAAAATTATGTTAATCAGTTCTCTAGTAGGTAGAAATTCATCTGGGAGTTTCTTCTCTTGTCCATTTTGATAGGATCTGCAGAAGACATAAGAACCCTCTCTGTTAAAAATATTCCTAAGTTGTACACCATCTAGAAACATATATACTTAATTATAATTTTTAATTTATTAAAAAGCTTTAATAAGTGCAATGTTTTCTGCCTTCTGAGTTGATTTCATAACACATAGAAGGATATATCCTGAATGAAACTTTGTACTAGTAATACAAATTAAAGGTTAATAACCTCTACTTTTATTATTGAGGTATTACCCACCAATATATAATCTTAAATCAGTGCTCTCAATGGGGCTTTTACCTAAATAATATAAAAAATATTTTCCTGATCTTGACACAAAATAGATGTGAACACATTCTTCATATTCAGCCATGTCTCCTGTCTATTACATTATGAACCACATGCTAACTTTGATTTACTTGGGACTTGTTCTAATTTCAAACTAGTTATTTTTTATCTTCATGCAGCTAGATTATTATGTGTGAGTATTTTATCAGAGAGTGATAAAGATAATTTAAACAAGTAATTGTGTGTCTCAGGACTCTTCTTGGGTTCTGAGACAAGAAATGCCATTACTACCTGAAGGATTGAGACAACTTTGAAAATGTCAGAGGAATCATCTCTAATTGCTTCTAAATTTCAGTTTTATCAATTCTTATGCTTTCTGAATTATTTTTGATTTTAGTTATTAAAGGATTCTTTCTTTTTCTCTTAATCTAGCTAAGAATTTGTCCTTTTTTAAGAAAAAACTCTTAGGTTTGTTGATTTTTCTATTGCTTGTAAAGTCTTTTTTCACTTATTTCATTTACTCTAAAGCCTCATAAACACATTGGTGACAGGTAGATGGAGAACTTGATTGTAAATGCCCTGTTTTTGTTAGACCCAGCTGATCATGTCAGGAAGCCCCCTGAGGGGTCTAGGAGCTGACTGTGGCTCCCACCACTGGACAAGGATGAGAACCTCCATGCTTTGGGGATGGGAGGACATGCAGGGCAGTGTGAGGGGAGGAGGGTTGCTGGCAGGTCCAGCATTGCTTCCCCTGGCTGCACCACTCATGTCCTTCCTCACTCAGAGATTCAGTCATTTCTTCCCAGGTGGAAAAATCAGTTAACTTTATCTTTGATATATGGATGGGAGCCCAAGATAGAGGCTTGTCAGTCATTATTTCTGTGCCTGCTGCCTTGGGAATGTCTGAATTTCTCATGCTCTGTCCTGGGTCTATACCCCAGTGGCTCCCCTACTCCATGGCACCCACCTGTGCCTGTGCATGGCCCCTGATCACAGCCTCCGTGAAACATCTGGTTTGGCTCAGGAAGAACCCTCCCTGCCTTGTTTTCCTGCTGTCCCTGGTCCACATCCTTCTCCATCCACAGGCTCTCAGTGGTGCCTCCCATCCACACTGACCCTACGTGGGTTCATATCTTGTCCACCACTTCCTCTCTCTTTTCTTCTGCATCTTGCTTTTTATTCCAACAGCCTGTTTCCACCTCACCTGGACTTATGTACAGGAAAGTGTTTACTGAGCAGGCTTGTGTTGTGCAAACCCTGAAGATTACTGAAAAAGTGCTTTCTCAAGCCACATCCATATTCAGCTCCTGGGAGATGATATCTGCTTTTTTGGCATACTCCTCCTGGAAATATTTTTAAACCATTTTATTAAGGTAAGGATTACATCTATAAGACTATACGTTATTTAACATACTTAATTCATTGAGTTAAGTATGCAAAGTTACCATCACCATCAAGGTCATAAACATAGCAATGACTTCCAAAACATTCCTCTTTATTCTTTTTATTCTTAGTATTATGATTATTATTATTAGTTGAAATGTATTTTTGCTTGTGTGTCTCTGTCTCTGTGTGTGTAGCCTGGGTGCACACTATGCTAGCTGTTTCCATAATGACTTATGGGGAATGCCTATTATTGCTGAAGGGGCCAGCGTCTGAGCACTGGAGGTCAGTTATGCAGGTGCCACACACATCTGTGATGGGCCCCAATAAACAGCACTGGGCACCAGCACTCAGGTGAGCTTCCCTGGTGGACAATGCTTCACACGTATTGTCATGCATCACTGCTGGGAGAACTGGGGACAAGAGACTTCTCAGGGAAAGAACACCTGGGAGCTTGTGCCTGGATTCTCAGGGCCTTCCCACTGGTTCCTTTGCTCATTTTAATTCATATTCATTTGCTATAATAAAGCTGCACCCACGAGAATAACAGCTTGTCTTGAGTCCTTTATTTGTACTGATTATGGGGCCTGAGGATGGTCTTGGGACACTCAACACAATTACATCAGAGGTGTAAATTGCTAGAAAGACCCTGACTACTGACACATGTCTATAGCATTTATAATATCAAAGGATGAGAAAGTGTAGGATAAAAGACATTCAGTGCCTGGATGGCTATAGAATCACATGGCATGAGATGATGTGTGCACTCCAATAAGGAGCAGGAAGTGAAAGTAATCCATGGAATTTAGAAACGACGGACACAGCTCCCTAGGAGTTGTTCCCTGAACAAGAACAAGTAAAAATAATGAAGAACAACCTGAGTATGCAACTCATATCTGTGATAGCTAAAATAATAGTAAAAAGATGCACATCCAGCCCTGCAGTGTGCCCTGTGAGCCAAGGCTGCTAGACTCCCATTCACTGCCAAAGGGTACAGTTGTCCAGAAACAACACACAACACACAAGAGCTACACAGATGGTAGCCCAGGGTTTGGACTGGGGAGGGGAATCCACTTGACAACTAGAACAGGGAGGATAGTGTGGAAAGTGGCATCATTTTGTGATATGAATGATATCATTAATAGATATCATCAGATCGTGAACAACATTAGCCAATGGACTAGGAGACTGACTGATGTAGCAGATTCTCTTTGGCTTCATGTGTTGCATAAGGGAGGAGCATGTTTGGGAAGATGCTGGACCCACAGCTCACAATAGACACATCACAGATGGCTCTAGCTGATCCCAACCTCAAGTAGGATGCTTCTGATGGGACAGCTTTCCTCAAGCACTGGATCCCGATCATGTAAAGTTTCTCTACCCTGAGAATGAGACTGCCCTTTCTCTCTTTAAAATGCAAAGTGGGCTCTCCAGATGAGGAGCCCAATGCTGTATATGGAAGCCATAGTGCTATGTGTTTATGTTGATACCGACGGTCATTGCTTAGCATGCATCTTATCCAGGTCCTGCTGCTGTGTGTTTCTGTTGATGCTGCTGGACATTGCTTCGCATGCACCTTACCTAGGTCATGGCCTGTGCTGTGATAAAGAGAAGTCCTTTTGCTTCTGCACCCCAGGTACAACTCCTGTGAGCAATCTGGCAAATATTTTAGAAACTGTGTAGTTTGTATTGCCTTGTCTTTTCATTTGAATCTTTTAGATGATAAGGAAATGAGAGTGGTTCACAAGATAATGGGGCAGACACAGGGGATAGTTAAGGGCCTCCTCCAAGCAATGTGGATATCATAAAATGAATGTTAAAAAATGAAAGAACTAAACAAGAAGGTGCTGGGGTTGACACAAAGGACTTAAAACAGAACTACCAGGAGTTGGGTGCAGCAATGGCAATCCCTTCAGTTCCATCAGCAATTCAGAGACCTAAACAAATATTCCCTATTTATGTTGAATTGGCAGACTGTAGAAATGTAGAAGACAAAATGACCAGAAAAAATGTGTGATTTGGCATGGGTGAAGGTCTGGCAAGTTAATCAAGTTGAGGACTGTTGAAGCCCTAGGGTGGTCCTGCCTTTGCTGGGTGCCCAGACCATAATGGCACTCATGGGAAATTGCCAGCAAGTAGAAACTAGGTGTTTTTTTTTTTTTTGTAGTTCTTATTATCAGGCATATGTGCATTTGAATTTTGTCTTCATAGCATTTCCTGGTTCTATTTCTCATTTTTTAAAACACACGTGATTTCATCTAGATTTATCACCTTCACAGGGTCACAGAGAAGGGTAGGAAGAAGGGAGGCCCTGGTTTGGGTCTTGTAGGACCATGGACAAGAGTGCGGAGGGACAACAGGGGGTTGTAAGACATTATTAAGACCTTATTCTGCCTCTCCCAAGAGGCTCAGTTCAGCCGTTTTTCTGCAGTTGCGGTTCTGGGTTATAAACCTTGTAGACTCTTCCCTTCAGGCCAGGGCGGCAACTATGCAAATTCAAGTGGGGGCCTCCCCACTTAAACCCAGGGCTCTCCTCCACAGTGAGTCTCCTTCACCACCCAGCTGGGATCTCAGTGCTTTCTTTTCTGTCCTCCTCCAGGATGGGGTCAACCGTCATCCTTTCCCTCGTCCTGGCTGTTCTCCAAGGTCAGTCCTGCCCAGGGTTTGAGGTCACAGAGAAGAATGGGCAGAAGGGAGCCCCTGATGCAAATTTTGTGTCTCCCACACAGGTGTCTTTGCCGAGGTGCAGCTGTTGCAGTCTGCAGCAGAGGTGAAAAGACCCGGGGAGTCTCTGAGGATCTCCTGTAAGACTTCTGGATACAGCTTTACCAGCTACTGGATCCACTGGGTGCGCCAGATGCCCGGGAAAGAACTGGAGTGGATGGGGAGCATCTATCCTGGGAACTCTGATACCAGATACAGCCCATCCTTCCAAGGCCACGTCACCATCTCAGCCGACAGCTCCAGCAGCACCGCCTACCTGCAGTGGAGCAGCCTGAAGGCCTCGGACGCCGCCATGTATTATTGTGTGAGAGGGACCATCTAAAACCTTCCGCGGTGCAGGTGCAGAGTGAGCTGCCAGACACACCCTCCCCAGGGGCCTCTCTATTCATCCGGGGAGGAAACACTGGCTGTTTGTGTCCTCAGGAGCAAAAACCAGAGAACAACATGGGAGCGTTCCTAACCCCTAAGGCAACTGGATGGGAGACCTGACCCATCCAGTTCTCTGAGGGGGCTCTTGTGTGTTCTACAAGGTTGTTCATGGTGTATATTACATGGTTAACATCAAAAGGCTGCCTAATAGGCACCTCTTCAATATAATAGTCTTTTAATTAGTGAAAATTTTACACAGTTCATCATTGCTTGCTTGCCTTCCTCCCTTCTGTCCGCTCTTACTCCCTCCTTCTTTTATTTTCTACTTACTTTTCCAAAATCATTTAACCCCTTTTTGTACCATTAATAAGTTATCTTGTTTTTGTTGTTGTTTTCCTTTTAACAATATGCACTGAATAATTCATCTTTGTGCCAATTCGTAAATATTTTGATATAACAAAGACTTCTGTCATAAATAGATTTCCTGTGAGTAATCTTGCAAATATTTTAGAACCTGTTTGGTTAAGAATAAATTAAAATAAATAGACAAATTTTTAAAGACATACAACCTATCAAAACTGAACCACCAAGAAATAAAAAATCTGGGCTGGGCGTGGTTGCTCATATGTGTATTCTCAGCACTTTGGGAGACCGATGCGGGTGGATCACCTCAGGTCAGGAGTTCAAGATCAGCCTGGCCAACATGGCAAAACCCCGTCTCTACTAAAAATACACAGATTAGCTGGGTGTGGTGGTGTTCACCCGCAGTCCCATAGTCCCGGCTACTCGGGAGGCTGAGGTAGGAGAATGACTTGAACCTGGGAGGCAGAGGTTGCAGAAAGCCAAAATCGAGCCACTGCACTCCAGACTGAGCAACAGAGTGAGACTCCAATTAAAAAAAATCTGAACAGACCAATGAGTAAAGAGATCGAGTCAGTGATTTTTCCAACATCTCGAATCAAAGTCCAGAACTTCATGGCTTCACTACTGAATTTTATCAAAAATTAAAAAAAACCTAGAATCTCTACTCAAATTTCCAACAAAATAAAGAGAAAGAAATATATCCAAGCTTATTTTGGAAGGCCCTATTTCCAAAGCAAGGAAAAGACACTACAAGTAAATAAAACTACAGGCCAATATCCCTGATTATCATAGTTTCAAAAACTCTCAAGAGTGATGAGATGACAAACAAAATTAAACAGCAGATTAAGAATAGAATTCACCATTATCTGTGTCTCCCATACCCAGAGAGGCTGCTGCTTGCCCTGCACAAGGATACTCTGAGCAGAAACCTACCTGGCCCAGCCCTCACCTTGCTTTATGCAGCCATCTGCCCTGGCAGCTTAACACAAAGGACAGCATCTTTTGGGAGATACATGGCCACACCCACTGCCTGAGAATCCACAGTAGCCCCTATTCCTGGGCAACATAAGCCAAGCAAAAACCCCACTGTTAATACTGTAGCTGGTGCTCTTTGGAAAGCACCATCTCCAAGCAGGAAGCCAATAAACAGTCCATCACAGTATCTCCTGGTAGACTATCACTGCACCCAGAAAGGAGAAAATGACTGTGTGATCTCAGCTATGACCAGTGCCTGCACCACTCTGGATGACCAGGAGGTCCTGAGTCTGTCCATGTGAACAGTTCATTACCGCTATAACCAGCATTCAAGAAAGCCAGTACACAAAGGCTATCAATATCTAAGGAATTTCAGTCTCCATCACTCCCCTGCTGCTTCCATCAGACCTGGTTCACTGCTCACTGCTGAAAAATTGAGGACACATCACACCACCGGATCCCTCACATACATTCCCCAACACCAGCCTGAAGTGTGTCAACTTCACTGGGCGGCTAGACCTAGAGAAGCAACAACACTCACAGTAGTATGGCTCCCAGGTTCTCCTGCTCCTAGGGGAAGGGAGTGCACCACATTGAGGGAACACCCTGTGGGACAGGAGAATCTGGATGGCAGGCCTTGAACATCAATCAGATCCCTCCATTGGTGGGAAACTTCTTTTAGTAGAGGCAGTTACAGTGCTGAGCTCAGCAGAGAAAGTCTTCAGCTCTGTCTCAACAGTCAGATATCCCTGGTGCATGTGAAAAACTTGAAGAAGAGGAAGTCTTTCCCCCTTGTACACCACTGCAGGCACACTTGGGGTCTCTCCCATAAGAGCTCAGTACGGGTGCAACTATAGACAGCATTTCTGGAACACATCATGTTGACTGCATCCCCCAGAAAGAGCACTCTCCAGGTTCAGGTTTTGGCCAGACACAGAGTCACAATTCCTCTGTATTTAACACTTCAACTTTTGTACAGAGGAAAAGACATGCCTGTCTGATCTGAATAGCTGGAATCCTGGGATACGGGAGTGTCTTAGAGGTGCATAACTTTCCTACAGACCTGGCAAGACAGCTGAGGTGGCTCCAACCCTTCCCCCAGATAAGACCTCAGTGTGACTCACTAAAAGCTCCTCCAGCCAACTCTGTCAAGGCTGGGACTTCATTTACCACCTGATTTAGCCACAGCTGGTTTCTATCCAGGGACAAGCCCCCTACTGGTCTGAAGCCTGAACCATCAAACTAGCAAATAAATCACTGGGGGAAAATAAATAAATACGTGCATGCCACAGAGGAATGAACTAAGGTTTAATAGACCTCAACCATTCTAACCCCATAGAAGACAGTGAACTTGCTCACATACTGAGCAGATTTCTACTGCAATCAACACATAGGAAAGCCATCATACAAAGATTCTCCATAACCACGGAACTCTTACAGAGTCTTCACCCCTCTAAGGACCAAAAACCAAATTAGACTGTAATTAATTATAACCATTAAAGTCTCATTCTTAAGGGAAAAAATAAATTTAAAAACAAACAAAAGAAACAGTTAAAACAAACATAATTTCAATACTAGTTAGAAGAAATAGTCTACCAAAATAAGAGGAAATGAGAAAAATAACTCAAGTAATATGACAAAACAGGGTGCTATAACATCCCAAAAAGGTCACACTAGGTCTCCAGCAATAAACTTTAACCAAAATGAAGTCTTTAAAATACCAGATAAGAAATTCAGAATGTTGATTATTAAGCTACTCAAGAAGATATAATAAGAAGGTGAATATCATCATAAACAAATGTATAAAAGCAGTTCAGAATATAAATACAAATTTTTATAGAGAGATAGATATCATAAAGAGAAACCAATCAGAACTTCTGAAAATAAAAGACAAAATGCAGGGAAATAGTAAGGGAATTACAAAATGCCATGGAAAGTTTTAAAAATAGACTAGAAAAAAGTAGAAGAAAAAATAAACAAGAGACTAGAAAAAGTACAAAATAAAAAGTTGAAGTAAAAAATTAGATGAAAAAAGAAGAAGAATAAAGTAGAAATAAGAAAAAAGAAGAAATAAAAAAGACTATTTTTGAAATAATCAAATCAGAGAAAAATAAATTTAGAAAGAACCAAAAGAAGTAAACACAGTCTCCAGGAAATATGGGATTATGTAAAATGACCAAACCTCAGCATAATTGGTGTTCCTGAAGAAGAAAAAAAATAATATGTTTGGAAAACTTATTTGAGAGAAAAATTGAGAAATACATTCCTGGCCTGCCTAGAGACCTAGATATCCAAATCCAAGAAGTTCAAAGAACTCCTGGGAAATGTATTGCAAAACTGCCTTCACCAAGCTTATAGTCATCAGGCTACCGAAAGTTAACATGAAGGAAATAATTCTAAGAGCAGCAATACAAAACAAAACAAAAAACCCATCAGACTAATGGCAGACTTCTCAGCAGAAACTTCACCAGCCAGATGGATTAAGCTTCTATCTTCAAATTCCTTAAATAGAACAACTTTCAATCAAGAATTTTGTATCCTGCCAAACTGTTTGATAAATGAAAAAGAAGTAAAGTCATTTTCAGAATCACCAGTGCTCAGGGAATTCGTCACTACCAAACCAGCAGTACAAGAAATGCTAAAAGGAGTTGCAAACCTTGAAACAAAAGCCCAGTAAGCACATAAAGGGAACCTCTTAAGAGCCTGAAACTCACAGGCCTATAAAACAATAACACAGTGAAAAAAAAAAACTAGGTAAGAATTAACATGGCAAAGAAAACAGTAACTCATATCTAAATATTCACATTGAATGTAAATGGCCTAAATGCTCCATATAAAAGATACACAATGGCAGAATAGATTAAAAAATCACAATGGAAATATCTGATGTCTCTAAAAGATCCCCCTAACACACAAAGATTTACATAAACTCAAGGTAAAAGGTTGGAAGAAGGTATTTCACAAAAATGGAAACCAAGAGTGAGCAGGAGTAGCTATTTTGATATCAGACAAAATGGACTTCAAAGCAACAACAGTAAAAAAAAGACATAGATGATCACTATACAATTACAAAAGGATCAATTCAATAAGAAAATACTACAATTCTAAATTTATAGGCACCAAACACCAGAGGAACTAGATTCATAAAACAAGTACTATTAGAGATTTAAAAAAATGAGAGCGAAACAATCAGAGTGGGAGACTTTAATACAATCATAACAGCACTAGACAGATCTTCGAGACTGAAAGTCAACAGAGAAAAAATGCACTTAAATAACTCACTGAAACAAATGGATGTAGCAGATGTGTACAGAACATTCTGTCCAAGATCTGCAGAATAAACATTCTTGTAATCAGTACATGCAACATTCTACAAGATAGAACATATAATAGGTCACAAAACAAGTCTCAATGAATTTTTAAAACAGTGAAATCATATCAAGTATCTTCTCAGACCACAGGAGAATAAAACTAAAAATGAACTCTCAAAGAAACCCTTACAACTGAACAAATACATAGAAATTAAGAAATCTGCTCCTGAGTAATATCTGGGTTAACAATGGCATAAGATGAAAATTTAAAAATTACCTTAATTAAATGGTAACAAGTTATTGAAACCTTAAGAATACAGCAAAAGCAGTGGTAAGAGGAAAGTTTATAGTGACTACTGCCTACGTGAAAAAGCCGGAAAGAGCACAAGTTGTCAACCTAATGTTGACACGAGAAAAAAGAAAAAATTAAAGAAAGAAAATATAAATCAAAAAAGAGAAAGAAACAAGCTGCCTGTGTTAGGCTGACTCACGTCAAAGGCAGTAACACGCAAAGTTTCAATGATGTTATCTAAGGGCCGGAGCTCAGAGGAATGGGCTCTGAAGACTCTCCCAGCACTCCCTCAGCATAAGGATGAAAAGAGGTAAGTTTTCCTATCTCTCCTTTAGTGTAAGTGAACTTCCCTGTCGAATCTCATCCCCTCTGCTATGTAAACTATACCTTGCCTCTTGCTCTGTACGTTTTAGGAGTTTCTGTTTTTCCTGTAGTTAATGATTGCAGGTTCCTGCTTCTGCATCTAAGCAGTACAGCCTGAGCAGGTCTGGCTTGTAGCCAGCTACATGCCATGGTGGGGGTGGCAGGATGAGTCTTTGTGAGACTCCTTTGAACTAAGCAGGTAATGACCATCTGGGCTGCATGGGAAGGAGTATTGCTAACCCTGAGTTACAAGCCTGGCTTTGTTTGATTAACGGCCTCTGTCTTGCCTCTGTACGTGCGCGTTCGTGCCACTTAGGAGGAGGTGTATAAGCAAAACCTTGTCTTTGTTCGGGGCCCAGTTGTTTGGACGTTGAGTCCCTTGGGACAGAGTGCACTCAGTGAAGACCCTCCTGCTATGCCCCGAGGTGTCCCTTGCCCTCCTGATGTTCCGCAACCTTTCTTGCGAGCCAGCAGCCAGGAGGAGAAGAGAGGACAGATTGGCTGTCTCCTTTGCCGGAGGGTCTGGGGCTCTGGTCGCGGCGATCTGTGACCCCAGGGCGGCCTCGGGGAGCACTTCAGCCCGGAGGGGAGACCGGCTCTCCAGGCCCCCGGGGCCCCTCCCCTGACAGCGCAAAGGAGCGCGGAAAGGGCTGCGGGATGATCCCAGAAGCAGCGCTAATGAACCGCGGTCGGCTTTTGGGGCCCAAGGCAGGACCCGTCCCACGAGGACGGAGGGGAGCCCCATCACCTGCCGGGCTGTGCGTCTAGTCCGACCCAGGGAGGCTGCGGCGGCGAGAGGGGGTCGCTCACTCGGGTACCGCAGACGCCGCAACCGACGCGGCACAGGAGAGAGGCCCGCCAGGCCGGTTAGGAAAGGGAACTGGGGAGGGGAAGTGGGTGAAAGGGCGTGCAAGAGACGGCTGCAGGAGGGGCCGGTGCGGGGAGTGACGTGGGAGGCGCAGATCTCAGCGTGGACTGGGCGCTCCCAGCGAAGCCTGGGGCCGACCTGGGATAGCGGCGAAGCGGCTGGTAGGAGCTGCCCCGTGGCAGCAGCGGCCGTGCTGGGAATAGGGGACTCTCCTAGCCAGGCGGCCCCGAAAACTCCTGTAATAGGAGACGCTCTGCTCGGTAAAAAAGGAAGTCAGAGTGAGTGTGCGTCGTAGAGGGAGGAAATGGGAGGAAAATCGTGGAAACCCACTCCACTGGAATGTATACTAAAGAATTTTAAGAAAGGTTTTGCAGCGGATTATGGAATTAAGCTGACCCCCTGAAGTTGAAAACTCTCTGTGAATCAGAATGGCCTTCTTTAGGGGTCGGCTGCCGGCCGAGGGTGCTATATAGATAGGGAGGTGATTGGCCGGGTGTTTAAGGTGGTGACCGGGGTGGGAGGACAGCCAGGGTACCCAGATCAATTTCCCTATATCGATTCATGGCTCAATGTTATACAAAACTGACCAGCGTGGTTGCACCCCCCAGCAGCATATTGTAAGACGCCTGTGGCCCGAGCAGCCGAAGACAAAATGAAAGTAAAATCAGCCATGCTGGCAGCTGCAGAGAAAAAGGGAAAGTCACAGGAAAGCCGAGATAAACCAGTTCTGCGGGCACCTCAGGAGGAAACAGAATTTCCTCCTCCTCCTCATGTTCCAAGCCACCCCCCTTTGCCGAGACCAACTGCTCCCTCTGCAAGTTCAGCTGTGAGGCCAGCAGCCCCAGCTGTCCATGGGGAGTTAAATCCGGGAGAGTATACTCCCCCAGCCTCAACTAAGAAGGAGGAATTGGAGCTGCAGGAAGTTAGAGTGGAAAGCCCAGAAAGTCAGGCAGGCCATCTCAGGTCTGGCCGCACCTGAGTCCTGCAAATGCGTCTCAGGGAGACGAGGGGACCTGTCTATTATGACCAGCATGGCCACATCCAGAGGGGAGAGTGAACTTTCGTTTACCAGCCCTTTTCAACCACTGACCTCCTAAAGTGGAAGCATCATATTCCCTCTTACATGGAGAAGCCACAGGCTCTCGTTGACTTGATGCAGTCCGTTTTTCAGACACACAATCCAACGTGACCAGATTGAAAACAGCTTCTTTTGACCCTGTTTAATATGGAGGAATGGCAGAGAGTGACACAGGCAGCCCTCCAGTGGCTAAAACTAATGCACCTGCAGACACAGTTAATGCCCAGACATATGCATATTTGACCCTGTTTAATATGGAGGAATGGCAGAGGGTGACACAGGCAGCCCTCCGGTGGCTAAAACTAATGCACCTGCAGACACAGTTAATGCCCAGGCATATGCACGGGTCAGTTCCCTGAAACAAACCCCAATTGGGACCCAAATGATGCAACCCAGTTGCAGCACCTGCAGCGGTACTGAGAGGCAATCTTTCATGGGCTGAAGGATGGTGGGAGAAAAGCAGTTAATATAGGAAAAATCTCGGAGGTGCTCCAGGGAGCAGTTGAGAGCCCAAGCCAGTTGTATTAGAGACTTTGTGAGGCT
Organism: Homo sapiens; assembly: GCF_000001405.40. NCBI lineage: Eukaryota > Metazoa > Chordata > Mammalia > Primates > Hominidae > Homo > Homo sapiens. Next base: position 106,843,260 of record NC_000014.9, on the reverse strand, counting down.
TATCGGCTGTACACCCTGTTCAACCCTGAGACTACTGAGAATCAGCATGTGGTAAATATGTCATTTGTAGGTCAGGCCCAGGGTGATATCAGGCAAAATTTGCAGAAGATGGAAGGTTTCGCGGGTATGAATGCTACTCAGCTTATTGAGGTAGCCACCAAGGTGTACATTAACAATGATCAGGAGGCAAAGAGGGAGGCTGATTGAAGGCTTAAGAAGAAGGCTGATTTACTGGCAGCTGCCCTTACGGGAAGGGAAGCTGGTTTTGCAAGGGGATGCGGGTATGGATGAGGGCATGGAAGAGGCCGGACTGGATGGGGATTTGAGAGTCAGCTGAGACTAGAAAGAGATCAATGTGTGCAGTGCAAAAGGAAAGGACACTGGAAGAATGAGTGTCCAGAGAATAACAAGGAGAATGGTCAGGGCTGTGGTATGGGAAGGCCACCAGCAGGGGGCTGCCGCACCTGGGAGGAACCAGACACTGACCTAATCGGACTGGCCAGGGCTGAAGGATATGAGGACTAGGACAGACCGGGCTCTTTCTCTTTGGGCACCCAAGAGCCTATGTTCAGATTAGAAGTGGAGGCCAACTAGTGGACTTTATGGTAGATACTGGGGCTGAGCACTCAGCAGTGACCCGACCTATAGGGCCGCTATCCAAGAACTGTGCAACTATTGCAGGAGCCACTGGAGTCTCAGAGAAGAGGCCTTTCTGTCAGTCAAAGAGGCGTGTTATAGGAGGACAAGGAGTCCAACAAGAATTCCTGTACCTCCCAAATTGTCCAGTTCCTTCGCTGGAAAGAGACCCATTTCAAAAACTGCAGGCACAGATTACATTTGGGCCACAAGGGGATGTAACTTTAAATCTAGCTCACTCAGAGGCTATGGTGTTAACCCTTACTGTCCCACGGGCTGAGGAATGGAGACTATATGCAGGAAAGACTCCAGAACCAGGAGTAAATTAAATGCGTGGGTTACTTACTAAAATTACTGGAGTTTGGGCTGAAAGTAACCTGCCGGAACTGGCAGTAAATCCGGCACCAATTGTAGTGGAGTTAAAACTGGGAGCGACTCTGGTTCATGTCCGTCAGTACCCGCTTCTCCCTGAGGCCATACGGGAGTCCACAAACACTTAGATTGACTTCACAGGTGAGGAACCATAGTCAAATGCCAGTCACTATGGAACACCCCTCTCTTGCCAGTGTGGAAGCCGTCTGGAGAATATAGGCCAGTGCAGGACTTGTGTGCAGTAAACCAGGCCACGGTGACCATCCACCCAGTGCTGCCAAACCTGTATACTTTAATGGGACATATTCCAGTGAGTGCCACTTGGTTTACAGTCCTAGATTTGAAGGACACATTTTTCTGTCTCCAGCTGGCACCGATTAGTCAGCCTGTTTTTGCTTTGCAATGGGGTGAATCACAGTATACTTGAACAAGACTGCCACAGGGATTTAAGACTCTCCCACAATCTTTGAAGAGGCACTGGCCTCAGACCTTAAAGCCTACACCCCACCAAGCAGTGACTGTGTCTTGCTCTAGTACATTGATGATCTTCTTCTAGCAGCCCCAACCTGGAAGGACTGCTTTCAGGAGACCCAAGACCTCCTGCACCTGTTATGGAAGGCAGGATATAAAGGCAGGATATAAAGTGTCAGGGAAAAAGGATCAAATCTGCTCTGAAAGTGTCCAGTATTTAGGCTTCTATATAAGCGAAGGGAAAAGATTGCTTGGTAGTGAATGAAAGCAGGCTTTTGTGTGCTTCCCACTCCAACCACCTGGTGACAAATGAGAGAGTTACTAAAGGCAGCTGGGTTCTGCCACATCTGGATCCCATGTTTCTCACTCATGGGTAAGCCATTGTATGAAGCCACAAAGAGGGGAAAGAAGGAGCCCCTCCTCTGGGAGGCCACCCAGGAAAAGGCCTTTTAATAAATCAAAGGAGACTTGACTGAAGCTCCAGCTTTAGGGTTGCCAGATCTAACTAAGCTTTTCTTTTTATATGCCCATGAGTGAAAAGGAATGGTCATAGGGGTCCTAACTCAAGTCATAGGGTCATGGCACCACCCGGTGGCATATTTATCCAGGCAATTAGATACTGTGGCACTTGCATGGACCCTTGTTTAAGGCATTAGCTGCTACTGCTTCACTGGCACAGGAAGCTAATAAACTGACTTTGGGACGGCAACTGATAATCCAGGTACCATACTCGGTTATAACTTTAATGGACAAAAGGGGGCACCAATGGTTATAAAATCCGAGAATGATTTGATATCAAGAGCTCTTATGTGAAAATCCCTGCATAACTTTAGAGACTGTAAATACCCTAAACCTGGCTACCTTGCCCCCTTCATTGCTGTGTGGACGTAGCAGATGAAGTGTTCTCAAGCCAGAGAGATTTGACAGATCGGCCCCTCGGGGACCCGGACATTGAATATTTCACTGATGGGAGCAGCTTCATCCTAGAGGGGCCCGCCGAGCAGGGTATGCAGTAGTGACTTTGGACTCAGTAGCAGAGGCATAGTCTTTGCCTACAGGAACTTCTGCTCAGAAAGCAGAGCTAATAGCTCTGACAAGGGCTCATTGGCTAGCAAAAGACCAAAAGACCAATATTCACACAAACTCTAAATATGCTTTTGCCATTTTGAATGTTCATGGGGCTATTTACAAAGAAAGAGGACTCTTGACTGATGGAGGGAAAGAAAGAAAGTACAAGGAAGAAATTCTACAGCCCTTAGATGCTGTGTGGGCCCCGAAGCAGGTGGCTGTAATGCACTGTAGGGGGCACCTGAGGGCAGGAACATCAGAGGTGAAAGGAAACAGAAAGGCAGACAAGAGGCAAAGCAGACTGCAGTGGTGACTCTGCCTTCTAAAGAGGAAGCCTTGGCTATGCCTCTCCTTCCAGAAATTCCCCTCCCAGAGACCCCAAGCTACACTCCAAATGAAAGGGCTTTTTTTGCCCAAGAAAATGGGAGCTACGTTGAAGGAGGATGGTGGAAATTCTCCAATGGGAGGCTAGCCATAACTGAAATGGTGGCCCCCAGATTTGTAAAGCAGTTCCACCAAGGGACTCACATGGGAAAAACGGCACTAGAGACATTATTAGGTTGTCACTTCTATGTGTCCCAGCTTACGGCTATCACTTGAGCAGTTTGTGAACGGTGTTTAACTTGTGCTCATAACAACCCTCGACAAGGGCCCACTTGACCCCCCAGGAATTCAGGAAACAAGAGCCATCCCTGTGAAAACCTGCTTATGGGCTTCACCAAACTGTCCTGAGCAGGGGGCTATCAGTACATGTTGGTGCTTGTCTGCACCTTTTCAGGATGGGTCGAGGCCTTCTCCACCCAGACAAAGAAGGCATGAGAGGCGACCAAGGTATTGTTAAGAGACGTTATTCCCAGATTTGGACTACCCCTGACTCTGGGGTTAGACAATGGACTGGCATTTGTGGCTGAAGTAGTGCAGGACTTAACTCGACTATTAGGAATAAAATGGAAATTATATACAGCCTGTAGGCTGCAGAGCTCAGGTAAAGTGGAGCACATGAACTGGACACTAAAACAGCTACTGAAGAAATTTTGTGAGGAAACTCACCTGAGGTGGGATCAGGTCTTACCCGTGGTCCTCCTCCAAGTCGGGTGCACCCGCACAAAACAAACCGGGTGTTCACCCTATGAGATTTTATTCGGCCGGCCACCCCCAATCACAGGTCAAATTAAAGGTGATCTCTGTGAGTTAGGAGAACTCTAAGGAAGCAAATGCAGGCTTTAGGGCTAGCTATGCAGAAAGTGCATGGCTGGGTGCAAGAAAGAATGCCCATTGGTCTGACAGACCCAGTACACCCTTTCAAACCTGGGGACCTCGTTGGGGTTAAGAAATGGAATCATAACTCTGGGACCCATATGTGATGGGCCCCATGTTGTAATTTTGTCCACTCCCACTGCTGTTAAAGTTCAGAAATCGTGCCTTGGATCCACCACGACTGGCTGAAACCGGCAGCCCAGGACCAGAGGACCAGCTAGCAGGACCCAGACCATCCGACCCAGCTGACCCTGCGACGAGACTGGGTTCCCAGCGGAGAGGACAACAGCCCGGCTCTGCTTACTTCGGAAGCTGACCAGTCTATGCATGGTGGAAGCTTGAGAAAACAGCAAGCTCTGCTCTAGTCACTCTGGAAGCTGACTAGTTTACGCATGGCAGAAAGCTTGAGTCGTCATCATCAGATGAGTAAATGTGGCCAGAGATCTTAGGTCCAGTAATCTTATTTGTATTATTAATTATATTACTGCTGTGCTATTGCTTCAACAAATCTCCTCCACCCTGCCCATGCTAGGTGTAAGAATGCTACACCTTGCCTTGTTTCTGTCGATCCCCATATCTGTCCTAGGAGAGGAAGAGCCTATAGAGGAATGTCCACATTGCATGTGTACTACGTGGATAGGTAATACACTAGTTAAGACTTTATTGTACCATACATACTATGAACGCACAGGAACCCCTCTGGGGACTTGTATGTACAACCAAACGAACTATTCAGTTTGTGACCCAGGGGATAGCTAGCTTTATGTATACTATGACCCTAAGCTTTTACCTGGGCCTGGTTTGAGATTCGCACTGGGTCAAGGGAAGGAAGTCTTTTAAACAAGACCGAAGTTTCTCTCTCCCACAAGGGAGTCACATCTTTGTATTTTGATATTTGCCAGATAACATCCATAGACTCACTCTTTCCCGTAATCCACAGTTCCATGGAGTACTATAATAGCTGCCATAAAAGTAAGTGTGCATCCCCTGCTTGCTCCACCGGTTCCCTGGTAACAACTTGCTGGGGCTTTGCAACATGGCCTACTAACCAACAATCACTAGGGCTAATCATGCTTACCAAAATACCTTCAGAACCAGATTGTAAAACTAACATTTGCAATCCTGTGAATCTTACCACCTTGGAGCCAAATTGGCTCGTATGGACTACAGGTTTAAAAGCACCACTGAGGGTACAAGCCAGCAGCCAAGAAATAGACTCAAGAGTCTATGTCTATATTATATACATAAAAAAAAACCTGAATCCTTCTTGCCCAGCAGCAGTTCCAAGTCTTTAAGTCATTCAATGAGCACTTTAAGCAGGAGGTACCTGAAGCTCCTCCTCCTATAGCTGTAGATCTGTTTGCACGGTTGGCTGAAAACAGCTGGCAGCTTAGGTGTTTCCTCATGCTTTGTCTGTGGAGGAACAAATATGGGAAACCAGTGGCCTTGGGAAACAAAAGAGCTATCGCCTCAAGAAAATTACACTTTAACCCTTTCATCCCCAGAGCCGGCACTCACGAGCTCAAGTGTCTGGCTGCTAAAATCTTCTGTCATTGGAAGATTCTGCATTGCCCACTGGGGAAAAGCCTTTACAAACCCAGTAGGGGAATTAGTCTGCCTAGGACAGCAATATTACAATGAGACATTAGGGAAAACTTTATGGCGGGGCAATAATAAGCAAGGTAAAGATACAACCAGGTTGCCATGCCATAATCCATTTTCCCATTTTCACTCTTTAAACCACTCCTGGTATCAACTAGAGGCACCAAATGAACACCTAGCAAGCACCTTCTGGCCTCGACTGGATCTGTGGGCCATGAGCTTATTGGCAATTACCTGCCAATTGGACAGGGGCCTGTGTGTTGGGGACAATAAGACCATCTTTCTTCCTTGACCCGTTACAACAGGGAGAGGTTTTAGGGTATCCTATCTATGATGAAATTAAGGGGAGGAGCAAAAGGAATATAGACATAAAAAAAGATATAAAGATAGGAGATTGGAAGGACACCGATTGGCCTCCTGAAAGAATAATTTAATACTATGGGCCAGCTACATGGGCACAAGATGGGATGCAGGGATACTGTACCCCTATTTACATGCTCAACAGCATCATAAGGTTGCAGGCAGTACTTGAAATCATCACCAATGAAACTGCAAATGCATTAGACCTGCTGGCCCAGCAAGCCACAAAGATGAGAAATGCCATTTATCAAAATAGGCTAGGCTTGGACTACCTCCTAGCCCAGGAAGGAGGCATAGGCGGGAAGTTTAATCTGACAAATTGTTGTTTAGAAATTGATGATAACAGAAAGGCCATCATGGAAATAACTGCAAGAATGCAAAAGCTAGCTCATGTCCCAGTTCAGACCTGGAAGCCAATATGGTCTCTAGATTCCCTTTTTGGAGGTTGGTTTTCAGGTTTTGGCAGTTTTAAAACATTAATAGGGATAGTACTAGCTATATTAGGAGGCTGTTTAATACTCCCCTGCCTCTTACCCCTCCTTATCAGGGGCATCCAATCAACTATAGACGCCGTAGTTGACAAAACCATCACCACTTGACTAATGGCTCTAACTAAATACCAAGCTGTACCAAACGAAGAAAACTTGCCTTATCATGAAGAACAAAGTTGTAGTGATGACTTCTATTAAAATTTCATACATAGGAGGCATCAAAGGCAGGGTATGAGATGGGAAAAAAGAAAAAAATTAAGAAAAAAAGAAAATAGAAATTAAAAAAGAGAAAGAAACAAGCTGCCTGTGTTAGGCTGACTCATGTCAAAGGCAGTAACACGCAAAGTTTCAATAATGTAATTTAAGGGCCAGAGCTCAGAGGAATGTGCTCTGAAGACTCTCCCAGCACTCCCTCAACATAAGGATGTGAAGAGATAAGTTTTCCTATCTCTCCTTTAGTGTAAGTAAACTTCCCCGTCGAATCTCATCCCCTCTGCTATGTAAACTATATCTTGCTCCTTGCTCTGTAAGTTTTTGGAGTTTCTGTTTTTCCTACAGTTAATGATTGTAGGTTCCTGCTTCTGCATCTAAGCAGTATAGCCTGAGCAGGTCTGGCTAGTAGCCAGCTAGACGCCATAGTGGGGGTCGCAAGATGAGTCTTTGTGAGACTCCTTTGAACTAAGCAGATAATGACCATCTGGGCAGCATAGTAAGGAGTATACTAAACTTGAGTTATAAGCCTGTCTTAGTTTGTTTAACGGCCTTTGTCTTGCCTCTGTACATTCGCGTTTGCACCACTTAGGAGTAGGTATATAAGCAAAACCTTGTCTTTGTTCGGGGCCCAGTTTTTTGGACGTTGAGTCCACTGAGACAGAGTGCACTCAATAAAGGATCCTCCTGCTATACCCTGAGGTCTCCCTTGCCCTCCTAAATTTCTGCAACAATGTCACACCTCAAGAAACTGGAGAAATAAGAACAAACTAAACCTAGATCCAGAAGAAGAAAAGAAATAACAAAGATCAGAGCAGAACTAAATGAAAATCAAACAAAAAACACAAAAAACCAATGAAATAAAAAGTTGGTTATTTGAAAAAATAATCAAATTCATGGACCATTAGCTATATTAACCAAGAAAAGAAGAGCAAAGATCCAGATAAGTTCAATTAGAAATGAAATGAGACAATACAATCTACACTGCTAATATATAAAATAATTTGAGACTACTATGTACAACTTCATGTGCACAATCTAGGAGACTTACAGGAAATGGAAAAATTCCTAGAAACATACAACTCTCCTAGATTAAATCAAGAAGAAACAGTTACTTTGAATAGATGAATAATAAACAATGAGATTGAATCAGTAATTCAAGAATTGCCAACAATACCAACAACAAAATAGGGCCAGGTGAATTCACATTTGAAGTCTACACAAAATTCAAAGAAAAATTGCTACCATTTTTTCTGAAACTATTTTTTAAATTTAGAAAAAAAGAATCCTCCCTAAATTATTCTCTAAAGCTACTATAACCCAGATACCCAAACCAGGAAAACACACACACACACACACACACACACACACACACACACTCTCTACATACGAATTTTCCTGGTAAATATAGATGCAAAAATACTCAAAAAATAGCTACCTGAGTCCAACAGCACATCCAAAAGATAATTCATCATGATAAAAGTAGGTTTCAACTCAGAAATGGAAGGATTATTTGAACATACACAAGTCAATAAATGTAACACATCACATAAACAGAACTAAAAACAAAAACTATAGGATTATCTCAATAGATGCAGAAAAAGCATTTAACAAAATTCAGCGTTTTTAATTATAAAAATTCTAAGTCAGGTAGGCATAGAAGGAACTGACCTCAAACTAATAAAGGTTATATAGGAAAAACTCACACCCAACATCATGCTGAATGTGAAAAAGTTAAAAGCATTCCCCCTGGGAACAGAAACAATAGAAGAATGTCCATGTTCACCAGTTCTATTCAACATAGTGCTAGAAGTTCTACCCAGAGCAATTAATCAGAAGAAAAAAATAAAGGGCATCCATATTGAGAAAGAGAAAGTCAAACTATCACTGTTTACAGATGAAGTGATTATATACCTAGAAAACCCTAAACTCCCCCAAAATACTGTTAGTTTTAGTAAATGAATTCACTTATGTCTCAGGTTACAAAATAAATGTACACAAATTGGTAGCACTGCTATACATCAACAACAACAAAGCTGCGAATCAAATCAAGAACTCCATTTCTTTTACAGAAGCTACAAAAAGATATTTAGGAATATACTTAACCAAAAAGGTAAAAGATTTCTACAAGGAGAACTACAAAACACTGCTGAAAGAAATCATAGATGACACAAACAAATGGAAATGAATCCCATGCTCATGGATTGGAAGAAGCAATATTGTGAACATGACCGTAATGCCCAAAGCAATCTACAGATTCAGTGCAATTCTTATGAAAATACCCACATTATTTTTTACAGAATTAAAAAATAATAATGTTAAAATTCATATGAAACCAAAAAAGCCCAAATAGCCAAATAAATCCTAATAAGAAAAAAATGGAGCCATCACATTACTGAACTTCAAATTATACCACAAGGCTGCAGTTACCTAAACAACATGGTACTGATATAAAGTAGGTTCATAGACCACTGGAACAAAATAGAGAACCCAGAAATAAAGCCAAATATGTAAAGCCAACTGATGTTTTACAAAACATACAAAAATATAAATTGGAAAATAGACACCATATTTAATAAATGGTACTGGGAAAACTAGGAAGCCACATGTAAAAGAATAAGACTGGATCTCTATCTGTCACCATATAAAAAACAACTCCCATTCAAAACTTCAAAGAAATGCATTTACATAAATTGGAAAAAAACTCTTTATAATTTGTATGGCTGGGGTGATTGACCCAGGCTATCAAGATGGAATCATACTACTACTCCACAATGGAGGTAAGAAATAGTATGTTTGGAATACAGGGGGATTTCTTAGGGCATCTCTTAGCATTACTTTGCCATGTGATTAAGGTCAATGGGAAACTACAACAACCTAATCCAGGCAGGCATACAGATGGCTCAGATTCTTCAAGAGTAAAAGTTTAGGTCACTCCACCAGGTAAACAAACAAACAAATGAACAAGAAACAAAACTGACCAGCCAAGGTAACTGCTGAAGGCCAAAAAATACAGAATGGGTAGATACAAGAAAGTTGTTATCAATACCAGGTATGACCATCAACCAGAAATGAGGACTGGAATTGTCATGAGTATGTCTTTCTTATCTTCTTAAGAATATATTTCTGCATGTATATAACTGTACTAAGAAAATGTTTTCTTTTTGTTTTTCATGTAACATAAGATTTATCGACTTCATATTAGCATTTGAGAGTTGTTAACTGTATATAGTGGCATTTAGGTTAAGGATTAGTGCATTTTCAGTTGTATGAAGGATAGCTGTATTATGTTAGGCATAATTATGACCTTACTATTGTCTTTATTTGGAGATCGAGCATGATTTCAGGTGATATGTAGGGATGCTAAGTTGACAACAAGGGATTGGCCTGTGATAGTTAATATTAGGTTTAACTTGATTGGATTAAAGCATGCTTAGATGGCTGGGAAAGTATTGTTTCTTTGTGTGTCTCTTGGGTTTTGCCAGAGGAGGTTGGCATTTGACTAAGTAGCCTGCAAGAGAAAGACCCAGCCCCAATATGGAAGGGCACCATCCACTCAGCTGCCAGCACAGCTAGAATAAAGCAGGTGGAAGAAGAGGAGATAACATTGCTTGCTGCGCCTTCTGTTTTTGTTTTGTTTTGCTTTGTTTTCCTTGCTGGCTGCTTTCTTCTGCTCTTCCTACCCTTGGACATAAGATTTCACGTTCTTTGGCAGTTGAACTATGGGGCGTGAAGCAGGGGCTTGCTGAGGGTTCTTGGGCCCTTGGTCAGAGAATGAAGTGTGCACTGTTGGCTTTTCTGGTTTTGAGACTTCTGGACTTAGACTGAGCCACTACCAGTTTCTCTCTCTTCCCAAGCTTTTAGAAAGCCTATCATGGAACTTTCATTTTGTAATTTTGTGAGAAAATTCTAATAAACTATATTTCCTATATACATATGTTATATTAGTTCTATTTCTCTAGAGAACTCTGGGTAATACAGCTTTGATACAAAAAACAACATTGTTGTATTCACAAAAATGTATCCTAAGATAAGCCAACACATAAAAGTGCATAAAGTATGATTCTATTTCTAGGAATTATAAAAAATGAAAATGAATCTAAAGTAACAAAAAAAGATCAGTAGTTGCCTAAGGACAGATTGGAAAATTATATTTTTCCAAATGCTACAAATGATACTCTCACCTACTATGAGCATTGCTCTCTCCTCAGGAATTTCACCCAAGAACCGACTCTATAGTCGGAGACATGCAAACAGGTTCCTGTTCATGTACGAACTCTTCCTAACACTTTCTTTTCATGTACTTCCTTGACTTATTTGTTGATGAAGGTTGATACCATAAAAATAACTAAACCAGGCTCACATTAGAGAAAAAGAAGAGAGTGATGGAAAGATTAAGCCGGAGCATCCAGTTTCAGTGATTCTTTGACCCTGCCCTCCCTGAAGTCTAGAGGCAGAGGGATGAGCCCTGCTGAGCAGTTCACACTTGTCCACAGGGAGAAAGAGGTGTAAATGTGCCCCCCATCCATGCTCATAAAATGGCCCATGGACAGCTTATCCCCTGTCCATGAAGGGGATGCCACCTGATGTCGGTGCCCTTCCTCAGTGTCCACACCTTAGGGTCTCTGCTAATCTGGGGTTCTCTTCTTATTCTCAGAGGTAGGGTCCCTGTGGATCAAGCCTAGCTGTGGCTGCTTCTCAGCCTGTTCCCTCTGTGTTTGTAAGAGTCCTACAAGAAGTTCACTGGTGGAATCTGGAAGAGAAATGATACAGCCTAACTGTTCTCAGAGCCTTTTTTACAAAGCCTCTGAATTTACCTTCATTGACTCTAGCATGAGCTCAGCCCAGCAGGCTTCAGGACAGGGGTTGGTGTGGGAGGCAAAAGCGAGGGATTCAAGTGGAATTTGTTAGTGGTACCCTCCATCAATACAAAGAAAAATCATAATCCTCAGGGACACCCTTGTCAGCACAGTCTCCCTCAAAATGACCAACCTGAGAGCCGAGGAGAAGGCCATGTATTACTGTGAGAGACACAGGAGATATCCGTGTGGCAACCTAACACAGGGGACACCTGTATTTGTGTCTGAGCCCAGACACAAACCTCCCTGCAGGGAGACAGGAGGGGACCGTGTGACAGACACTGCTCAGAACCACCAAGGGGAGCTCAGAACCAGCAGGAGGCAGTGGGGACACAAAGGAAGACTCAGGAGCCACCAGGGGGCGCTCAGAACCACCTGGGGGTGGTGAGGACACCAGGGGGCGCTGAGGACACAAGGGGAGGATCAGGACACCAGGGTCGGCTCAGGACGCGAGGAGGTGCTCAGGACACCAGGGTCTGCTCAGAACCACCAGGGGGCACTCAGGAACCACCAGGAGAGGCTCAGCCACCACCAGGGGGCACTCAGGACATCAGGAGCTGCTCAGAATCACCAGACGGCGGCTGGGCGCGGTGGCTCACGTCTGTAATCCCAGCACTTTGGGAGGCCGAGGCGGGCGGATCACGAGGTCAGGAGATCGAGACCATCCCGGCTAAAACGGTGAAACCCCGTCTCTACTAAAAATACAAAAAATTAGCCAGGCGTAGTGGCGGGCGCCTGTAGTCCCAGCTACTTGGGAGGCTGAGGCAGGAGAATGGCGTGAACCCGGGTGGCGGAGCTTGCAGTGAGCCGAGATCCCGCCACTGCACTCCAGCCTGGGGTGACAGAGCGAGACTCCGTCTCAAAAAAAAAAAAAAAAAAAAAAAGAATCACCAGACGGCGCACAGGACATGAGGTGGCGCACAGGACATGAGGTGGCACTCAGGACACAAGGGGGAGCTCAGAACCACCTGGGGGTGGTGAGGACACCAGGGGATGCTGAGGACACAAGGGGAGGATCAGGACACCAGGGTCTGCTCAGCAACCACCAGGGGGCGCTCAGGACATCAGGAGCTGCTCAGAATCACCAGACGTCGCTCAGGACATGAGGTGGCACTCAGGACACAAGGGGGAGCTCAGAACCACCAGGGGGCGCTCAGGACATGAGGTGGCGCTCAGGACACAAGGGGGAGCTCAGAACCAACAGGGGGCGCTCGGGACACTAGGGGGTGCTAAGAACACCAAGGGGCGGTCAGGACATCAGGGTTCTCTTAGGAAGCAGTGCATCATCAGGTCCCTGGGGAGGGTGGGTTTCTTTATTTAGGCCTTGTGATTCCTGACCTGGTAAAGTGAAACTCTTCTCAGCATCTTTTGCCATTTCTTCCTTGGAATCCATGTTTCTCTTACCTACAAAATCCTAACTTAGAACAGGAATTCAATTAAACTTTTAATTCTTTATATTTTTGTAATAATACTAGTAATAATATCTCAGTACAATTTTAAAATGAAGAAATTGTGTATGCTTACTTCAAACTATTTACACAGATTTTTGTTACTGTGCTGTGTCAGTCACACTTTTGTAAATGTTTTCTAACAATAACTCAGCATATGCATGGTGTTGAGTTTCTTTTTCTTCCATTTGCTGATTGTGAAGATGAAACCCCACTTTAAGGGCTCCTGTCCTCCACTTTGGTGGCCCCTGGTGTTCTGCCCCTCAGTCTGTTTCTCCACCTTCCCTTCTTCTTTCCAAACCTTTTATAATCCTCAATTTCCATTCAAGGAATCAGCAAGCCCGTTTATTATGTCTCATCCATGTCTGGTGAATCAGTTCACTTCCCTTTATGATCACTGAAGCCAACCAAGTATAGGCAGGCAACAGTTCTAAGAATATGCTCATCTACCTGCAGACTCTCTGCCCTCCTCACCCCTTTCAACGGTCCTGCAGACATCACCCCACCCCATCCTCTATCTTCCCTAAGTACCACAGAGTGGGCTCTGCAGCTCCTGCTGCCCACTGTGTGCTCAGCCCTGGGGCTCACTAGTGCTTTGATGATAAAGCCTAAATCCCTAACGTGTTTGCACACTTCCTGACCACCCTCTAGCAAGTTGTCATTGTGAGTGAATCCTGGGAACCCTGTGCTGATATTAATTCTATATTTATGGATATTCTCTAGCATCCAGGAATATTGTCAAATAACCTATCGAGTTGATGTTAAAAATTCATGTGAAGCCATTGCAAAAGAAAAAAGTCTTTAAACTGGAAATTGCTATTTTTTAATACTTAATATTTTTTTAATTTAATATTTAAATGCTATTTAAATTAGAAAAAGGTGATGCCTTTTGTAAAGTACAATGTTATTTCAACCAATCGTGTAATAAAATTTTAATAGAGATGCTTGCCTTATTGATTATTATATTTATTTATAACATTAAATGCATTAAAACATTTATTTAAAAAATATGCTATTAGTAAAAATGGGAAATAAGCTAGCACAGAGTATGTAAAGAATACCATTGTATTTTTCAATGATAGATTTGTCAATAATGGCAGTTACAGTAAGTTTTATTAAAACATGCATTTACATATATTTCTTAATTTACATTGGAATAGACAGACTTACTCATAGAAGAATGTTACTTTGGACTAAAACCTTAAACTATAAATACAAATAAATCCATATAAATTAAATATAATAACACAGAAACAAATGTATGTCACTTTGATGTTTGGAAATGCATTTATTTTTGCCTGTGCACATATATGTTTCATTGCTGGGTGTGTGTGTCTGTGTCTGTATATATGGGTGTGACTGTGAAGTTTCAAAATACATTATTAACTTGTATAGTTATATAAATCTAAGTTTTTTTATGTTAAAAGATAGTAAAAAAACACACACAAAAATATTCTAGAGAGCATTTGCAATAACTAAGGAGTATTCAGGTGTTGTATTAATAATGAAAAACTAGCCAAAATGTTTTTAAACTTTTATTTTAGGTTCAGAAGTACTTGTGCAAGTGTTGTTTTATAGGCAAATTGTGAGTTCTGTTGGTTTGATGTACAGATTATTTTGTCACCAAGGAAATAAGCATAGTACCTGGTAGGTAGTTTTTCAATTCTCACCCTCCTCCCACCCTCCACACTCAAGTAGGACCTAGTGTCTGTTGTTTTCTTTGTGTCAATATGATTAGCTCCCACTTATACATGAGAACAGATGGTTTGTAATTTTCTGTTACTGTGTTACTTTCCTTAGGATAATGACCTCCAGCTCCATCTATGTTGCTGCAAATAACATGATCTTATTCTTCTTATGACTGTGTTGTATTCCATTCTGAAATATACATAAATCAGTAAATGTGATTCATCACACACACACAATCATCTCATTGATCAATATTAACTTTCAATGTAAATCTCCCAGGAATCTTTCATCTTCTCTTGACCCTCCCCTCTCCTCAGGCATCCCAAACCATAGCTTTCTATATATTAGGATACATGAAAATAGGGCCCTCTCTCAGCTGATGAAAACCAGCCCAGCCCTGACTCTGCAGCTCTGGGAGACAAGCCCCAGCCGTGCAGTACCAAGGTGCTTCCATTCAGTGATTAGCACTGAACACTGAAGACATCCCATGGAGTTAGGAATGCGCTGGGTTTTCTTTGTTGTTGTTCTAAAAGGCAATCAAGAAGAACTAGAAATATTGTCTGTGAGTGATATGAGTGAGAGAAACAGTGGATCTGTGTGGCAGTTTCTGACAAGAATGTCTCTGTGTTTGCAGGTGTCCAATGTGAAGTGTAGCTGGTAGAGTCTGGGGGAGGCTTGGTACAGCTTGGGGGGTCCATGTGACTCTCCTGTGCAGCCTCTGGATACACTTTCAGTAACTATGGCATGCACTAGGTGGACCAAGCTCCAGGGAAGGGACTGGAGTGGGTCTTACATTAATGCTAGTGGTGGAGGCATATACTACTCAGACTCTGTGAAGGGCCGGTTGACCATCTCCAGAGAAAACACCAAGAACTCACTGTATCTGCAAATAAACAGTTTCATTGCTGACACCATGGCCGTCTATTACTGTAAGAGACACAGTGAGGAGAAGTCAGTGTGAGCCCAGTCACAAACCTCCTACAGGAACGCTGGGAGGAAAATCAGCTACAGGGCTCACTCAAGGCCCACTGATCAGAGTCCACTCCAGAGGGAGGTTCACATGGAGGTTAGGGGCTGGTTTTCTGTCAGGACATTGGACTTCATCATCTTCTTCCATTACTTTCTTTAGGGAGCCTCTTCATTTTAGAATTCTGTGTGTACTATTGTTATATATACATATATATATATATATATATATAAAATAATCATAGTAATGCGAGGACATATTTTCTCATGCACAAAATGTAGATTGACACTTACAGAGAAGAAAAATTATCAACCAATGTCAAAAACATCAGAGTCCTGGAAAATCTTAAGTGTTCTGGTGGGTCATCTCTAATCAGACCCAGAACAGTAACCTCAGTGAAATTCCATGATTCAGATACTATTTTTGGATTCTGATCATAACCAAGACAGAGTCTGGACCAGGGTCAGTGTCATATAGAACCTCACAGCTTCCATATATGACCCTTCTCTTGACAGTGAAATATGAAATTCAGTATCAGCAGTGATTTGATTTTTCTTTTGCTTTCCGTATTCTTTCTTTTTAGTTGTTGTTGTTTAGTTATTTCTTTTGCTATATCCATTTTCTTTTTTTTTAGTTGTGCCTTTCACTTTTGGCTTTCACTTTTCCATTTGCTTTTCCTGCTTCCTGATAAAGGGAGATGTAATCCCTGTGGTCTAAATTCCAGGGCTCAAGCCTTTTCCTGGGAGCTCAGGTGGGTCTCAGGATGTGGCTCCTGCAGCCACGTGAAAGAGGCTGATGGGACTTTCTTTCCTTCTCATGACTCAGGCATTCCACGGTGTTGTGTGGAGACTCATCTGAGATTGCACGTGGCCATTAGTAGTGAAGGGGATGAGATGTGGGTGTGGACTGATCCTGTGCTGTGCAAATTGTCATTAGTAGTGAAGGGGATGAGATGTGGATGTGGACTGATCCTGTGCTGTGCAAATTGTCATTAGTAGTGAAGGGGATGAGATGTGGGTGTGGACTGATCCTGTGCTGTGCAAATTGTCATTAGTAGTGAAGGGGATGAGATGTGGGTGTGGACTGATCCTGTGCTGTGCAAATTGTCATTAGTAGTGAAGGGGATGAGATGTGGGTGTGGACTGATCCTGTGCTGTGCAAATTGTCATTAGTAGTGAAGGGGATGAGATGTGGGTGTGGACTGATCCTGTGCTGTGCAAATTGTCATGGAGTCACTTTTCTCACCATAGTGTTAGAAAGAGACTGTAAAAGTTGTCAGAATCAAACTGCAACAATTTGTGTTAAAACCTGGGAAATGGAGCTGGGAAGGCCATGAGGGAGGGTTCTCATACACATGCCTTCCATAACAAGAACTGTCATAAATAGATTCTGCAAAACCACAACCTTGCACAAAGGCCAGCACAACCTTAAAATAATTACTTCTCCAAGTACATCTGCCCAGAGGTGCCTGTGCAATATTACACTGATGCCACCCTGGTTATTGATCATTTTATCCCAGGTTAAGTGTCTCAAAACCGCATATGTGGCCCTCCTCATTTTTTCTTTAAAACACTTTCCTTATTTACCTACCGAAATGTGCCCGTGCACATTCCCATTGCAATGCTAATTCTCAAATAAATACCACTTTACTTTAGAGTTTCTTTCTGTCTGATATTCAGGTTTGACAAGCTGCAGATGGACTTGCCAATTTTCTGTGGGATACAGGGTATAATAATTATGAGAGATGTGTAGGCATGTTCAATGTTCATAAGAGCAACCGTAAATAAATGCAGGCTGGAAGTCTCAGAGAGAGCTGAATGTGCTGAAACACCATACTATTTTATCTTCTCCCATTCTTTTCTGATTGGAATCAGACCCAACCAGGTTATCAATGCCAATCTACCTAAGCTAGAGCCAACTGATTACGGTATCAACAGCAACAATAGCTTTTTATTTTCTGCTTGGCTTTGTATTGTTACCTTGTTCCATCCTCTAGAGTATCTATTTCAGCCCTTCGGATACCGGTTTCAGAGGCTTTCCCCTAAAGTGTAATTTCTTAGTTTTGTAGTGGTGATAAGGGAGGAGGTGGGTCTGGATGTGTTTTAGAAGTTCAGGCTGTCATTCTCTCCCAGACAGACACTTTAGTACAGAACGATTTATGTGGTTGTCCCATTTCTACAGGAAAGATATTCAAGAGAATAAGAAAGCTCTTCAGTATTTGGTCCCTGAGAATTTTACACTAGAGCACATTCACCACTCTTGACTTTAAGCAACCTAATTAATGTATTTGAAGCCTTATCTTGAAATAGACTATATTTCATATGGCAGACTCTGCCTCAGGTAATCTCATACCCTGACTTTGTTACTCTCTACAAGAACTTGTCTCTCCCTAAATTTCAGATTTGTTGTTTGTCTTAAAATTTCGATTATCTGAAGTATGAAAGACAATTTGCCAAGTTTCTTATTTTCTGTTCATCTGTTATTGTTGATGTTGTTGTTGTAAAATACAAAAATATATATATTTCTTATCTAAGTACTTCTGCAAGCTGAGTAGCAGATATTTTTGGTAAAACCCAGAATAACAGAAGAGTCCACATATTAATTAGCTTCTTAATAGGAAAAATCATTATAGTAAATTTGTTCACTGGACTGTTACCCATCATTTATAATGTACAAATATCTGATACACACAACAAACTAAAATATCTAGGTATTTATGCTGAGTAAAATAAGCCAAAAAAATAAGTATATATGCTATATTATTCCATTTCTATAAATTCTGGAAAATGAAAACTAACCTACAATAATTTAATGAAGAACAGTTGTTGCCTGAGGAAATGGTAGAAGAAGGGAAAGGGATAGGAGGAAATGTGGAACAGGAGAAAAAATTGAGGCGAATTCACTTGTCCACTTTCTTGATAATGGTGATAGTTATGTCATGTTTATCAATGTATACTTTAAGTATATGAAGTTTATTATCTCTCAATTAGACCTTATAAAGTTTATTACAAGCAAACAAATAAAAAATTAGACAAAAAGAACTGATAGAAAATGGGTAACATATGTTAAATGCCAGTTACCTGAAAATTTATCTGCGTGAACCTTAGTTCTCTCCATAATTTTAGGTGAACGCTGGAGTGTAACAGAGTCACAATATTTTCATTAAGGCAGTAAGTTCTGCAAGCCACACTAGACATGTCCCGCTCTGTCCTGGAGTTAGTTCAGGGAACACAGTGATGAGGAACACGGGCTCAGATACCGGAACTCACTCATCTCAGACATGAGCACTTAGACACATACATAGGCACTCTGTGTGTGGGTTTACTTTCACATCCGTACATGGAGAAACATTGAGTCTCACAGACATAATTTACACACATATTTAAAATATAATAAGGTGTTTGATGCTGTTTATCACAGCACAATTTCCTCGTAAAAGTGCAAATCTTCTAAATACCATAAGTTACCAAACTCCTGCAGGACACCATCATCCTCTCTCGGCAATGCCTTCTCCTCACGTGTCCCACCCTAGAGTTTTTTATGTAGTTGGAAATATGCAAAGGACCCTCCTTCTTTGGTGAAAACCAGCCCTGCCCTCACCCTACAGTTCTGGGATGGGAGACCCAGCCCTGGAATTTCAAGGTTTTTCCACATGGTGATTAGCACTGAACAGAGAACTCACCATGGGGTTTGTGCTGACTTGGGATTTACTTGTTACTATTTTAAAAGTAGATTCAGGGTGAACTAGAGATTTTGAGTGTGAGTGGATAACAGTTAAGGAAACACTGAAAATATGTGCCAGTTTCTGACCAGGATGCCCCTGTGTTTTTGGGTGTCCAGTGTGAGGCGCAGTTGTTGGAGCCTGGGGGAGACTTGGTACAGCCTGGCGCGGTGGGGGTGGGGGTCCCTGAGACTGTCCTGTGCAGCCTCTGGATTTGCCTTCAGTAGCCACTGGATGCACTGGGCCTGCCAGGCTCCAGGGAACAGACTGGAGTGGGTCTCATGTATTAGTACTGATGGGAGTAGCATACGCTATGCACATTCTGGGAAGTTCTGATTCCCCATCTCCAGAAACAATGCCAAGAACACACTCTTATCTGGAAATGAACAGTTTGAGAGCTGAGTACACAGCCACGTATTACTGTGCTGGAGACGCAGTGAAGGGAAGTCAGGTTGAGCCCAGACACAAACCTCTCTGCAGAAACACATGAAGTAAATCAGCTACGGGGGCGCTCAGGACCCACTGATCAGATTCAACCTCAGAGGCAGATGCAGATACAGGGTAGGAGCTGGTTTTCTCATAGTGTTTGTAACTTCCCTCTCCAACTGACAGTTTCCCAGAGAACCTCACTAATTTAGAGTTCTGTGCCTACCAAAAAAATCTCCAAATATACACCTTTTAAAAGGTAGTAATATAAAGGCCTAGTCTCACATGCACAAAATGCAGATCACCACTTCCAGGCATGAGAAGTTCTCAACCACGGTCACCAAGATCAGAGTCCTGAGGAAGCTCAGGGGTGCCTTGTGGGTCTTCTCCAATCACATTCGGGACAGGAAACTAAGTTTAATTCCCTGATTAAAAAAGGCTATAATTCCCTGATTTAAAACGTTTCATTCCCTGATTAAAAAAGGCTGGAATTTTTCTGATTCCAGCCAAGAAAGAGGCTGGGCCAGAGTCAGTGTCACGTACAAGCTCACAGGTTTCACGTCTGCCCCTTCTCCTGATATGAGACTATGCAAAGCAGTATCAGCACTCATCTGCTGCACTTTTTGCTGTCAATCCATTTTCTTTCTTTTCAGCTGTTGTCACTTTTTCGTTTTCTTTTCTGCTCCCTGAAAAAGAAAGATGTGGTCCATGCGGTCTAAATTCCAAGGCTCAAGCTCTTCCGCTGGAGCTCAGGTGGGGCTCAGGCTGTGGCTCCTGCAGCCGCATGGGAGAGGCTGATGGGGCTTTCTTCTTTCCCCAGTGCTTGGGACCCTCCACCGTGTTTCATGGGGACTCATGTGGAAATTTGAGTGGCCCAGGGGAACTGAAGGGCATAAGCTTGTTTGGTGAGAGTGAAACGTGACTGTGGAATTGATTCTTTGTTGTGCAAACCAGAAGAAATTTTGAATTTTGTCAGAATCAAAACGGAGTCACTTTTGTTAAAACTTTTGCAAATGGGACTGGGAAAGGCCATAGAAGCAGGGTTCTCATACACTTACACTTGGTAACAAGAACTACCACAAATAGAGCCTAAAAAACACAACCTTGCACAAAATCCACCACAACTTTAGGAAAAAGCTACCCCCACAAGGATATGTCCTCATGTACTGTGAGTCCAACTTTCCACTGTTGCCACCCTTGTTATTAATCTTTGCAGCCCAGGAAAATTGTCTCAAAGCAACTTAGCAACTTACTTAGCCCTTCTTATTTTAACTTTAACTGCCTAAGAATTTATACCGTGAAGTAATTGCTTCATTTAGTGTTAATATTAATGCCCTTTTGACAATCTTTGAAGCTCTTTTTTTCTGATATTTCTTCCAACATAAAGAATGGGAGCTTTTTCACCATATAAAGAATTTTTAGGAAGATATGATGGAAAGGGAAACTCAATGTATTGTTCAGTGTTTCTGCCTAACACATCAATCTCTTAAAATATTTTGCTGTGTCTGCATGTGATAAAGCAGATGCTAACACTGGAGATAAAAGAAAAAAATGCACAGACCTTCCACATTCCAAATCATAAAGTGGTACTGGATGTGTTTCTGATGAAGTGAACCATGGGTCATAAGTGCTAGTGCAAGTAGCTTTGGAAAATGGAGTTCATAGCTTCTTAAAGTTTTGCTAGTTTTAATTTAAGAATGTTATTTACTATTTCTTTTTAGTACAAGCTTTCCAGAAGATTCTTGATGGTAATGGAAGTGTCGCATTTAAGAATTACAAATGACTCACAGAGTTACTTTGTAATTTTTTCTGTAGGGTGTACATGTCAGTCACTTGACATAAAAGCTCATATGTCACAGATAGAAAAATGAAAATTGAGCCAATTTTAATAACTGCAGTGGAAATAGTTTTTGGCAATGAGTGCTTCAAGACAACCACAAAATAAATCGGCAAAATATTAAAATACAGCAGGAATCTGATCTCAGTTTCTCTGCCTTATAAGAACAAGGCTGTCCCACATCAAAATTATTATTCAAGCTCTAGGAAAAAATACACTTTTGGATTCTGGAAGCTAAAAGCTCTCTCCTTAGATAGTGCTAAAGTACTTGTGAAATGCAGAGTTGTGTTCATGAAAAAGATGACTTTATTGTGATTTTTTTTTTTTTTTTTTTGCCTGTTGACAACTCACCAATCTGTCTCAGATGTAAAGCCCTGCTCTATGGGTTGAATGTGGTTGCACATGACTGGCAGAGACTGATTATTCATATCTCCAGGTGCCCTGTCTTTGGAGCAGCTACAGGAGTCAGGCCCAGACTAGAAGAGCCCACACTGACCTTCTGCATCACTTATGCTCTCTCTGGCCACTACATCACAAACAGTGCTTATGACTGGGCCTGAATCTGCCAGCCCAGGAAAGGGCTGGAATGGATGGGGTGCATTGGTAGTGATGGTGGGGGTCCTACTAGCCTGTGGCAAATGGAAGCATCTCTTTTTTATCAGACTGAATAATATTGTAGTGTTTTCTTATACCACATTTACTTCATCCCTTTGTGCATTAACACTTAGGTTGTTTTTATATATTGGCTGCCATAAATAGAGCTGCAATTAATATAAGAGCACAGGTGTCTTTACAAGTTCATGATTTTATTTCCTTTCCCTGTATTTCCAGAGAAGCGTTTGCTGAGTCATATTGTATTTCCATTTTTGATTTATTTATGAGCTGCTATACTGTTTTTCATAATGGTGCAACTAAAAAATGGTGTAGTCATCATGAAAAACAGTTTTAGTTTTTGACATAATCCAAACACAATGTTTGAATCTGGTTATCTATAGGAGTTTCTAGTAAAATTGGTGAATGTAAATTAAAAAGCAGTAAGAAAAATCTGCAATTCAGAAATAGTGTACCCAGATGGTCTTTCTCTCCGAAATGAAAGAGAAATAAACTATTTCTCAGGTGAGATAAACTAAGATATTTTCTTCACACTTGACCAGTCATACAAGAAATATTCAAGGGAATTTTTGTATAAAAGCCAGCATATGAAAACCATCAGCTTGGAAAAAAACACACAAAACCTATATTTCAATGGTAGAAACAATTAAAAAAGGAGAAAAGAAACAAACATTATTACTACAAAACAACATCAAATCATAAAACCAAACAGAAAGAGAATAAACAAAGATAGAGATATATACATATATACAAACAATCATAAAACAATAAAGAAAATAATTTGAGTAAATACTTATAAATAATAACCTTATGTAATAAAATTCCTCAATTAAAAATACAGTATAAAAATTGATTTTATTAAAGTCCCAACTCTATGCTGCTTACAAGAGACTCAAATCATCTGAGAATCTACACACAGACTGAAAGTGAGTGGGTGGAAAAAAGATATGCTACAAAAATAGAAACCAACAGCACAAATAGCTCTACTTATATCAGACACAAATTTTAAGTCAAATGCTGTAAAGGGAGACCAAAATGGACATTATATAATAAAAAATGATCAATGTAGCAAGAATACGTAACAACTGTAAATATACATATATACATATATGTTATATATATGTAACAAGAACACATAATTGTATATATATACATATATACACACACACATATATACATATGTACCCACACCTGAGAACTCAAATATGTAAAGCAAATCTATTACATAGTAAGGGATAGATACTAACCTTATACAATTATAGTTGGAGAATTTAACACGTTATTTAGCATTGGATATGTTACCTAGCCAAAAATTAACAGACAAACATTGGATTTAAACTGCACTATATTCCAAATGGACCTGAATTTACAGACCATTGCACCAAACAACTTCAGAACACATATTCTTTTTTTTTTAAGAATTAAATGGATGTGTTTATTTATCTTTTTTTATTATTATTATACTTTAAGTTTTAGGGTACATGTGCACAATGTGCAGGTTAGTTACATATGTATACATGTGCCATGCTGGTGTGCTGCACCCATCAACTCGTCATTTAGCATTAGGTATATCTCCTAAAGCTATCCCTCCCCTCTCCCCCCACCCCACAACAGTCCCCAGAGTGTGATGTTCCCCTTCCTGTGTCCATGTGTTCTCATTGTTCAATTCCCACCTGTGAGTGAGAATATGTTTGGTTTTTTGTTCTTGCGATAGTTTACTGAGAATGATGATTTCCAGTTTCATCCATGTCCCTACAAAGGACATGAACTCATCATTTTTTGTGGCTGCATAGTATTCCATGGTGTATATGTGCCACATTTTCTTAATCCAGTCTATCATTGTTGGACATGTGAGTTGGTTCCAAGTCTTTGCTATTGTGAATAGTGCCGCAATAAACATACGTGTGCATGTGTCTTTATAGCAGCATGATTTATAGTCCTTTGGGTATATACCCAGTAATGGGATGGCTGGGTCAAATGGTATTTCCAGTTCTAGATCCCTGAGGAATGGCCACACTGACTTCCACAATGGTTGAACTAGTTTACAGTCCCACCAACAGTGTCAAAGTGTTCCTATTTCTCCACATCCTCTCCAGCACCTGTTGTTTCCTGACTTTTTAATGATTGCCATTCTAACTGGTGTGAGATGGTATCTCATTGTGGTTTTGATTCGCATTTCTCTGGTGGCCAGTGATGGTGAGCATTTTTTCATGCAGAACACATATTCTTTTCTTCAGCGCATGTGATACTCTTCAGAGTTGATCATATATTAATACAGAAAATGTATCAAAAAATTTAAATAAAATTATACCGACGTTTTATCTGACTAAGATAGAGTCAAAGATGGAATCAAACTAAACATCAGTAACTGGAGGAACTTCTTTTTTTTTTTTTTTTGAGATAGACTCTTTCTCTGTATCCCAGGCTGGAGTGCAGTGACAGAATCTCGGCTCACTACAACCTCCACCTTCCGAGTTCAAACCATTCTCCTGCCTCAGCCTCCTGATAAGCTGAAATTACAGGCACCTGCCACCACTCCTGGCTAATTTTGGTATGTTTAGTAGAGAGGGGGTTTCACCATGTTGGCCAGGCTGGTCTTGAAATCCTGACCTAAAGTCATCCACCAGCCTCGGCCTCCAAAGTGCCGGGACTACAGGCATGAGCCACCACCCAGCCTGGAGAAAATTTCAAAAAAATATAAACACAAAAATTAAACAAATCACTCTTACATGGCCAATGGGTGAAAGAAGACATTAAGAAGAAAATAAAAAATGTATGAAACAAACAAAGAAACACAACATACCAAATCTTATGGCGTTTAGTCAAATCACTATTATGAGGCAAGTTTAGAGCAATAAATGCCCACATCAAAAAGTAGAAATATCTTAATTAATCAAAATAACAATGCATGTTAGAGAACTTGAAGAACAAGAAAAAGCTAAATTCAAAATTATTTTTAAAAACAATAAAGAGCAGATTAGATATAAATGGAATTAAGACTAAAAATACCAGAAAATATTAAAATAGCAATAGTCTTTTTAAAAAAGATAAGCAAAATTGAAAGCCATTAGCTGGGCTAACAAAAAAAATATAAAGAGCTAAGACATGAATAAATGAGGTAGAAACAGAAGATGTCTCAACTGATATCCCAGAATTAAAATAAATTAGGAAATACTATAATAAATTATGTGATAAATGTGAAAACCTAGAGGAATTGGATACATTCCTGGCCATATACTACCTGACAAGATTGAAAAAGGAAAAAATAGAAAGCCTTAACAGACCAATAAAAAGTAATGAGAGGGACTCACTTAAAAAATCTATATCCTATTGAACATAAATAAAAAAACCCAAATTACTAGCACAGCAAATCAAACAGCATTTAAATACTAATACTAATACTAATACAGCATGACAAAGTAGAATTCAACCCAGGGATTCAATTATGCTTTAATATACACAAGTGAATAAACATGATATATCACGTATATACGACAAGGATGAAAAACATATTTTTACTTTAATAGATGCAGAATAAGTACTTTATAAAACTCAAAACCTCTTCATGAAAAAAACTCTCAATTATGTGTAGAAAGAACAACACAATAAGACCACATGACAAGTTCATAGCTAACATCATACTTAACAGAAAAAAAGTTTAATGCTTTTCTTCTGAAAACTGGAAAAGACAAGGAAGCCAACTCTCAGCACTTATTCAACACAGTACTGAAGGTACTAGCCAGAGCAGTTAGACAAGAGAAAGAAATAAAGGGGATTACAATTAGAAAAAAGGTAGCCAAATTACCTCTAATTTCAGATGACATAATCATATATATACTAAAGACTCTTGTAAATGCTCTTAGAGCTGATGAATTTAGTAAAGTTTCAAGATACAATATCAACATAGAAATCTCAGTGGGGTTTCTATACACAAACAATAAACTAGGTAAAAAAAATCAAGAAATCCCATTTTCAGTAACTACAAAAACTATTAAACACCTAGGAATACATTTCACCAAGGAGGTGAAAATCCGTAAATGAACAAACTATGAAACACTGATATAATTAATTGAATGAGACAAACACAAAATAAGAAGGACAATCTGTATTCATGAACTGGAATAATTTATATTGTTAGAATGACCATAATGCACATGACAATCTACATATTCAATGTCATCTCTATGAAAATACCAATGGCATTATTCACAGAAATATTAAAAAGCATTATTAAAATTTGTATACAATTGAAAATACCCCAAATGACTAATGCAGTCTTGTGGATAAAAAACAGAGGTGGAGGTATTAACAACCAGATTTCAAAAAAAATTATAAAACTGTAATAACAAAAACAGCGTAGTGCTGGCATAAAAATCCATGGAAAAAAGTAGAGAAACCAAGACATTAATCCATATATTTATAGATAACTTATTTGCAACAGAGGCACCAAAAATATTTATTGTGAAAAGAAAAGTATCCTCAGTAAATTGTGTAGGGAAAAACTGAATATCCATATGCAGATGAATGAACTTACATTCCCACATTTAACTGTATATAAAAATGAAATAAAAATAAGTTAAATACTCAAATGGAAGACCCAAAACTATAAAGCTGCTCTTAAAAACTTAGAAATAATGCTTCATGAAATCTGTCTGGAAAACAATTTTATAAATAAGACCTCAAAAGTACAGTCAACTAAATAAAACACAAACGAATTAAATTTTATCAAACTAAACAGTGTTTACACAGTAAAATAATCCAAATATTGAATAGATAACATAAAAGTGGTAAAATGTATTTTAAACTATTAATTAAACAGGCTATTAATATCCAGAATATACCAGAAAAATAAATGTCTCAACCACAAAAATATAAATAATCTTATTTTATAACAGACAATTAACCCAAATAAGCAGACGTTTCTCAAAGAAACACATACAAGATGCCAGAAAATATTTGAGAAAAAATGCTCACCATCGCTAATAATCAGGAAAGCACAAATTTAAACTACAATGAAATATTATCTCACCCCAGACAGAATAGCCATATTCAAATACATAAAAATAGTGCTAATGTGGATGAAGATAAAATGGGACATGTATACACTGTTGATGAGAATGTACACTCATACAGCCACTATGGAGAGACGTATAGAAGTTAGTAAAACCACAAATGCAACAATCATATGATACAGAAATTTTACGACTGAACATTTGTCCCAAGGACAGGAAATTAATATATTGAAGAGGAAAATCAATATTTTGATGAGATTTCTTCACTCCCATGTTTATTGCAGCCCTGTTCACAGTAGCCAAGTAATTGAATCAACCGAAGTGTTCAATATAAGGTGAGTAGAGAAAGATGATGTGGAATATGTACATAATGGAATTCTACACAGCCATGAAAGATTAAATTGTGTCACTCATAGAAACTTGCATGTAACATATAAGACTCTATGTTAATTGAAAGAGCCAGGAACAGAAAGCTAAACACCACATGTTTTCACTCCCATAAAATAGTCAAGAAATATCCATAAAACATAAATAATTGAAATTGGACATGAACTATAGAAACAATAATTGTCACCTGAATATTTATTTTCCTTCAAATAATATATAATTCAATGATAGTAAGAAGAGTCCTGATAAATAAATCATGTTGAGATAAAGAGCTACTGAATTGTGCATTCCACACTAAATGGAAACAATGCCATAAGATCCAGTGTTGTGTAGGATCTGTTTACCTTTTTACCTCAAATACTACAAGTCACTCCCTTGTTCTAATCACCCCGCAAAACTGATATTTTGTTGCTTTATGTTATGTCAGTAAAAATGATTCCACATTGGAAGCTTCATGTGTTGCTCAGAAATCACCCTGTTGATAAAATGAGCACAACTACAGTTACAACCTTTCTGTAGATATTTTCTGCATATGATCCTCACTTTTTATTTGTTGTTTTTGTTCACAGTTTCTTTAAGCACTCAGAGTTATATAGCATATTTTCAGCATATTTTAATTATTTTCCATTGTTATGGTCAGTGCTCCTGTGGGCTCAAGAGTCAGGTGTTGTGTGACTGCCAGTTGACTTCACTGCCACCTTTACCTACACAAAACACTGCAAGATGAACCATGATGTGTAAGAACCCATCCACAAAGTGCTTCAAATAAAGACAAGGTGACTTGTGTATAGATTTAGTGAGACTGGGGAACAGTTCACGGTGTTATGTTACAGAGGAGCAGAAAGGTGAATCTCTCTCGGAGTTATTGAGGGTGTAAGAGCTGCAGTTTTGGAGGGTGGTGAAAGGCACTTTTGAGTGGGAAGCCCTAGAGCATGTGTGAAAGCTGAAGGAATGATCACCATGCACATGGACGCTGATGAGGCATGTGGTAAGGTCCATTCCCTCCAGATGTTCCTGGATGGGCGGTTGTAGGATGGCTCATGTATATGAAAATGTGGGCAGGGCTGAAATAGGAACAAGGCCATCATCCCACGGGAATGCGAGAAAGCAAAACAGAGATGGACACCCATGAAGAGAGCTCATTAGACCTGGTGAAGGAAAGATAGGAATCTCTTCCAAAGGCTCCGCTGTTCTTGGCTAAATATGAATTGTGGTGATAGACTGAAAATAAGGAGGGGAAGGGAGATATGACTCAAGAGAGGAAAAACCCTAAGACAGCATAAACCAAATCTACACAGAACAATCACATGGTAGATGCCAGGGTGGGGCTGAAACAGGAGCTTCAATCTACTGGGTACCTAGTTGAGATCCTTTGACATTTCTTGTGAGGTAATTCTAGTGATGATGAATTTCCTCAGTTTTCCTTTGTCTGGGAAGTATTTCTCTATCCTTCATTTCATAAGAGATGTTTTATCAATTTTAGGTTCTTGGTTGGCTGCTTTTTCCCCCCAGAAATTTAAATCCAGTTATTTGCTGCATAACAAAGTTTCTGCCAGTAACAGATGGTGGTTCCACGGTGCTATACTTCCTTACTTATCTATATCTCTTTATGTTTAGATACACAAATAATTACTACTATGTTTCCATGGCCAACAGTATTCACTACGGTTGTTTCTGAGTCACTGGGGTGTTGCTTTTTCTGGCCAGAACCCTCTGTGGCCAGTGGCACTTTTGCCTGAGTTCTTGTCCTACATGTGGAAAGAATGAAGTATGCAGCCATGTGGAGGGTAAGCAAGACAAAGCCTAGCTTCATTAAGCATTAGAGCATCTCAGAGGAGACCCCCAGTGAGTAGCTCCTCTCTGTAGGCAGGTAGACTGGTTGAGTGTTCAGCTCTAAGCAGAGAGGGTAGCTCCTCCCTGCAGCCGGTCGTCCTGTGGTCTTCCCAGTTCTCAGGAGAGAGGGTAGCTCCTCCCTGCAGCTGGTCGTCCTGTGGTCTTCCCATTTCTCAGGAGAGAGGGTAGCTCCTCCCTGCAGCTGGTCGTCCTGTCGTCTCTCCATCCTCTGTCCTGCTCCAGCTGAGGCCAGGGGTTTTTACGGACCTCCGAGGGGAGGAAGTGCAAGCCCATTGGTCCATGGGTGCTCATGGGTGGGCCGTAGGAAGCACCACAAGTCCCGACTCTGGTCTGAGGATCTGGGAGCCCCGGCCCAGCCTTCAGGCCCTTCCTGGGGACCCGCCCCTGTGCACAGGAATCTTCCTGCCTCCTGTTGTAGTTCATGGTCCCTGGGGCTCCGCCCTGACTTTGCTCCAAGATCAGAGCAGGCACCAGCAGCAGGAAGAAGCCAGGAAGTGGGAGCAGGCACTTCGGAGCATGCAAGAGCACAGGGCTTTTCCTGGGGACCCCAAGAGTGCAGGGGCGCCTGAGGCCGCAGCCCCCGGTTTGCGGAGCAGGGCTTCTGCCGGCTTCATGGAGCGAGAGGCCCGTGTCTTCAGCCGCAGTTTGGGAGGCTGCAGCCACAGCCGGGGAGGCAGGGCTCCTTCCTGTTCCTCGACCTCCAAGAGCACAGAGTCCGAGCCCACTGCCCTGGTTTGCGCAGCTGGAGCCGCACCTGAGAGATGAGAGCTGCTGCCTGCTCCTGGCTCCCACCGGCTCCGAGGAGCATCAGCCCCTCCACCCCTCCTTGCAGCCTGGGCAGGGGCTCCTGATCCTCTCTGGGCCCTGGCCGGCGTCCAGGGCAGGAGTGACATCTCCACAAGCTCCCCGCATTGCCCCGGTGCTCAGGGAGGCCCGGGCAGAGCTGATGACGACCCCGGCCCGTAGTCGGGAGTGGCGGCCTCCATGGTCACCCTGACATGCGGCTGAACCCTGGGGACGCGGCCCAAGCAGCCTGCACAGAACCTCCCAAGGCCCAGGAACCCCGCACCCTAGGCGGGGTGGGCACAGCGGCTGCTCCGCTGCCCGGGTTTTCAAGGAGGCGCCACTTCCACTTCCCTCCCTGGAACCCCGAAGTTTGACATGGGGGCTCCTTTCTGCCTTGCTCCGCAGCTCCCCTTCCCCCGGAGTGGAGCCCCCTGTTTCCCTGGCGTTCCCTCCCACAGCTGCAGTGTTCTCCATCGGTGTCATCACCTTCCAGCTCTGCTGCCCTGCTCTGCAGACTAAGGCTCTGATTCCGTAAGAGAGGGGAGCTGCTTCCCAGTAGAACCTTGCTGGGGAGCTCTGTTCCCATCTCAGTTCCTGAGGGGTTAAACCAGTGCATTTAGGATACTGGTTTTGGTGGTTTGCCCCTGTTGAGTAATTTCTTAGTTCTCTAGTGGGTGTAAGAGACTTGGCTCTGGAAGCATTTCAGAAGTGTGGGCTCTGATACACCCCAGACAGACACTTTGGGAAGGGAAGATTTTTGTGACTATTCTCATTATAAGGGAAAGGCATTCAAAAGAATAGAAAAACTCTCCAGTATGTGGTTCCTGAGAATTTCTCACTAAAAACATGCTTATCACACTCGACTCAAAACAGTTCAATGTATATTAGTGTATTTTATCTTGTACTAGCCTTTATTGCATTTGGTGAACTCTGCCCCAGTTCAGCTCATACTCTAGCTTTGATTCTCCCTACAAAAACTTGTCTCTCTCTAGATTTCAGATTTGTTGATTGTCTTAAAATTTCAATGATCTGAAGTATTAAAGAAAATTTGCAAAAGTCCATTTTCTCTGATTAACAGTTATTGTTGATTTTATTCTTGTTGTAAAAAAAAGAAATTCTCATCTATGTACATTTCAAACCTGAATAACAAAATTTTTATTAACACCAAAAATAATAAAAGAATCCAAATATTTATCAGCTGCCTAATAGAAAAACAAATCATGGTAACATTGTTCGCTGGAATATTACCCATCATTCATAATAAGGGAATGTCTGATACACAAAATAAGAAGATAAAATTATCAAGTATTTAAATTGAGTAAAATAAGCCAAACAAATAAGAGTATGTATGATTCTATTTTTAAAAATTCTGGAAAATGAAAACTGATCTAAAGTAATATAAAGAAGATTAGTAGTTTCCTGGGAATATGTTGGCAGAAGGGAAGGAGAAAGGATAAGGAAATAGAAATAGGAAGTAGAAGGACAGAAAAGAAGTTGAGGGAATTTCACTTGTCCACCTTCCTTATAATGGTAATAGTTATGCCATGATTATCAGTTTTACACTTTAAATATGTAAAGTTTATAATCTGTCAATCAAATCTTATAAAATGTATTATGAGGAAACAAGTTGAAAATTAGACAATGTAGGAGTGACAGAAAGATAGATATGAGTATGTTGAATGTCAGAGATACCTGAAAGTTTATCTACCTGAACCCTAGTTCTCTCCATAGTTTAAGGTAAACAGGAGAGTGCAGGAAAATCATCCATATTCTGATTAGGCAGTGGCTTCTGCAAACCACACTAGGCCTGGCCGGCTGTGTCCTGGAGTTGGCTAAGGGAGGAGTCAGGGCCAGTGGTGAGAAGTGCAGGCCCAGATACCAGAACTCACTCATCCCAGACATGAGCTCTTAGATACACAGAGAGCCCATCCATGTGTGGATTTATCTTACATCTGTAAGTAGAGAACATTGACTCTTACAGAACATAATTTACACACATAGGTAAATCTGAAATAAGGTGATCAGTGTGAAGATTTTATCACAGCACAGTTTCATAATAAGCACAATTTCTCAAATCCCATTGTTGTCACCCATCTTCCTCAGGACACTTTCATCTGCCCTGGGTCCTGCTCTTTCTTCAGGTGTCTCACCCCAGAGCTTGATATATAGTAGGAGACATGCAAATAGGGCCCTCACTCTGCTGAAGAAAACCAGCCCTGCAGCTCTGGGAGAGGAGCCCCAGCCCTGGGATTCCCAGCTGTTTCTGCTTGCTGATCAGGACTGCACACAGAGAACTCACCATGGAGTTTGGGCTGAGCTGGGTTTTCCTTGTTGCTATTTTAAAAGGTGATTCATGGAGAACTGGAGATATGGAGTGTGAATGGACATGAGTGAGATAAGCAGTGGATGTGTGTGGCAGTTTCTGACCAGGGTGTCTCTGTGTTTGCAGGTGTCCAGTGTGAGGTGCAGCTGGTGGAGTCCGGGGGAGGCTTAGTTCAGCCTGGGGGGTCCCTGAGACTCTCCTGTGCAGCCTCTGGATTCACCTTCAGTAGCTACTGGATGCACTGGGTCCGCCAAGCTCCAGGGAAGGGGCTGGTGTGGGTCTCACGTATTAATAGTGATGGGAGTAGCACAAGCTACGCGGACTCCGTGAAGGGCCGATTCACCATCTCCAGAGACAACGCCAAGAACACGCTGTATCTGCAAATGAACAGTCTGAGAGCCGAGGACACGGCTGTGTATTACTGTGCAAGAGACACAGTGAGGGGAAGTCAATGTGAGCCCAGACACAAACCTCGCTGCAGGGGCATCTGAGACCACGAGGGGGTGTCCTGGGCCCTGTGAACTGGGCTGCTCTCCGTGGCAGCGGCTGGTGGTGCTAAAGGCTGATTTTCTCTCAGCATCTGGGGCTGATTCATCAAGTTTCCTCAGAGAACCTTTCAGATTTACAATTCTGTACTTACGTTTAATGTCTCTGAATGTGACACTTTCCTTCCCTGGTGTGTCTTTGTTTTTGTGACAAGAGGACACATTCTCACCTCCACAGAAGCCCGAGTGTCACTTTGGGGACAGAAATGACCCTGCCCTGGTCACCAGAATCAGAGTCCCGAGGAAGCCCAGGAGGACCTGGGAAGTGTTTTTCAATCAGACTCAGGGCAGGCGTCTCCGTGGGAATCTCTGATTGGAACAGGCTTTGGGATTCAGATTGGGACCAAGAGGGAGGCTCACCCAGGGCCAGGGTCCTTAGAATCCTGACAGTTTTCACAGTAACCCCATCGTCCTTTAAAACTGAACATCTAACTCAGAACTGACCCATTTGGTCCTTTCTCTGTAATCCATTTTCCTTTTCTCTAGGCTTCATTCTTACACTTCCCTTTTCACCTTCATTCTGAAAATGGAGGGTGTGCTTCCTGTGGTCTAAACCACAGGCCTCAGATGCATTACCTGGAACTCAGGTGTGGCTCTGGCTATGGCTCCTGTGGACCTGGCAGGCTGAGGGATCTTTCTCATTCCCTGGTGCCTGCATGCCCCTGCTGTCTTCTATGCGTGGATGCATTTGGGAAATGCAAGTGGACACTCATAGTCGTTTCCTCAAATGGGATACTGTTGTAGAGCTGATCTTGTGCTTCTCACCCTGTCACAGAGCCCCCACTCTCACTTGTGGATTTTTGGGAGAGCTGAGGATGGACACTTTATTGGGCTGTGAGCTCTGCATGATGGCAATCGTGAGGTCTGGGTGGGCACAGCCAGAGCCAATGGAGCTGGCCAAAAGGAAAGACAGGACGGAATTCCTGGGAAGTCCTACAGCTGCTGTCTACCATAGAGTTCCATTGTCTTCTCCTCTGCTAGGATTAAACCAGACCGACCAAGTTCATCTAGGACAATCTTCCTGACCTAGAGAAGTGATGACAGGCTTTAATAACACCTGTATTATACATCAGAGCAACACCTAGATTAGTGTTTGATTGAATAATTGAGACTATGTCCTAGTCAAGGTGACACACAAAATCAATTATTACCATGATTAATATTTTATATTGATTAATATTTTAATACTAATATTAATCAATGCAATATTGATTTAATATTAATTAATATTTTATATTTGACAATAGAATCAGACTCATGTTATAAATAATTTTGCAAATATATGTATATTATTATTGGTCTTCTGAGCATAAATCTCCATTAGCCGATTAAGTGTGCATGCATTGGTCGAAGGAGGGCATCCACCCTTTTGAGGGAAAATGCATGGAGGGTAAATGAGGCTGGGAAGCTGATGGCATATGATGGAAGCCTGTCCCTGAGTGAAGGAGAGAGGGAGGCAGGATTGGGTGGAACTTTCCTACATTTCTGTGCTGTGCAAAGAAACTCCAGATTATCACTGAGTCTCCTGCAAGTCAAAGTTGCCCCTCAGGAAACCCCCATCACTCCCAGCAATGACTCTGCCCCAGATGAGTGCAAGGCTCACTCTATTCCTGAGAAAGGAGCACAGGATATGGGATTTAGCATGAGCCACGTCATGGACGTCAGAGAGCAGGAGCTGGGTGCATGATCCAAGTGCACTGTTCTGCCTGTAGGTGGAGAGAGGAAGGTGCATTCCCAGAGCTAACACACTGTGGATTTTTATACAGAATACACGTTTTCACCTGATTTATTGGAAGGCATATGAAAAAATGTGCAGTCCACAAACAATTGTAATTTCCAAATTTACCACAATTGCATTATTTCTTCATTCTGCATGATGTCCTGGAACAGAGTTACATTTTTCATGGGTATTGTTTCATGGATTGAGGACATGAATTTCACACCTGCCTTTTTAGCCATGTGCAGAGACCTTGAGTAGAGCATGTCTGGACCTCATCTACACTATCTCTCATGCCCCAAGGGAAAGAGTGGAGACTTGACTGACTGCAAACTTTGGGGTGGGAGCTGCTCCTGCACACCTCAGAGGCTGCAGAGACCCCAAGTGCAGTTTTATTGAGTTGGGGTGTCTTTCTATGTGGGGGAATTATGGGCTGCCCCACTCCTGGTGATTGCTGGTCAGCTCTAAAGACGGGTTCAGAATGAGGTCACCTGGTAACCTTTCTCACTGCAGCTCCATTATGTAAATTACCACTACCAGATTCCAGGTAATAATGCAAGCTCTATTTTTGCGACCTCATTTTCTTATCTTTTTTGTTCATAAGTTTGGTTATAGAAAATGTTACCACCTAGTTTCCTGATTCAAATCCTATAATTTGCTGAACTACTCAGGATGTTTTTTAATGTGCCCAGTATTTGGGAAATATAAATGAACAGCCATGTGTGGTTCACTGAGTGGACATAGTCAGTTAAGTACATTAGTAAAAACATGATTGCTGAATTGTATAGTGAAACTACAATTAGATTTGCAGAAAATTGCCTCCAGTAATGTCTGAAGGGAGAGCCACCCAGCCAATCCCGTCTCTGGGCTTGGAGGAAGCTCACTACACAGGCCAGGTCACATGGGTGATATCCAAGGTGCAGCTCCCAGCGTTACTGTGCTATTTTCCAGGAACCAGACATACAACTTGGCATCTCAGAAGAAGATCTCCAAGATTTCCTTTACCTGGACTTCATGGGCAGCACAGGACCAGCAGGAGATGCTCAGAACTCACCCAAGGCAGAACCCCAGGGAAGAGCAGGTGCGGAGAGGAACCAGCCAGGGAACCTCTGACCACCATCTAGGGTTGCCTTCTTTTCCTTCACAGCATGGAGCCCTCAGGAGACCACCCACTAGGTTGTCTGTAACTCACGTCCTTCTTGTCTTGAAGCAAAACAGACATAAATATGAATTTGCAGTTAGCCCCTTGAACCTGGGTCAATTTTTTCTGAGAATGCCAACTTAATCGTCAACATCATGGGCATTATATCAAAATCGAGATGGATATTTAGTCACCAGGAAGACAGTTTGTCTCATGGTAGAAGTGCTTATTCA
Source organism: Homo sapiens (assembly GCF_000001405.40). Taxonomy (NCBI): domain Eukaryota; kingdom Metazoa; phylum Chordata; class Mammalia; order Primates; family Hominidae; genus Homo; species Homo sapiens. Next base: position 106,807,236 of record NC_000014.9, on the reverse strand, counting down.
ATTAAAAATTACATTTTAATGAAAAGGTCTCTAAGTGAGGACTGTTCAAATAATAAAGTATTAGTGAAGTATCAGAAAAATAAATGGCACCATTATCTTTGGTATCCAGTTAATCTATAAAGCATATCAATATTCATGTTGTAAGTGGCCTAGGACAAGTTATGGCAGTATTTAGGCTATAAGGAGACATTGCTTTCCTTCTTAGATAGGAATGTCCTTTTTTATCATACTTTAAGTTCTGGGGTACATGTGCAGAATGTGCATGTTTGTTACATAGGTATACAAGTGCCATGGTGGTTTGCTGCACTCATCAACCCGTCATCGACATTAGGTATTACTCCTAATGCTATCCCTCCCCTAGCCCCCCACCCCCCAACAGGCCCCAGTGTGTGATGTTCCCCTCCCTGTGTCCATGTGTTCTCATTCTTCAACTCCCACTTATGAGTGAGAACATGCAGTGTTTGGTTTTCTGTTCCTGTGTTAGTTTGCTGAGAATGATGGTTTCCAGCTTCATCAATGTCCCTGCAAAGGACATGAACAGGAAATTCCTTCTAAATGAACTGTGTTTTGACAAATATTATCCAGTGACTCTTCCTACATGGGGTTTCTACATGATCTATTTTTCTTTTCCAAAAACAAATCACTCAAGTTTCTCATCTCCTGAGTGAGAAAAATTTTCCCCAAACACAATCTCAGTCTAGGTAGACACCTTCATGAATGAGCCTTCATTCTCAGACAGGCACACACTGTCCCCATGTGGATGCTTCTCTCAGACAGGCACACATATCCCCACATGGTTGGGATCATCTGCTGGGACTTTGCCCCATGGGGATCTCTATTATCACTGGGGCAAGTTAGCACCTCGATCCTCATCCACACTGTGGCCTTTGATGTCTGTGACCTGCCACACCCTGTCTGTCCCTCAGTGTCTAGAATGGTGAAGTAGTCCACCCCAGGGATGGAGGAAGATCCCAGATTTTCCTGTGAAGGAGACAGAATGCCAATCACAGAGATGGAAATCTCTCACATCCCTCCTGGGTCATATTCTGGGCAGGGTCTCTGAAGTCACCCCTGGATCAGTGTCCTAAGATGTCTCCCTCTATTTCCTTGGGAAGAACCCATAGAAAGACAAATAAGTTTTTCTATTAGGGCATCGTAGAACTTGTGCTTTCTTGTGTGACAAATATAGGTATTTTGACTATTTTAAAAATTAGATATAATATTAAGTCTACCAAATATGTAAATATATAAGCTTTATAATGTATCCCTACAGGGATGTCTCCTGGAATTGAGAATTGAATATATATATATATATATATATATATATATATTCCAAGATAAATCTTGGTGAACATTATAAAATTGACTCTAATATTTATGTTCAAGATGATCATTTCAAAAAAGTTTTAACAACAGAGACCAGATGTATCTTTCCACCAGAAATAACTGTAAAACACAGTGAAATTTTTTAAACATGATTTTAAGGTATTTTACATCAAATAACAAGGACAGTGATTGCTGAGGTGGGGAAAATATACAAAAGGAGCCCTCTGATGAACGCATGCTTTGCTACTTTTTAAAGAGAGTTTCCAGGCCACAGTGCTGAAGAGGAACCAGGTAGATTTGAAGTTGAGGAAAAGGAGCTGAGATCCCAGACAGGCCAAGAAGTGTGGAGATCACAGACTAGACAGTGGATAGCAGAACACTGTTCAGAGAGTGAGCCCCGTAGATGGCCGGAGAGAGACCCAGCCTTGGTAGAGTGTGGATCAGTGTATGGGAACCCTGGAAAGTTGTACATGAGAACACACCTTACTCTAGGGGGCTTGCCTTAAAATCTAAAATTACCCTAAAATTTAAACATAATCAGTTACAAATTTTAAAACATAAAGAAAGACACCATGTTAAAGAAAGATAAAGGAAAGGTGGATTTGCAATATTAAAATATAAAAAGTGTATTTCTGAACAAATGATAATACTGATGAGGGGGGACAAGTTTATTCCATCACGGCAAATGATTTAAGAGAAGAACATTCCAAATGCTTATGGCCCTAATGAGGAAGCTTCAATCACGAATATAAATAGAGTTATCTCATTACCAGTGTGATGGTGTGAGAAACTTCAAGATTTCCAAAGAGACAACCTAATCTGGTAAAAATTATAGAAACCCAACCTGTACTATCAAGGAAAATTATTCTGAGAACACACAGTAAATGAAATCCATTGACTGACATAAAGTCCTCCTGTTGACTGAAGGGTTATGACCCCCCACAAGGCATATGTTGGAATCTCAACTCCATCGTGACGGTGGCAGGAGGTGGGGCCTTTGGTCTCCTTTGAAAGGTGTTGAGGCTCCGTTTCATGAATGGAATCAGCGTCCTGATACAATACCCCAGAGAGCTCCCTCTTTCCTTCCACCAGGTGTGGTCACAGTAGGAAGGTGGCAATCTATAAATAAAGAATTGGGACATCACCAGATACCAATCTTTAAGTCATCTTTATCTTGAACTTCCCAGCCTTGAAAATTGGGACAAATGCATTTATGTTATTTCTGAGCCACCCAGTCCATGATATCCTCTTATAGCAACTCAAACAGTCTTAGCAAGTGCAGTGAGGATCACAATACTTGAGAGAAGAGCATTACCTCTTCTTTACATCTCAGGATCACAGAATCTTGACCTTGGGCTGAACTGACAAGAAGGTGGTGCTTCCCTCTCCCCCAGATCTCAGTTGAGGTCATGATGTCAGATCTTTATGGTGGAGACTAAATTCCTGCCTGTGATTTGATGGATGCCTTTCTCCTCCCAGCCTCACTCACAAGACATAGTTTCCATGTCAGGTGTTATAGACCAAGAACAGGTGGACCCCGATTATTCTCACCCCAGCTCACTTGTAGGGCAGAGGTTCTGGGAGCTTCCTGGGAGAGGAACAGTGAGATCATACAAGTCCATCACTTCCATGCAGTTTTCTGTACTTAAAGCAGGAGTGTCCTTCTGAGCTGCTTGAACCCTTTCTTCTGCACCAAGGTAGAGACTGGCATGTTTTTCTAGTGATACAGTCAGGGCATAAAAACAGTGATAGAAAGCTCTCTCTAAAGGGCGTGACCAGATTTGCAGTAGAATGAGAATAGTTTCAACCCTAAAGTTCATCTAAAATGTTAGTGGTTTTCATGGTAAGTAATTAATAGAAACCTGACAGCTCCATGACAGCAATATAGAAATCAATAGTCCACTCATTTTAACAGAGAGAATTAGAAAACCTATAATTTAAGAATAACCAGCTGGGCACTGTGGCTCTGCCTGCAGTTGAATTTACTTGGGAGTTTGAGGTGAGAGGATCACTTGAGCCCAGGATTTCAAGCGCAGCCTGGAAACATAGCTAGACTTAATTTCTTGAAAAAAATCAGTGCTATTTTGGGGTCAGAACAATCCTCAAAAATGGTCCCCGGAAAGAAGCCCAAATTTAATTGCACCAGATTGTTGAACGATTTATGCTACAAAACAGTGTCACATGTCAGAAATGAGCACAGTGTAACATCTACATGGTTTGTTAAGAGACACAAATGGTCAAGTAGAACAATCAGGTAATTAGGCTGTCGAAGGCAACACTGCCAAATGACAGCATTTCCGTGGAAACTGCGTGTACATCCAGGACTGCACCTGTGAACGATGACATCATACCCTTCACAGTGTCGAGGAAAGAGACATCACTCAAACAGACAAGCCAAGGGACTTCAGAAAATATAAGGGGAAATACAGTGTGCAAATATGTAAAAAATGCAATAAGATGATTACTCCTAAATGAATATCAAGACACAATCACATAATATGAAATTAAATTTTCCTGAATGATAGGATTACTACCAATCACCCCCCAGGACACCCTCATCTACTCTGTGCACAGCCTTCTCGTCAGGCGTCCCAGCCCAGACCTTGCTATGTAGCAGAAGACATGCAAATAAGACCCCCCTTTTTGCTGATGAAAAGCAGCCCAGCCCTGACCCTGCAGCTCTGGGAGAGGAGCTCCAGCCTTGGGATTCCCAGCTGTCTCCACTCGGTGATCGGCACTGAATACAGGAGACTCACCATGGAGTTTGGGCTGAGCTGGGTTTTCCTTGTTGCTATTTTAAAAGGTGATTCATGGGGAACTAGAGATACTGAGTGTGAGTGGACATGAGTGAGAGAAACAGTGGACGTGTGTGGCACTTTCTGACCAGGGTGTCTCTGTGTTTGCAGGTGTCCAGTGTGAGGTGCAGCTGGTGGAGTCCGGGGGAGGCTTGGTCCAGCCTGGGGGGTCCCTGAAACTCTCCTGTGCAGCCTCTGGGTTCACCTTCAGTGGCTCTGCTATGCACTGGGTCCGCCAGGCTTCCGGGAAAGGGCTGGAGTGGGTTGGCCGTATTAGAAGCAAAGCTAACAGTTACGCGACAGCATATGCTGCGTCGGTGAAAGGCAGGTTCACCATCTCCAGAGATGATTCAAAGAACACGGCGTATCTGCAAATGAACAGCCTGAAAACCGAGGACACGGCCGTGTATTACTGTACTAGACACACAGTGAGGGGAGGTCAGTGTGAGCCCGGACACAAACCTCCCTGCAGGGGCGCGCGGGGCTACCAGGGGGCGCTCGGGACTCACTGAGGGCGGGACAGGTCCCAGGAACAGGTGCAGCGGTAGGTTTTCTTTCTCCTCAGCTGGAGAAGTCAGGTTTGTGTTTTCAGAACTCTGGAGTCTTACAGGTTGCTACATTTTCATACAGTTATTAGTATGTATTTATTATCATTGGTATTTAAGTTTTAATAATTTTAAACCTTTTATGTAGTGTTATTTTTTAAAACTGTTTACTTTCATTTGCAGTTATTCTTCCAGAGTTTCATTAACATCTATTGCTATGAGCAACTACATAGCTATGAGAGCATAAATTTACACCTGTAGACGTAGGTCTAAATGCCACAAACCTGTGCATAAATGTATAGTGACTTATATTTAACATTATAATAAGATAATTTTTAAAATATATCCTAAACGATCAAACTTACTGATGAACTAAATATAAATTATCAGAGTAATGCATAATTGATTTCAATAATTTTATATTGTTTATATTAATTAATATCTATTTCTTTACTGAAACATAATATATTGGTCATTTCAAAATAGCTACGATACATTTCAAATGGCCTTGATGCTAATAATGAAAAGATTTTGAGGTGATTAATATGCTAATTAGTTATATTTAATTATTCCATATTGTATTAATATATCAAAACATTGCTTTGTACCTCATAAATAGATACAGTCGTAATTTGTCAATTTTCAAGACAGTTATTTAATCCATCCTGGGTCATAATCTTTTTTTCCCCTGTCCATGGCTGATTGGATTGTCCTGATAAACCCATCCATACGCCTGCCTCCCGCAGGCTTCTGAGACGGGCTCCATGAAGGCCAGAAGCAGGCACCCTGTGAGAGTCCACACGACCTGGAGCCTCCCTCTCCTTGGATTAGGCCATCTCCTCGGGATCGCAGGGCTCTTCATTATCCTCACCCCCTTGTTGTACCAAACAAGCAACATCACACTTTAATTCATCACGCTTTGCTTTAATTTTCCCCCCAAAAATCAAGGTAATAATTTTAGCAATAAACATCACAACCTACTATGAGTAAGTCCTTTCCAACGTACTAAGGTTTCTTCTGAGGACTTTACATGTATTACACAGTTTAAATTTCTTTATGAAATGAGATACCAATATCTCTATATTAGAGATTGTTTTTCTAAGTCGTTTCTGACAATTAATTTGTCCAAGGGCCTGTAAGGATTCTGTTAGAAATCCAGGATAAAATTTGAAATTTCAGCAGTAATATCTGGAAAAACATTGAGACTATATTTAACTTCGTACACGTGCTCTCAAATATCCTTATTTCCCTAAAGGTTGTTCTCAGTTATTATTTTACACATGATATCTATAATTAATACTAATAACACAGGTTAAAATATTATCTCAATTATTTAACGACTTTTGATAATAACAAAATACATATTCCACATATTTTTGACCAGTTTGTTTTCTCTATGAAACACGTGTTTATTAACTTATTATTATCAGATGTCACCCTTATCTTTCTGATTTCTGGGATTTAATTCTAGCAGGTATCGTTTAGTATATTTTATTAATTCATATTATATTGTTCACATTTTCAGTATGATTTTATTATTTGCATTGTTTATTGAATTTGAAACTTTCTTACATAATTTTTTAAATTTTTTATTTTCATGAGATGTAATTTCAATATAAGTAATAATGCATAGATCTGCAATGTACCATTACAGGATTTCTGGCAAATGTAAACACACTTGTCCCCAACAGCCAAGGTTGGATGTAGAGGAGGCCCATTCCCCCAGCACAAGCGACCTTCTCTGTGCTTCCAGTCAGCTCCCACATTTAACACAATGTTTTGATTTCTGCCACTGTAGATTCACTGTTCATGTTTTGATTTTCATATAAATGGATTCAAACATTATAGACCCCTTTTCTGGTAAGGGGCTACTTTTGTTATTTTTGACGTTTATTTATGCTATTTCATATGTAAAATTGCATCTGTATATTGTCATTTATTCACTTAACAGACTGCCTCTGATATAAAATCTCAAAGTTTTGATATATATGGATAAAGAGAGAGGGAGAGAGAGAGAGGGAGAAATTTTATACTTGAGTCAGTGCATTTAACAATAAACGACAGTAAGCTGATCCATTTCCCTGTCAATGCACTTTTAATTTGTTTCTGGTTTATTAACATCATAAGCAAAGCTGCTGCACATATTTTTTGTTTTTCTATTTACCTTTTCTCATTTTTATTGAGAAAGTATGTGGAAATATCCATTTCTTCATCATAAAAGTAAACTTCATTTGTTCAGCTTTATGGAACTATAATTGACAATAAAATTGTATATATTTGAGGTGCACCACTTGATATTTTGGTATAAATTGTGAAATTTTCACTATGACCAAGGAGTTAGCATGTCTGTTACCCTACATTTGCCATTTTCTTCCTTTAATTTATATGTGTGTGTCCAATGAGAGCACCTGAGATCTATCCCTTTACCAGAGATCAAGTTTGCAATACAGTGTTGATAGCTATAGTCCCATTGCTTTACATTAGACCTCCAGAACCCATTCAACCTGCACAACTGAAACTTTATGCCCTTGACAAGAATCATTCTATTTCCACTCCTCCCAGCCCTGGGAACCACTTTTCTACTCTCTGCTTCTAAGAATTTGAATATTTTAGATTCCCCATATAAATGAGATAATGCAGCATTTGTCTTTCTGTGTCTGGCTTATTCCACTTAGCATAATGTTCTCCAGGCCCATCCATGTTGTTGGAAATGTTATAATTTCCTTATTTTTAGAGGTCACATAATATTCCATTGTATGTGTATACATTTGCTTTATACACCCATTTACCTACGGTCACTAACTTTAAAAAAATTCTAGGCCATTATGAATAATCTTGTAATAAACATATTTTTTACTTACTGATTTTATTTCCTTTGAATACGCAGCCAGAAGTGGGATCACCAGATCACGTAATAGTTTTACTTTCAATTTATAAAATAACTTTTACTACCACTCCACTGAATAATTCTCTTTTCACCAGCTAACTGTCAGCATTTTGTTATCTTTTGTGTCTGTGATAATAGTCATGGTAATGAACGTGAGGTGATATCTCATTGTGGTTTTGATTTGGATTCCCCTGATGATTAGCAATGTGGAACACCTTTCCATGTCCTGCTGGCCATGCATATGTCTTCCCTTGAATACAATGTCTATGTACAGTTTTGCCCTCTTAAAAATCAGGGGTTTTTTTTGCTATTGTATGGGTTCTTTACACATTTAGATAGATCCCTTTGTCAGATATATAGCTTCAAGTAATTTATTTGTCTATGATTTTGGTGTCGAATCCAAATAAATCATTTTCCAGATCAACTCTGGAAAGCTTCTTTTTTCCCTGTTTTCTTCTATGAGTTTACAATTTTAGATATCATATTATATCCAAGCCTTGAGTACATTTTTAGGTGATTTTTGTATATGAGATGAGATGAGGTCTCATTTTTTTCTGCATATGGATGCTCAGTTTTTACACCATTTGTTAAAAAGGCAATCTTTTCCTTATTGTGTGTCCTTGGAACAAAAAATCTGGGAGATACACAAAAGAGGAAAATCTTAGACCAATATTCCTGATGATAGACCTAAAAATCTTCAAGAAAATACTAGGAAATTGAATATAGCAGCACATTAAAAAGTTATTACATTATGATCCAGTAGATTTTACTCCTTTCATGCAAGGCTAGTTCAACATACACAAATCAATAAAGGTGCTCCACCACATAAGCAGAATCAAAAGCAAAAACTATATAATTATCTCAATAGATCCAGAGAAACTTTCAATAAGATTCAACATTCTTCATGATAAAAACCTTCAACAGACTAGACATCAAAGAAACTTAGCTTAAAATGATAAGAGCCATGTATGACAAACCCACAACTGACACCATACTGAATCAACAAAAGCTCAAATCATTCCCCTTCATAACTGGAACAAAACAAGAATACCCACTCTCACCACTCCTATTCAACATAGTAGTGGATGTTCTAGCCAGAGAAATCAAACAAGAGAAAGAAATAAAAGGCATCCCCACAAGTAAATAAGAATTCAAACTATCTATTTTTGCTGTTGATAGGATCCTATGCATAGAAAATTCTATAGACTCTGCCAAAAGAATCCTAGAATTGATAAACAACTTTAGTAATGTTTCAGGATACAGAATAAATATACGAAAATCAGTAGCTTTTTTATACACCAACGACATCCAGGCATAGAGAAAAATAAATGACACGATCCCACTTACAACATCTACAAAAAAAGAAATACCTAGGAATACAGCTAACCAAGGAGGTGAAAGATCTCTACAAGAAGAACTACAACCTCTCCAGCACATGTTGTTTCCTGACTTTTTAATGATCGCCATTCTAGCTGGTGTGAGATGGTATCTCATTGTGGTTTTGATTTGCATTTCTCTGATGGCGAGTGATGATGAGCAGTTTTTCATGTGTCTGTTGACTGCATAAATGTCTTCTTTCGAGAAGTGTCTGTTCATATCCTTCACCCACTTTTTGATGGGGTTGTTTGTTTTTTTCTTGTAAATTTGTTTGAGTTCATTGTAGATTCTGGACATTAGCCCTTTGTCAGATGAGTAGATTGCAAACATTTTCTCCCATTCGTTAGGTTGCTTGTTCACTCTGTTGGTAGTTTCTTTTGCTGTGCAGAAGCTCTTTAGTTTAATTAGATCCCATTTGTCAATTTTGGCTTGTGTTGCCATTGCTTTTGGTGTTTTAGACATGAAGTCCTTGCCCATGCTTATGTCCTGAATGGTATTGCCTAGATTTTCTTCTAGGGTTTCTATGGTTTTAGGTCTAACATTTAAGTTTTTAATCCATCTTGAATTAATTTTTCTATAAGGTGTAAGGAAGAGATCCAGTTTCAGCTTTCTACATATGGCTAGCCAGTTTTCCCAGCACCATTTATTAAATAGGGAATCCTTTCCCCATTTCTTGTTTTTGTCAGGTTTGTCAAAGATCAGATAGTTGTAGATATGTGGCATTATTTCTGAGGGCTCTGTTCTGTTCCATTGGTCTATATCTCTGGTTTGGTACCAGTACCATGCTGTTTTGGTTACTGTAGCCTTGGAAACAACAGGTAACAACAGGTGCTGGAGAGGATGTGGAGAAATAGGAACACTTTTACACTGTTGGTGGGACTGTAAACTAGTTCAAACATTGTGGAAGTCAGTATGGCAATTTCTCAGGGATCTAGAACTAGAAATACCATTTGACCCAGCCATTCCATTACTGGGTATATACCAAAAGGATTATAAACCATGCTGCTATAAAAACACATGCACACGTATGTTTATTGTGGCACTATTCACAATAGCAAAGACTTGGAACCAACTCAGATGTCCAACAATGATAGACTGGATTAAGAAAATGTGGCACATATACACCATGGAATACTATGCAGCCATAAAAAATGATGAGTTCATGTCCTTTGTAGGGACATGGATGAAGCTGGAAACCATCATTCTCAGCAAACTATCGCAAGGACAAAAAACCAAACACCGCATATTCTCACTCATAGGTGAGAATTGAACAATGAGAACACATGGACACAGGAAGGGGAACATCACACACCGGGGCCTGTTGTGGGGTGGGGGGAGGAGGGAGGGATAGCATTAGGAGATACACGTAATGCTAAATGATGAGTTAATGGGTGCAGCAGACCAACATGGCACATGTATACATATGTAACAAACCTGCACATTGTGCACATGTACCCTAAAACTTAAAGTATAATTAAAAAAAACAATTACAACGAAAATCCTTAATGTCTCTTGAGTAGGTAGAGAACATATATTTTATCTAAGTAACTTGCTCTAAACTGCAAACCAAAATAAGATGATTCAATAAAGTATTTTGTAAACTAGTCTTTAGCAAAAAAAAAAAAAGAACTACAAAACACTGCAGAAAGAAATCAGAAAGTAAACAAATAAATTGAAAAAAAAATTCCATGCTCATGGAATGGGAGAAATAATATTGCAAAAATGGCAATATTATCCTTCAATATTTATCGATTCAATGTTATTATCAAAATACCAGTTTTATTCTTCTAGAAATATAAGAAAAGTATTCTAAAATTTGTATGTAACCAAAAAAGAACAAAAACAGCCAAAGTAATCCTCAGCCAAAAGAACAATGCCAGGGACATCACACTATTTGACTTCAAACTCTACTATAAAGCCACAGTAACAAAAACTGTTTGGTACTTGTACAAGAATAAACACATAGACAAATGAAATAGAATAGAAAACTCAGAAATAAAGCTGCACACCCACAACCATCTGTTTTTTGACAACCCTGAAAAAAATAAACAAGCAATGGGGAAAAGACAACCTAGTCAATAAATGGTGCTGGGATAACTTGCTAGCCATATGCAGAAGATGGGAACTTGACTCGTGACTATCACCATATGAAAAAGAAAATTAACTCAAAATGGATTATAGCTTTAACTAAGACTTCAAACTACAAAAAGCTAGGAAGACAACCTAGGAATACTCTTCTCTGCATTGGCCTTGGCAAAGAATTACTGGCTCTGAGACCAGGCATTTTTTGTAACAGTGATTTATTTTCTGGGGTACATATCATGGAGTGGGATTGCTGATTGAACGATAGATCTATTTTAGTTGCTTGATAAGCCTTTACAATTTTTTTCACATAGGTTGCACTAATTTACATTACCAACAACAGTGTATAAATGCATTTTCTCTGAATTCTCATCCATATCTATAATTTTTTGACTTCATAATAATAGGCACTTTGACTGATGTAAAGTTGTGTCTCACTGTTGTTTTAATATTAATTTATCTAATGATTAATGTTGTTCAGCTTTTTATTTCCATATGCTTTTTGGCCATTTGAATATCTTCTTCACAAAATGTCTGTTGATGTCTTTTGCCCACATTTTAATGGTGTAATTTATTTATTTGTTGTTGTTGCTGAGTTGTCTGTGTTCTTGTTAGATTCTAGATGTTAGTTATTTATTGCACAGTAATGTAATAAATCTAAAAGTCAGGAAACAACAGGTGCTGGAGAGGATGTGGAGAAATAGGAACACTTTTACACTGTTGGTGGGACTGTAAACTAGTTCAACCATTGTGGAAGTCAGTGTGGCGATTCCTCAGGGATCTAGAACTAGAAATATCATTTGACCCAGCAATCCCATTACTGAGTATATACCATCCCATGACTGGGTATATACCCAAAGGATTATAAATCATGCTGCTATAAAGACACATGCACACGTATGTTTATTGTAGCACTATTCACAATAGCAAAGACTTGGAACCAACCCAAGTGTCCAACAATGATAGACTGGATTAAGAAAATGTGGCACATATACACCATGGAATACTATGCAGCCATAAAAGATGATGAGTTCACGTCCTTTGTAGGGACATGGATGAAGCTGGAAACCATCACTCTCAGCAAACTATCGCAAGGACAAAAAACCAAACACCACATGTTCTCACTCATAGGTGGGAATTGAACAATGAGAGCACATGGACACAGGAAGGGGAACATCACACACTGGGGCCTGTTGTGGGGTTGGAGGGGCGGTGGGGAGGGATAGCATTAGGAGAAATACCTAATGTTAAATGATGAGTTAATGGGTGCAGCACACCAACATGGCACACATATACATATGCAACAAACCTGCACATTGTGCACACATACCCTAAAACTTAAAGTGTAATAAAAAAAATAAAATTAAAAAAATCAATTGCAAAAAAACTGTTGAAACTATGAAAATATGAGGTAATTAAACAACACAATTTTGACCAATCATTGGCTCACCAATAAAATTAAGATATTAATTTTTAAAAATACAAAGAAAAATGAAGCCACAACATACCAAACCCTCTGAGATACAGGAAGAGCAGTACTAAGAGCTTATAGTTCTAAATGTCTATGAAAAAATAGAAAGATTATAAACTAGCAATCTATTGATTTACTTCAAGGAACTAGATATTTTAGAACAAACCAACCCCAGAGCTAGAAGAAGAAAATAAATAAAGATCATGGCAGATTTCAAAAATATTGAAACAAAAAAGCAAAATATAAGGAATCAACAAAACAAAATGTGGTTATTTTAAAACATGAACACAATTGATAGAGCACTAACTAGGTCAACAAAAAAAAAAAGACAGAAGATTCAAGTTAGCACAAGCAGAAATGATAAAGGTGGTATTATAACTGACCCAATGGAAATACAAAAGATTATCAAGACATACTGAATATGTCTATGCTCACAAACTAGAAAATCTAGAGGAAATCAATAAATTTCTGGAAATATTCAACTACCCCCCAAAATTGAACCAGGAAGGAAAAGAAATCCTAAATAGACCAATGCGAGTAATAAGACTGAATCAGAAACTGAAAATCTCCCAACCCCAAAAGCCCAGAACCAGATAAATTCAAGGTCTAATTTTACCAGATGTACCATTCTTACTGGAACTATTCCAAAGGATTAAAGAGAAGAGATTCTTTCCCACCTTTGTCTAAAATACTCGTATCACCTAATACCAAAATCAGGCAAGGATACAACTACAACAACAAAAAGCTACAGGGAAATATCCCTAATGAACATAGATACAAAATAGTAAACAGAATACTAGCTAGCTGAAACCAACAGCACAATAAAAGATAATACATCATGACCAATTGGGTTTTATTCCAGGGATGCAAAGCTTGTCTAAAATAAACACATCAATAAATATGATTCAACATATAACATAATTAAAAACAGAAAACATAAGACCATCTCAATGAATGCAAAAAAGTCATTCAATAAAATTCAATATCCCTTCATGAAAAATTCCTCAACAAGCTTAGCATCAAAGAAACCTACCTCAAAACTATAAAAGCCACATACAACAACCAACAAAAAACTCTTAAATAAATCAATAGAACAGGGATCTTCTTAAATTTAGTAAAAACCTATGCAACTGATTTATTCAATATGCTGGACTTGGTAGTGAAGAAATGAATGACTTTAACTAAAAAAAAAAGCCACATATAACAAAACAACATTATATGGAATGAGAAAAAGTTGCAAAAATATTCCTGAAGAACGTGAGCAAGAATGCACACTTTCACCACTCCTACTGGACGTATTACTGAAAGTCCTAGCCAGAATAATCAGAAAGGAAAAAAGAAATGTATGTTTCAAGTTCCAAGCTAAGGAATCCAGGAGTGGCAGACCCAGAGACTTGTTTTTTAATCTATGAATAACATCCAAACCCCTGACCGATCCCTTGGAACACAGGATTTAGGGGTGATTGAGGCTCTTTCTTTTGGGTTAAATGAAAGTTGCTAGGTGGAGGGTGTTAAGTAAAAATTACTACATAAGCTGCATAGTTTTGTCAAATGGTTGTAGTTTTCTTGTCCAGCCTGCTGTTCCTGAACCACCCTATATGAAAGCCCTCAATAAACTATATGTCTTGTTCACTGGTTTGGCCTGTTGTACACGATGCCAGTCCTATTGGAGTCCATATTGGTCTGGCGTGACATCCAGTCAACCTGGTAAAAGGTCCAAAAAAAATCTCATGAGCACCCAGACAATGGAATCTAAAAAGAGGAGACCCCTGCAGAAACCTTGGGCAGGCTGTTAATTTCTACGTGGGGCCCAACAGCCGTTATCCATGATGGATGGGGCCCAGTGCCTGAGTATGGGGATACCGCCACAATGCCAAAAGTTCTGGAAGAACCTCTTCAGTGGGTGCATCTTACAAAGTGAAAGTCAGATGTCCAGGCTGTTGCATTATCAGGTGAGTGGTTCTTCCTGACTGCACTCTGAGAAGCCACTGAGACAGTGCTCACTGTGTATGCTACAGTGTGTCAGTCACAAGAAGAGCTACTCCTAGAAAAACATGCCAGACTAGCTCAGACTAATCAGAGACCTTTCTGTCCTGCCTGTGGAAGCAGAATGGCAAATTGGGGACCGCCGCTTGTGGAGCAGCACATTTGAAGGATTTCTGGCCATCACATGAATTAGTTACGGCTGTGATGACTAAACTGTCATGGGACCCTAAGACCTAGTTCCCATAAAGAGTTCTAGGGGGAGGAGGATGAAGTTTGGGGTAAGCCCATGGGGGTTCCTGTCCTCTCTACACATCTGGTGGCTACCACCAAGGTAAAAATGGGCCAACTGCACCAGCAGAGGCGAGCCCCAGAGACATTTCCCACCTGAAATAAGGAAACACACCACAATGTGGGATTCCACCACTGCGGAATTGCTGACACTTAGAAATGGGTTCAGACAGAAGAAGAGAGAGTTGATCACAGGGTGGCTTCTTCATCTGTGAGGCATGCGGGAGGAGGGCATTATACTCCCTGAACTCAAGATTAGTAAAGTGACATCCATCACAAACCATCTGGGCCTGAGGCAGCACCTCGATGGTGTCAGTCATGGAGATTGGACCATCCCTCTCCTTAGCTGGGTGGTTGCAGACTGCAAGGGACCCTGGTGAAACGAGGGAGATGTCCGCTTTATTAGTGTGTTCTCGTATTGCTAGAAAGAAATACCTGAAACTGAGTAATTCACATAGAAAATAGGTTTAATTTACTCATGATTCTGCTGGCTGTATGGGAAGCATGATGAAAAATCTGTTCAGCTTCTGGAGAGGCCTCAGGAAATTTACAATGATAGTGAAAGGCAAAAGGGGAGCAGCCACTTTATATGGTGGGAGCAGGAGCAAAGAAAGAGTGAGGGTGGAGGTCCCACACACTGTTAAACAACCAAATCTCATGAGAACTCATTTACTATCATAGCAAGGGGACCGTGCTAACCATTATTCATAAATCCGGACCCACGATACAACCACCGGGCCCCGCCTCAAACATTAGGGAAGCAAAATCACATACAGTTGTTATGACAGGTGGGACATCCTGAAAACCTCTCTAGGCATGTCCCACACGGCCCTGGAGCTGTCTCAGGGGAGCAGTCTCCTCCAGTGTTTAGACGCACAGGCACGGATAATAGGGCTAAGTCTGGCCAGATGTGTGATATTCAACACATTGCACAACTGCTCTGTTCTGTATGTAATTTATCTTCTCTACAAATGTAACATTGATGGTTGCATTAAATATATTCTGCAAATATGTAAAAATAAAATAAGATGATGATTGCTAAATGATTATCAAGGCACAATCACATAATCCGAAGTTACAATTTCCTGAGAGATAGGATTACTGCCCATGCTTACCAGGACACTCACATCTGCTCTGGGCACTGCCTTCTCCTCAGGCGTCCCACCCCAGAGCTTGCTATATAGTAGGAGACATGCAAATAGGGTCCTCCCTCTGCTGATGAAAACCAGCCCAGCCCTGACCCTGCAGCTCTGAGAGCGGAGCCCCAGCCCCAGAATTCCCAGGTGTTTTCATTTGGTGATCAGCACTGAACACAGAGGACTCACCATGGAGTTTGGGCTGAGCTGGGTTTTCCTTGTTGTTATTTTACAAGGTGATTTATGGAGAACTAGAGATGTTAAGTGTGAGTGGACGTGAGTGAGAGAAACAGTGGATTTGTGTGACAGTTTCTGACCAGGGTGTCTCTGTGTTTGCAGGTGTCCAGTGTGAGGTGCAGCTGGTGGAGTCTGGGGGAGGCTTGGTCCAGCCTGGAGGGTCCCTGAGACTCTCCTGTGCAGCCTCTGGATTCACCTTCAGTGACCACTACATGGACTGGGTCCGCCAGGCTCCAGGGAAGGGGCTGGAGTGGGTTGGCCGTACTAGAAACAAAGCTAACAGTTACACCACAGAATACGCCGCGTCTGTGAAAGGCAGATTCACCATCTCAAGAGATGATTCAAAGAACTCACTGTATCTGCAAATGAACAGCCTGAAAACCGAGGACACGGCCGTGTATTACTGTGCTAGAGACACAGCGAGGGGAGGTCAGTGTGAGCCCGGACACAAACCTCCCTGCAGGGGCGCGTGGGGCCACCAGGGGGCGGTCGGGAACCACTGAGGACGGGACAGGTCCCAGGAGCAGGTGCAGGGGGCGGTTTCCTGTCAGCTGCAGGAGGCGGGTTTGTTTTTGCAGGACTCTGGAGCCTTATGAGGTTGCACTATTTTATTATGGTTATTTATCATGTGTTTTTTATTGATATTTGTGTTTTAGTAATTTTTACATTTATATGTAGGGGTATTTTTTAAAAATACATAACTTCAAGAAATAATTCTTCCTAGTAATTTACACCTATTCCTCTAAAGTTTTATTAACACCTGTTGATATCAGCAACTACATAGCTATGCAACATTAATTTACATCTATAAACATATGTGTGAATACATGAAACTATGCATACATGTGTAGTCATTTATATTTAACATTATAATAAAATAATAAATTAAATAAAATAATTGAATTAAATTAAAAGAATTAAACTTAATGATGAACTAAATATAAATTAGAGTAATCCATAATTGATTTCAATCCTTCTCTATGGTTTACATAAATCGATGTCTACTTGTAAGCTTAAGTATAGTGAATTGGTCATTTTAAAATAGCCAAGAACAAATTTCAAATGTTCTTGTCACCAAAAAATGATAAGGATTTGAAGATTTGAGGTGATATATATGTCAATTAGCTCGATTCAATTATTCCACATTGCATTCATAAATCATAACATAGCTTTGTACCCCATCAGTATATGGGGTACAACCAAAATTTCTCAATTTCCAATGAAATTTTAATTATATATTTTTTAATTTGATGCCTCTCTTTGGATCAGGCCACCTCCTCAGGATTACAGTGCTGTTCAGTTTTCTCAACATGCTGTTGTACCAGATAAGCACAAAACATTTAATTTCATTATGCTTTGCTTTAGTTTTTCAAAACAACATAAAGGTAATAATTTTCCCAACAAACATATTACAGCCTATTCTATACTTTTTTATTTTTTGTTTTTATGAGATAAAATTTACATGTAAGAAAAAATTTATAGATCTGAAATGTGTCACTAGAGAGTTTCTGGCAAATGTGAATACCCTTGTCCCGAACACCTAAGGTAGACTAAAGAGCAAGTCCATACCCACAACATGCGTCTTTCTCTGTGCCTGCGGTCAACCCCTACATGGGGAAGTGTTTTGATTTCTGACACCATAGATCCATTTTTTTCTGTTTTGAGCTTTATATAAATGGAATCAAACATTATAGACCTTTTTTTGGTAAGGGACTACTTTGCTATTTTTTAGGTTAATTCATGCTATTTAATGTATGAAATTAGATCATCATAGTGTCATTTACTCAATTAATGGGCTGACTCTGATATGAAACCTCAAAGTATTCATGTATATATGGAGAGAGAGAGAGGGAGGAAGGACAGAGATTTTATATCTGAGACAGTCCATTGAGTAAATATATGACAATATATTGATCTATTTGTTGTCGATGGATTTTACATTTGTTTCCAGTATATGAATATTATAAGCAAAGCTGTTACAAATACATTAGTGTAAGTTTTTCTATCTATGTTGTCTCAATTTTGTTGAGAAAATATGAAGTATGTTTTTCTTTATTGTAAGAGGAAGTTTAATTTTTTTCAGTTTTATTGAGGTAAAAATAAAATATTTTTTAAAATGTATAGGTTTAAGGTGCCCCACTTGACGTTTTGATGTTGTATTAGTCCATTCTCACACTGCTATAAAAAATGCCTGAGACTGAGTAATTTGAAAAAAAATATGTTTAATTGGCTCACGGTTCTGCAGGCTGTACAGGAAGTGCAGTGGCTTCTCCTTCTGGGGAGAGTCAGGAAAGTTAGGATCATGGCAGAAGACAAAGGGGAGCAGGTGTGTCACATGGCCAGAGCGGAAGCCACAGGAAGCGGACCGGGGTGTGGGGGGACTGCACACTGTTAGACAACTAGATCTTGTGAGAACTCAGGCACTGTAGTGAGAACAGCACCAGGAGTCGGTGCTGAACCACTCATGAAAGACCCACCCCACGACCCAGTCATCTCCCACCAGGTCCCACCCCAGGACTGAGGATTATAATATAACATGAGATTTGGTCCAAGACACAGATCCAAACCATATCATATGCACATTGTGAAATGCTCATCATGGTTAAGGTAATTTGTATATTCATCTTCTCACTATTTTTTGTTTGATTTTTGAGACAGAGTTTTGCTCTTGTCGTCCAGGCTGGAGTTCAATGTCACCATCTCAGCTCACTGCAACCTCCAACCCCTGGATTCAAGGGATTCTCCTGCCTCAGCTTCCCGAGTAGCTGGGATTACAGGAGCTCAACACCACACCCCGCTATTTTTTTTTTTTTTTGGTACTTTTAGTAAAGACAGAGTTTCGCCACGTTGGCCAGGCTGGCCTCGAACAGCTGACCTCAAGAGATCTGTCCGCCTCGGCCTCCCAAAGTGCTGGGATTACAGATGCAAGCCACAGCGCCCAGCCAATTTTATTATTTTAAAAATGTACTGCATGTGAGTGTGTGCGTGTGTGTGTGTTTCATGAGAACACCTAAGATCTACCCTTTTAGCAAAAATCACTTTTACAGTACAGTATTAAATACAGGAAAATTGGCGTAGGTTAGATCTCCAGAACTCATTCACCCTGCACAGCTGAAACTCTGTACCCTCTGACCAACTTCACCCAATTTCCCTCTCCTCCCAGGTCCTGGGACCCACTATTCTACTCTCTGCTTTCAAGAGCTTGAATATTTCAGATCCCACACGTAAATGAGATCATGCAGCATTTGTCTTTCTGCATCTGGCTTATTCCACTCAGCGTCATGTCCTCCAGGCCCATCCATGTTGCAAAAGCCAGAACTTCCTTCTTTTCAAAGCTAAATAAAATTCAGTTTTATGTGTACACATTTTCTTTAAACATTCTTTAATCTATGGTCATTAAACTCTTTCACAAATCTACACTATTATAAATAATCTGGCAGTGAACATGTGTTTAACATAATAATTTTATTTCATTTGAATATATAACAAGAAGTGGGATCACCAGATCGTACGATAACTTTATTTTTCAATTTATTGAGTAACAAGTCCTACCACACCATATCATGATTTCCTTTCCCAACATTCTTGTGAACACTTGTTATATTTTGTCTTGCTGATAATAGTCATTTTAAGTGGTTTGAGGCAATATTTCATCGTGCTTTAGATTTGAATTTCTCTGAAAATTAGTAATGTTGGGAACCTTTTTAGGCTCTGTTTTTCATGAGTGGGTTTTCTGAAAAAAAGTCTATCCAGGTTTTTTCCCTTTTATCAGGTCGTTTGTAATTTGCACATAGTTTTTTTTCCTGTGCTTTTGGTATTAAATTCAAATAAATCATTTCTGAATCAATGACAGGAAGTTTTTCCATGCTGTCTATGAGTTTGTGGTTTCAGGTTTTGCTCATTTTTAGTTGATTTTTGTACATGGTGTGAGAGAAGGTCTAATTTTATTTCTTCTGCATATGGATGTCCAGTTATACATCATTTATTGAGGAGACTGTCTTTCTTCACTGTGTCTTTTTGGCATACAAAATCAGGAAGAGACATAATTAAAAAAGAAAATATTAGATGAATATTCGTGATGAACATAGACCTAAAAGTTCTCAACAAAATATTAGCAAATAGAATCCAGAAGCACTTTAAAATGTAACACATCATGATCAAGTGGGCTTTACCCTGGGATGCAAAGTTCATTCAACATCCACAAATCAATAACTGTGATTCATTGTGTAAGCAGAATAAAAGCAAAAACCATATGTTATCTCAATAGATGCTGAGAAAGCTTTTGATATGCTCCAACACTCACTCATAATAAAAACCCTCAGCAAACTAGGCATCAAAAAACATACCTCAAAATAATAAGAGCCATCTATGACCAACCCACAGTCAACATTATACTGAGTGAGCAAAAGCTCAAACCCCATGAGAATTGGAACAAGACAAGGATGCCCTCTCACCACTCCTATTGAACATAGCACTGAAAATCCTAGTCAGGGCAACCAGGCAATAGCGAAAATAAAACGCAGCCGATATGGTTTGTACTAGTGCCCCATTCAAATTTCATGTCAAATTGTAATTCCCAGGGTTGGGGCTGGGGTCTGGTGAAGGGTGATTCTATCATGAGGATGGGTCTCCGTCTCTTGTGCTGCTCTCGTGATGGTCCTCAGGAGATCTGGTTTCAAAGTATGTGTCATCTCCCTCCTCTCTCTTCCTCCTGCTCCTGCCCTGTAAGACATGATGCTTCCCTTTCTGTCATGATTGTCATGTTCCTGAGGCCCCCCCAAGAGCCATAATTCCTGTACAGCCTGCAGAACCATAAGACAATTAAAAACCTTTATACATTACACAGTCTCAGGTGTTTCTTTAGAGTGTGCGAATGGACTAATACAGAATCAAAATAGGAAAAGAAGTCAATGTATCTGTCCAAATTGATGATATAATTCTATACCTAGAAAATTCTAAAGACTCTGCCAAAATAATTCTAGAATAGATAAACAACTTTGGTAAAGTGTCGGGATACAAAATCAATGTACAAAAATCACTAGCATTTCTGTACCCCAACTACATCCAAGCTGAGAGTGAAATCAAGAACACAATTCTATCCCACTTACAATATCCACAAAGAAAAGGAAATGCCTGGGAACACAGATAACAAATAAGATGGAAGATCCCTGCAAGATGAATGACAAAACACAGCAGAAATAAGTCATAAATGACACAAAAAATGGGAAAACATTTCATGCTCATGATTGGAATAATCAATATTGTAAAAATTGTCATACTGCCAATAGAAATTTACAGATTCAATACTATTCACATAAAACTATCACCATCATTCTTCACAGAATTAGAAAAAAAAGTATATATATTCTAAAAGTTATATGGAACCAAAAAGCCCCTGAGTAGCCAAAGCAATTCTAAGCAGAAAGAACCATGACAGAGGCAACATGATACCTGACTTTAAACTACACCATAAAGTCACAGTAACCAAAACAGCTTGGAAGTGGTACATGAGCAGACATGCAGAAAAATGGAACAAGAGAGAAAACAGAAATAAACCTGCACACATAAACCATCTGATATTTGATAAGGCTGACGAAAACAAGCAATGGGGATAAAACTCTGTATTCACTAAACGGTGCTGGGATAACTGGATTCTGTCAGATATACAGAATGCAAAAGTGAAGGAGGCTGGGCAGCTTCGACTTAGATTTCAGAGGATATGTAGAGGGCCCTGCAGGCCCAGCAGGAGGCCGGCTGCAGCAGTGCAGCCACCACAGACAGCCTCTACTAGGACAGTGCCAAAGATGGGGAAAGAGAGGGTTGGAGCCCCAATTCACAATCCCCACTAGGGCATTTTACACTAAAGCTGTGGGAATGTGGCCACGACCCTCAAGGTCCCTGAATGGTAGAACCAAAGGCAGCTTGCACTCTCAGCCTGGAAAAACTTCTGGTACTCGACTCTAACCTATGAATGCAGGCCAATAAGCTGTGCTCAGCTATAAGGATGAAAAGCCTGAGGTTTCTGGGACTCCTTCAACCCAGGGTGCCCTGGTTGAAGTACATCAAGTGAAGCGAGATTATTTTGTAGCTTTAAGATTTAATATCTGCCCAGACAGGCTTTAGGTGTGTGGGGGGCCTATTGGCCATTCCTTTGGACATTTTTTTCCTTTTGTATTAACAATATTTAACCAATATCTGTGGCAGTCTTGCATGTTGGAAGTAAATAACTCTTTAAAACATTTTGCCAGCTCATAGCTGGAGGGAAATTGCCTTAAGACTCGGATAAGACTTTGGAATTTTCAGTTGGAGGTTGACCAAGTTAAGACTTTTGGAAACTATTAAAAAAAAAGATCATTTTGCAACCTCTGAAGGACGTAAGATCAGGGGGCACAAGAGTGAAATGATATAGTTTAGATGATGGTCCCCTCCAAATCTCATGGCGAAATGTGCTCCACAATATTTGAGGTGGGGCCGACTGGGAGATTTTGGGACATGGGGAAAAATCCTTCAGGAATGGCTCAATAACCACCCTATGGCAGTAGGTGAATTATTCCTGTATTAACTACTGGGAGATCTGATTATTAAAAGGAGTCTGATGACCCTCCTCCCCTCTCACGTCCACCCCTCACCATATGACACCGCCTGCTTCCCCTTTGCCTTCCACCATAACTGTAAGCTTCCTGAGGCCCTCACAAGAAGCAGATGCTGGTGCCATGCTCCTCACACAGCCTGCCGAACTCTAAGCCAAATGAGCCTCTTTTATTTGTAAATTACTTGGCCTCAGGCATTAATTTAGAGCAATGCAAAATAGACTAAAACACACTGCCCAAAGCAATATACAGAGTCAATGCAGTTTCCATCAAATAACCAATATAATTAAGTACATTTTTTTTAAATGTCCTAAAATTTATATGGAAGCAAAAAAGAGCCTTTTGATTCCATATAATAGCAAAAGCCGTCCTAAGACAAGGAAACAAAGCTGAAAGCCCCACATTCCCTGACTTCAAATTATACTACACAGTTATAGGAAGAAAGACAGCACGGTACTGGTACCAAAACAAAACAAAAAATATTAGACCAGGTGTGCCTGTAATCCCAGCACTTTAGGTGGCAGAAGCTGGTGGATCACCTGAGGTCAGGAGCTCAAGACCAGCCTGACCAACATGGTGAACCCCTGTCTCTAGTAAAAATATGAAAAACTAGCCAGGCCTAGTGGCCCATACCTGTAATCTCAGCTACATCGGAAGCTGAGGCAGGAGAATCACTTAAACCCGGGAGGTGGAGGTTTCAGTGAGCTGAGATCTTGCCATTGCACTCCAGCCTGGGTGACAAGAGCAAAACTCCATCTCAAAAAAAAAATTAATGTAACAGAATAGAGAGCCCAGAAAGAAAGCCAAATATCTACAACCAACTATTCTTTGACAAAACTGACAAAAATATACACTGGAGAAATAGTCCTCTATTCAGTAAGTCGTGCTGGGAAAATTGGATGGCCACTCATAGAAGAATAAAACCAGGCTTCTATCTCACCACAGACAAAAAGTAACTGAATATGGATTCAATAATTAAATGTATAAACTGAAACTATAAAAATACTTGAAGAAAATGTAGGGAGAATTCTCGGGACATTGGCCTAGGCAGATAAAATATGACTAAGACTTCAAAAGCAAATGCAACGAAAACAAAAATAGATGAAGAGGACTTAATTGAACTAAAGATCTTCTGCAGAGAAAAAGAAATAATCAACATGGTGAACAAACAGCCTACACAATGGTAGAAGGTATCACTTCATCTCAGTTAAGAGGGCTCTTATCAAAAAAGAAAAAAAACAGCCAGGCGTGGTGGCTCATGCCTGTAATCCCAGCACTTTGCGAGGCCGAGGCAGGTGGATCACTTGAGATCAGGAGTTTAAGACCAACTTGTCCAACATGGCAAAACCCTATCCCTCCTAAAAATGCAAAAATTAGCTGGGCGTGTTGGCCAGCACCTGTAGCCCCAGCTACTCGGTAGGTTAAGGCAAGATAATCGATTGAACCTGGGAGTTGGAGGTTGCAGTGAGGTGAGATCACGCCACTACACTCCAGCCTGGGTGACAGGAGTGAAACTCTGTCTCAAAAAGAAGGAAGGAAGGAAGGAAGGAAGGAAGGAAGGAAGGAAGGAAGGAAGGGAGGGAGGGAGGGAGGGAGGGAGGGAGGGAGGGAGGAAGGGAAAGAAAGAAAGAAAGAACGAAAGAAAGAAAGAAAGAAAAAGAAATTAAGAAAGAAAAAAATTAAGAAAGAAAAGAAAGAAAGAAAAAGAAGGAAAGAGAGAAAAAAGAAAGAGAGAGAGAAAAAAGGAAGGAAGGATGGAAGGACAGAAGGAGGGATAGAAGGAAGAAAAGGAAAGGAGAAAGAAAGAAAAAAGAGAAAGAGATAAAAAGAAATAAAGAGAGAAAGAAAGAAAACTAACAAATGCTGGTAAGGTTGGGGAGAAGGTAAACTAGTACAGTCAGTCACTATGGAGAGCAGCGTGGAGGTACCTCAAAAAACTACAAATACAACTACCAAACGACCCAGCAATTCCACTACTGCAAATGTATCCAAACGCATGAAAATAATTATATCAGAGATTTCTTACTCCCAGTGTATATGGCAGGACCTTTCACAATGGCCAAGATATGAAATCAAACCAGGTGTCAGAGAGCAGATGAATGGTTAAAGATTATGTGGTGCATATACATGATGAGATGCTCATCATCCACAGGAAAGGAAATCCTGTTGTTTTTGGCAATGAAGACGGAACTGGAGGACATTATGTGAAATGAAATAAACCAGGAACTTCAAGTAATACACCTTGTTTTCTCACTCATACGTGGAAGGAAAAAGAAAATTTGTCTCATAGAAATAAATAGTAGAACAGAGGATACTAGAGTCTGGGAAGTGCAGGGGAAGAGATAGGCAGAGATTTGTGAAGGAATACATTAGAGTTAGGTGGGAGGAATAGATTATAATGTTCTTTACCACTGTGGGATAAATGTATTTAACAATTATATGTAGTTTCAAACAGTTAGAAGAAGGATATTGAGTGTTCCCAACAAAAAGAAAATGTTTCAGATGACGGATATATTAATTATCCTTATCTGTCCCCTACACACTGTTTCACAACATCGCTATGTACCTCATGAATATTTACAATCATTATTTGTCTATTAAAATTATATTAGAAAACACAAAATTCACTGGAAGTAACATAAATGGAGGCTCTGGGATAGACCTGGAGATAACGGAGGGTCTGGGATACATTACAGGCCTAGCACTCAATGGTCAGAGGAGCTCCCATTAGCTTTTTGTATTTGTAGCACTGAGTAAATCTAACATTTCTCAAAGCTTCCCTTTGCAATAGAGACGTGAGGCCTAGGGAGATCTTGCAGATAGTCAGATATGCAGAGGGAAGAAGCAGGGGTAGAGGGTTGCTGGCCCATTCAACAATAGTTGGAATGATAATTACGCATGTAGAGAAGCCAACATTGATTTAAATAAGTTGCATCACTGAAAGCCATGAAAAAAAATCCAAAGGAAATCTTTAAATAAAATTGAGAGTGAAACTGTTTTGGGTGAAGAAATGTTCACTGAAGTTAGGTGTGCCAGTAAAGCTGTTAAGAACTACAGTAACCACTGGATTGGATTCAGCTTTGTCTGAATTCAGTGTGATTATTACTGGCTCAGGCAGGGGTCAGAAATCAACATGGATAGGTGGTAGCAACACGAAAAAGCCAGGGACCAGAAAGATTCACAGCCGAATTTTTTCAGATGTATAAAGAAGTGTTGCTACCAATCCTAGTGTAACTATTTCCCAAAAATGAGGATAAAGGTCTCCTCCCTAAATTATTCCATGAAGCCAGCATTATTCTGATAACAAAACCTGGCAGAGACTTAATAAAAAAACATGACTTTAGACCAATATACCTGATGCAAAAATGCTCAATGAAATACTCACAAACTGAATACAGCAGCACATCAAAAAGCCTAACCTACCAACACTTTGTTCCTGGGATGCAAGGTTGGTTCAACATATGCAAATCAGGAAATGTGATTCATCACATAAACAGAACGAAAAACAAAAACCATGTTAACCGGCAGGGCACGGTGACTCATGCCTGTAATCCCAGCACTTTGGGAGGCTGAGGCGGGCGGATCATAAGGTCAGGAGCTCGAGACCATCCTGGTTAACATGGTGAAACCCCGTCTCTACTAAAAATACAAAAAAATTAGCTGGGCATGGTGGCGGGCTCCTGTAGTCCCAGCTACTCGGGAGGTTGAGGCAGGAGAATGGCGTGAGTCCAGGAGGTGGAGCTTGCAGTGAGCCGAGATCACGCCACTGCAGTTCAGCCTGGGCGACAGAGTGAGACTCTGTCTCAAAAAAAAAAAAAAAAAAAGAAAGAAAACGTTAACCATAGACACAGAAAAGGTTTTGAAAAAACTTTAAGATTCTTTCATGTTAAAAACCATCAACCAGGCATGAAGGAATACACCACAAAATAATAAGGGCCATCTATGACAAACTCACAGCCAACATTATACTGACTGAGCAAAACCTGGAAGCATTTTCCCCTGAAAACTAGAACAAGAAAAGGACACCCATTCTAACCACTCCTGTTCATCATTGTCATGGAAGTCCCAGCCAGAGCATGCAGGCAAGAGAAAGAAATAAAAAGCATCAAGTCAGGAAGAGAGGGTGTCAAACTATCCCTGCAGATGAAATGATCACATTCCTGAGTCTGTAGTTTGGTGACTGACATTAATTTAAAATATTGTCAGTCATCATTGTTTAAATATTTCTTCTTAGCCTTTCTCTATTTTTTTCTATTTCCCATTATGTGCATGTTATACCTCTGTCACTGTCTCACCATTCTTGGGTAAGCTGTTCTTCTTTTGTATATATGTGTGTGTGTGTATATATATATATGTATATATGTGTGTATATATGTATATATATATGTATATATATGTGTGTATATATGTATATATGTGTATATATGTATATATGTGTATATATGTGTGTGTGTGTGTCTGTGTGTGTGTATATTTGTATTTGTGTGTTTACTGTTCTAACAATATATTTTTTGTTTTTGCTTTTCAGTTTGGGAAATTTCTATTGAGATAGTTTTAAGTTCAGATTTTTGTCCGCAGCTATGCCCCATCTACATATAAGTCCATTGAAAGCATTACTTAATTCTGTTACAAAATTCTTGATATCTACTTTTTTTTCCTTTTTTGGAATTTGCTTCATTCTACTTGCATGACACAGCTGTTCCAGCATGCTGTCTGCTTAATTCATTACAGACCTTAGCATATTAATCACAGTGGTCTTAAATTCTTTGTTTGGTAATTCCAAACTAAATGGCATGGCTGAATCTCATTTTAATGCTTGTTTTGTCTTGTCACACTATGATATATTTCTTTTAGTATATATCATGATTTTTATAGGGAGAAATTATGTATCAGGTGAAAGAAACTGCTGTAAAGAGGCCTTTAGTGATATCATTGTAAGTTGTGGAGAGAAACCTGTTTCATAATCCTCTGGCCATGGCTTCATCTAGGAAGCTTAAGGCCTTTGAAAATAAATCCTTACATGAACGTGAAAAGATAAGCCACAGATATGGAGAATTTCCTCACAAATCAAATATTTGGAAAAGGACTTTTATCAGGAATAATAAAAATTACCTTACAGTTGAATGACAAAACCACATGATCTAATTTTAAAATAGACAAAGACCTGTATAGAAAGAAGCCTCATCTAAAAATAAATATAAAAAGTGATCAGCATGATTTTTAGGTATATGTATGTTTAATATTCAAAAAATACTATATCCTGTTAGAATGGGTAAAATACACATTTTAGACAGTACCAAATGGTGATGAGGAAGTTGAAAAACAGGAACATTCACTCCTTGTGGGTGGGAAGGGGATGCTGAAGAGGCACATACACAACTACAGTTAGTACTTTATTGTATATTTCAGAATAGCTAGAAGATAAGATTTAGAATGTTCTTAACACAAAGAAGTAATCAGTGATGGAGGTGAGGGATATCCCAGGTATCTGGATTTGATCATTGCAGATAACATGCTTTTATCAAAATATCATGCGTATCCCTTAAAGGTTTTGAACTGTTATGTATCTATATAAATTAAACATTTTTAAAAAAACGGTGCAGGGGAATCCAGCTAATTGCAGATTCCCATTAGATGGGATGTGCTGCATAATCTGTAAACTAATCAGAGTCTGTGGGTTTGTAAAGGACTTTAGAAATCAACTGGACTACTTGTTTCTAAAGATAAGTCTCGCAAGTTTAATTATTTTCTTAATGGGTGGCGATTTTGAACATAGAAGAAATGTTAACAGTTGTTTCTCAAGTTTTCTTCTAGTTTCAGAAGAAAAGGTTTGCAGGGAGGAATCTGGGACCATCTTTCAAGTCTCAACTTCAATGTGATTATCTCAGTAAATATTTTCTGATACCCCTGAGCAGGGTAAGTCTCATATATGTCCTAGAAACTGCAAGTAGAATTCTAGGCACCCCAACTGACTGAAGGGAACTTTTCTCTTCAACGAGGAGTTCCATGGACACTAGAAAACCTAGTTTAGGCCGTGTCAGAAATGGAGGATCAGAAATCCCTCATTATACCCTCCTCCCTTTGGAATTCAAGCACAAGTAACCAGCATTTTCCTTAAAACAGATTTAAGGCTCAGAAAACAGATTCCGTGTAGCAGTAAAACACCAAATTCTAACCTGACTCAAGAATAGCATCACATGACAGAGAAAAGGCCTTGGAAGGAATCAAAGTCTTTTACCCTAAAATATATGTCTTTGACATATTTTTAAATCACCCTGCACAGTTATCTTTTTGCAAGAGAAATTTACATTCTGTAGAGAATCGCTTCCCTTTGAAGGTGTTTGTGTTATACTGAGGTATCGGGGGAAATTCAGCCAGATACTGGGAGAAATTCACCCCCGATATTTCACGTAGATTCTTTTCTATTTTCCTTAAGTGTCAGCCGGTCTGAGAAATAAAGGGACAAAGTACAAAAGAGAGAAATTTTAAAGCTGGGTGTCTGGGGGAGACATCACAGTTCGGCAGGTTCTGTGATGCCCCCTGAGCCGCAAAACCAGCAGGTTTTTATTAGTGATTTTCAAAAGGGGAGGGAGTGTACGAATAGGGTGTGGGTCACAGAGATCACTGCTTCACAAGGTAATAGAATATCACAAGGCCAATGGAGGCAGGGCGAGATCACAGGACCACAGGACCAGGGCGAGATTAAAATTGCTAATGAAGTTTCAGGCACGCATTGTCATCGATAACATCTTATCAGGAGACAGGGTTTGAGAGCAGACAACCGGTCTGACCAAAATTTATTAGGCGGGAATTTCCTCGTCCTAATAAGCCTGGGAGCGCTACGGGAGACTGGGGCTTATTTCATCCCCCCGCTGCGACCGTAAAGGACAGCCGCCCCCCGAAGCGGCCATTTTAGAGGCGTTTAGAGCGTTTCTGTCTTCTCTCCCAGTTTCTACGAGTTCCTCCAGTGCCTGTAACACAGAGCTGTTAGTGGCTTTGCCCCTGCCTGTTAATTCTTTGGTCATGTAATGGTGGTGAGGGAGCTGGGTCTGGATGCATTTCAGCCACAGCTGCTGTTCCACTTCCCCACACAGAACCATCTCGGGAGGAAGAGGTTGGAGATTTTTCTGATGTGTCCTCAATCCTGGCAGAAAAGGTTTCAATAGCAATAGGATTCCCTCAGTTGTATGTCCTCTGATAATTTAAACAATAACTTCTTTATTATACTCAACTCTAAACGGTCTAAAGAGTATGTCTAAGTTAACCCTGCATTCGCTTATATGACATTTGCTCTACCCCAGATAAGGTCATATTCTCTTTCTGTTTGTTCCTGCAAGTCACTGACTTTCACAAGATGTAAGGTCCCTTGTTTGTCCTATAACATCAATAATCTGATGTTTTAAAGAAAATATGCTAATTTGCAGCTCAGTAAGTTTAGTTGTAAAAATAATACATTTTTTTCTGAGATGCCTACATCTCCATGCTGAGTTGGAGCTTTATTTGTAACACTCAGAAACTGGAAATAACAAAAATATTAAGGAGCTTTATAAATAGTACGGGCACACTCATTAACTGGAATTCTGTTCCTCATTACAAGGAACATATTCTTTATACACAACCAAACTACTGACTCACAAGTAATTGTGCTGAGCAAGAAGCCACACAAATGAAATGGAAACTGTAAGGTTTCACTTTAACCAAATTTTGAAAAATAGACCTGAAGTAGCAAACATGAGAGACTGACTCAGTGTAGTGAGCGGAAAATGACTGGGAGGCAGGAATTAGAGGAAACTAGGGAAACCTTGAAGTGTAATTCATTGTTATCTTGATTGTTATTTTGGATGCACAGGTAAGCACATGTGAAACTGCATTTTTTCCTTTGGAGACATGGTCTTGCTTTGTCATCCAGGCTGGAGCTCAGTGGTGAGATCATAGCTCTCTGCAGCCTCAGACCCTGCGTCTCCACCAATCTTCCTCCCTCTGCCATACGTAGCTGGGACTACTGGTATGTAAGACAATACTTGGCTTCAGTGCTTATTAAAATGCACACTTTAATTAAGCAGTATTTGTTATACAGCAATCATGCCTCAATAAGAGTATTGCAAATAAGTGGATAGATAATTTGTTCAATAAAGATTGATGGAAAGATAGATGCTAACATGAGAAAATGCATGACACCCAAGAAAATAACACTGTAGGAAACATGCTTTTCTTTACAATTGTTAGGTAATCACAACAGAGCATACACATCACACCATGTTCTCGTTACAGAGAAAAGGTTCTGCAAACCTCACTAGCTGCAACCCCTGTGTGCTGGGCTTGGTTCAGGGAGAAGTCAGGTCCAGTGGTGAGAAGCACAGGCCCAGATAACCAAGCTCACTCTGACCGAATGTGAGCCCTGGGTACATTGTACAACCCATCTGTGCTTCTGCTGGTAATTTTTCATCTGTAACATGGAAATGACATTGATACTATATACCATGTTTCCTCTGCATATGTAAAAATAAAAGGTGATTGGTGCTAACTTTAAATATACACAGTTTATGTACATTGATTGCACCTCAATACAACAGTTTTAAATAGATATTACAACATTATAAGTTTTATAGGTTTAATATTTTATCACAGAACAAACTTTCAATAAGAAACCACAATTTCCAAATGCTATCAATATCACAAATCTCCCCCAGGACACTCTCACATGCTCTGAGCCCCACTCTCTCCTCAGGCGTCCCATCCCAGAGCTTGGCATGTAGTAGGAGACATGCAAATAGAGCCCTCCCTCGGCTTATGAAAACCAGCCCAGCCCTGACCCTGCAGCACTGGAAGAGGAGCCCCAGCCCTGGGATTTTCAGGTGTTTTCATTTGGTGATCAGGACTGAACACAGAGGACTCACCATGGAGTCATGGCTGAGCTGGGTTTTTCTTGCCGCTATTTTAAAAGGTAATTCATTGAGAACTATTGAAATTGAGTGTGAGTGGATAAGAGTGAGAGAAACAGTGGATTTGTGTGGCAGTTTCTGACCAGGGTTTCTTTTTGTTTGCAGGTGTCCAGTGTGAGGTGCAGCTGGTGGAGTCCGGGGGAGGCTTGGTCCAGCCTGGGGGGTCCCTGAGACTCTCCTGTGCAGCCTCTGGATTCACCTTCAGTGACTACTACATGAGCTGGGTCCGCCAGGCTCCCGGGAAGGGGCTGGAGTGGGTAGGTTTCATTAGAAACAAAGCTAATGGTGGGACAACAGAATAGACCACGTCTGTGAAAGGCAGATTCACAATCTCAAGAGATGATTCCAAAAGCATCACCTATCTGCAAATGAACAGCCTGAGAGCCGAGGACACGGCCGTGTATTACTGTGCGAGAGACACAGTGAGGGGAAGTCAGTGTGAGCCCGGACACAAACCTCCCTGCAGGGGTCCCCAGGACCACCAGGGGGCGCCAGGGACACTGTGCACGGGGCTGTCTCCAGGGCAGGTGCAGGTGCTGCTGAGGGCTGGCTTCCTGTGATGGTCTGGGGCTGCCTCATTGTCAAATTTCCCCAGGGAACTTCTCCAGATTTACAATCCTGTACTAACATTTCATGTCTCTAAATGCAAAACTTTTTTGTTCTTTCTGTATTTTTGTTTTTGTAACAGGAGGACACATTCTCGCCTCCACAGAAGCCACAGTGTCACTTTGGGGGCAGATGATCCTTCTGTAGTCAGCAGGATGAAAGTGCAGAGGAATCTCAGTGGAACCTGGGAAGTCTTTTCCAGTTAGACTCAGGGCAGAGACCTCCATGGGAATCTCTGATTAGAACAGGCTTTGAGTTCTGATAGGAGCCAAGAGAGAGGCTCACCCAGGGTCAGAGTCCTTAAAACCTGACGGTTTTCACAGCTATCTCACCTCGTCTTGAAAAACTGTGCACATCTGACTCACACTAATTCAGTTGACCTTATTTCTGCTAATCTATTTTCCTTCTCTGCAGACTTGATTCTCACAGTTCCCTTTCTTCTTCTCTTGCCTGAAAACAGAGGATGTGTTTTCTGTAGTCAAAATCCCAGAGATCAGGTCTGCAGGACCTGGGTAGGCTGAGGGGACTTTCTCACTCACCATAGCCTGGTGACACTCCTGCTGTATTTTGTATGTGGAGGTGTTTGGAAAACGAAGTGAACATTAGTCATGAAGGGAATAATACTAGTTTTCTCCAAAGGGATGTGGATGTAGAGCTGATCTTGTGCTTCTCACACTGTCACAGAATTTATGCTCTCCCCTGTGACTTTAGGAGAGCTGAGGATGGACACTCCATTGTGCTGTGAGCTCTGGTAATAGTAATTATAGGGTCTCGCTAGGCAGCCTAAGGTCAATACTGCTGGCCTTCGGGAAAGGCAGGCTGGGATTCCTAGGAAAACCTGCATCTGCCATCCAGCATGGAGTCCCATCGTCTTCTGTTATGCTCTGATTGAATCAGGCACACCTAGGTTATCTAGAACACTCTTCGTGACTTGGGAAAAATTAGTGGCAGGCTCTACTAAGACCTGCATTATGCCATGGGAGCAACACCTAGGCTAGTGTGTGATTGAGTAGGTGAGACTATGGTCTAGTCAAGGTGACAGGGAAAATTGTTGCCATTATTATGTTTTATTTTATATTTGGCAATATAGTCATGCTCATATTACAAATATCTTTCTACATTTTTTGTGTCAGAAGCTTTTGAACAAGAGCAACTTCATCTTGAATAGAGGCTAGGAAAAATAAGACTGAGACCTGCTGGGCTACATTCCCAGTAAGTTAAGGCGTTCTTAGTCACAGGATGAGATAGGAGGTCTGCACACGATCCAGGTTATAAAGACCTTGCTGGTAAAGGTTACAGTAAAGAAGCTGGCCACAGCCCACCAAAACCAGGATGGCAAAAAAGTGATCTCTGTTCGTCCTCACTGCTCATTATAATGCCTTAACATGCTGAAAGCCACTCCCCTCAGCGCCATGACGGTTTACACATGCCATGGCAACATCAGGAAGGTTCCCTAGATGGTGTACAAAGGAGGGGAGGACACCTCAGCTTCGGGAATTGCCCAGGGGACTCATGAATAATCCATCCGTTGTGAGAAATACATTCATCCCTTTGAGAGAAAATGCACAGGGGGTGGAATGAGGCTGGGAAGCCGATGGCACATGGTGGAAGCCTGTCCCTGAGTGAAAGAGAGGGGGAAGCTGGATTGGGTGGAAGGTCCCTATATTTCTGTGCTGTGCAAGGGAGGGGCAAAATATAATTGAGTCTCTTGTAAGTCAGTGTTTCCTCTCAGGGGATCCCCATGACTCCCAGAAATAATGGCTCTGCTTAGGAATCCCTGCAGAGTCACTCCTTTCATTAGAGTAGACCACAGGACATGGGCCTCAGCACACGCCATGCCACAGATGTCAGAAAGCAGCTGCTGGGAACCTGACCCACCTGCATTTTGCTGCCTGTAGGAGGAGGGAGGGACGTGCATTCTCAGGGCCAACACACTGTTTTTGGATTTTTATAGAGAACACCTGCTTTTACTTTATTTTTTGGAAAAATATATGAACAAATGTGCACCTGCAAACAATTGTAATTTTCACATTTATTTTAATTGCATTTGTTTATAATTGTGCATGAGGTCCTGGTGCAGAGTTGAGTTTTTCATGGGAATTGTTCCAAGAATCAAGAACATCCATTTTCCACTTTCACTGGTTTTTCCCCATGTGCAGAGACCTTGAGTAGAGCACATCTGGCCCTTATCCACACTATCTCTTGTGTCCCCGGGAAAGAGCAGGGATTTGCCTGACTGCAGAATCTAGGGTAGGAGTCTGCACACGTCTGAGCCTGCAGAGAAGCCCAGTGAAGTTTAATGAAGTCAGAGAGCTTTCCCGTGTGGGGAACCTCTAGCTTCCTCACTCTCAGAGATTGCTGGTCAGCTGTAATTGAGGGGTTAAGAATTAGAGCACCTGGGAGCCTGTCTCATCACAGCTCCATTCTGTAACTTACCACCATCAGACTGCAGGTAATAACTCAATCTTGATTTTTCTGACCCCATCTTATTCATTTGTAAGTTTGGTTATACAAAATGTTACATTTTAGTTTCTGATTCAAACCTCAGAATTTTGTGAATTCATCAGGAATAATTAAAAATGTGTCCAGTTTTTGGGAAATGTAAATTAATGTCCATACTGTTTATGTGTGTGTGCGTGTGTGTGTGGGGGGATATGTCAGTCACTTACACCCCAGTAAAAATGATTCCTTAATTATATAGTCGAACTGCAATTAGATTTGCTGAAAATTGTCTACAGTAATTTCTGTGAAGCTGACCTTGCCACCTTGCTGTGAGGATGCTCAGTGCACAGGTGAGGTCTCACAGGAGAGATCCAAGGTTCAGCCCCCAGGACTGGCTGAGCTCCTGGCTTGGAGCCAGACATAGGACTGGGCATCTCAGAAGCAGATCCCCTGGCCCTCCTTTATCTGGGCTGTATGGGCAGCAGAGGACAAGCAGAAGAAACTCAGAATTCAGCCAAGACAGAGCCCCATTTAGGAGCAGGTGCATCAAGGAACCAGCCAGAGAACCTCTGACTACAATCTAGGGTTGTCTTCTTTTGCTTCACAGCATCCAGTCCTAAGGAGACCACCCACTATATCATCTGTAACTCAGAACTTTCTTGTTACAAAGGAAAACACAAATGAATATAACTCTGCAGTTAACTTCTTGAACCTGGATTGATGAGTTTCCACGGCCTTATGAGCACAGAGACCACATCCAGTGCAGGTGCAGAGCAAGGCTGCAACAGTCAGCCTGCTGCTCCCTCAGGAGTCTTCCAATTCCCTTGTCCAAAGCATCCGCTCATTCATGGGCTGAGAAAAGGGAAGTCATTCATGCAGTCTACTCTCTCCACAGAACTGACGGGGCACAAGGACAACATCGATTTTTCATGGAACATGCCTCTAGGAATGCAGCTGTGTGCACACACACTGCTAAGCACACACTTCTTTACATAATTACTTGTAACTGTATTTTCTTATTTATTCTCTCCAATTTTTTTACACAAATTCATCACTTTTCCCCATAATCAAAGAGGATTTTGATCAGAATGCTTGTGGGGAGCCCCTTGCCCCCCAGATGCCCACCATCATTATTCTTGAAGGGAGGAGGAACGGCAGCTCTCTTGATTTCTACTCTAATCCTCTAGGACTAAAACCAGAAGGTTGCATGTCCGGTGCGGGAGCATCGAAGAAGATCCTGTCTGTAGAAGCAGGAGCGTCAAGACTTGACTGAGAGCCATGGTGCTGAAATGAGATAGATTCCCTGATGGAGAGCACACGTGGACCCCCACACCTGAGGGCTCACTGCTCCTCACCACAGATGCACTCCCCTACTGAGTCCTGAGACCTGAGTGCACCCCATAGAGTAGGGCTCAGATGAGGGGATGCAAATCTCCACCAGCTCCACCCTCCCCTGGGTTCAAAAGACGAGGACAGGGCCTCGCTCAGTGAATCCTGCTCTCCACCATGGACATACTTTGTTCCACGCTCCTGCTACTGACTGTCCCGTCCTGTGAGTGCTGTGGTCAGGTAGTACTTCAGAAGCAAAAAATCTATTCTCTCCTTTGTGGGCTTCATCTTCTTATGTCTTCTCCACAGGGGTCTTATCCCAGGTCACCTTGAGGGAGTCTGGTCCTGCGCTGGTGAAACCCACACAGACCCTCACACTGACCTGCACCTTCTCTGGGTTCTCACTCAGCACTAGTGGAATGTGTGTGAGCTGGATCCGTCAGCCCCCAGGGAAGGCCCTGGAGTGGCTTGCACTCATTGATTGGGATGATGATAAATACTACAGCACATCTCTGAAGACCAGGCTCACCATCTCCAAGGACACCTCCAAAAACCAGGTGGTCCTTACAATGACCAACATGGACCCTGTGGACACAGCCACGTATTACTGTGCACGGATACCACAGAGACACAGCCCAGGGCGCCTCCTGTACAAGAACCCAGGCTGCTTCTCAGTGGTGCTCCCTCCCCACCTCTGCAGAACAGGATAGTGTGGCTGAGATGCCATTTCCTGCCAGGGCCTGCGTTTCCCATCCCCATCTGACTCAGAGCCTTGTTTTCCTCCCTCTTCTTTACTAATAAATGGCATGTCCCCTGTTAGTGGTTCATGCAAGCAGAAGCTGTATCCTGTTTGACAAAGATTCAGCATGAAAGGTCCTGCTACCTAAAAAAAAATAGACAGATGAGACTTAATTAACCTAAATAATTTTTTTCACAACAACAGAGTGAATACGCAATTTACAGAATGACAGAAAACTTTTGCACACTTTGCCTGTGACAGGGAACTAATATGAAGAATTTGCAAGGAACTCAAACAACTCTACAACAACAACAGCAACAAGAACCAAATAACTCCGTTAAAATGAGCAAAGGACATGAGTAGACATTTTCAAAAGAACACATAGAAATGGATAATAAATATATAAACAATACTCAACATCACTAACCATCAGGGAAATGCAAATTAAAACCACAATAAGATATCATCTTCCACCAGTCACAATGACTATTACTAAAAACTCAAATAATATCAGATGTTGCTGAGGATGGGAAATGAAGGCAACTCTTAGACATTGTTGATGAGGATGTAGATGAGTACAACCTCTGTGGAAAATGGTATGGAGATTTCCCAGAAAACTAGAAATAGAACTGTCATTTGGTCCAGCAATCCCACTACTGGGTAACTACCCAAAGGAAAATAAACTATTATTTCAAAAAGATACCCACCTTCTATGCTTACCATAAAACTACTCTCAATAGCACATATGTCAAACTGAGTGTCTGCCAACCGATGATTTTATAAAAGAATATAGCATGTATGCACAATTCAATACTAGTCAGCCACAATAAGGAATGAAACTGTGTCTTTTGCAGCAAGATGCATAGAAGTGGGGGACAATATAATTAGTGAACTAACTCACAAACAGAATGTCACATGTCACACATTATTACTTGTAAGTGGGAGGTAAACAGCGTGTACACAAGGATTTGTAGAGAGAAATTACACACATTGGAGACTTACAAGGATGGGCGGGCAGAAGGTGGGAGCATGATGAGTCATTACATAACAGGCACAATATAAAATAATTAAGAATTGACCAATGATCTTAAAATTAAAATGTAGAATATGATCAATAAATGAACTTGATATTAGTTGACCTCATTAAATTTAAAAACTTTTTCTACTCAAATGACTGTAAGAAAATGAATGCCCGGTTACAGATGAGAAACTGTTTGCGAGTCAAATAACCACCAATGTAACTATAATAAGAAACTTCAGAACTCAACTGTGAATAAAAAAGAAACAACTGATGGATAAATTAGGCAAGGGTTTCTACAGACATTTCGTCAAAGAAGATGTGCAGATGACACTGAAGCATATAAACAGGATCTCAACAGGATTTTCCGTTAGAGAAATTCAAATCAAGCCCGCAAAGAGACACCACTGTACACTTTTTAAAATGGCTGAAATTAAGAAGAAATACAGATAACATCAATGCTGGTGAGCATACCAGGTTGCTAGAGGCTAAAACATTGCTAACAGGAATGCAAAATGAAACAGATACTCAGGAAAATAATTTTTAGTTTTCTCTAAAATCAAACATACCCTTAACACCTGAATATTTGCATCAGAGAAAAACAATCTTACATTCACGCATAACTTCTATTCAAATATTCAAGATATCGTGTGTATGTGTGTTAGAAAGTAAAAATAACATAAATGTCTCAAAATTTGAATAGGTGAAGAACTAGGAAGCATCTATAAATTGAATACCACCAGCAATAAAAAAATAACAAGTGACCGATACATAAACTATTACAGGTGAACTCCAGACATTGTGCTAAGTGAGAGAAGCCAGTCTCAAAGATCAAAGGGACACAGCTGTAAGCACCACGGTCATCCTCAGGTGTCAGTGGTTTGGGCTGGACTTTCTGTGTCTCTTTCCTGACCAGACCCAGATATTGAGCTCCACCACTTGCAGATGGAAAATCCTATTTTCAACCATGCAGTGAGGTTTGAACTGCTTCACAGACTGAACGAAACAAACACGGGCTCCTTTGAACAGCGTCCGGCATTTGTTCCAACCACAAGAGAACGTCCCTCAGCTCTCCCACCTCCTCGGTTCTCTCCTGCAAGCCAGCAGCCCTGCAGTTTAGCCTGCATCTCCCGTGCATCCACCCATCTCCCTCCAAGCACCTTCCCCCACACCCTCCACTGTTTCTGAGAGCACAGGCAGGCTTTGAACTTTTCCGCATTCTGTTGTTATTGAAGTTAGGATGTTTAGGACCAACTTAAGGATCATATTTTATGACTGAATTCCAGTGCCCCTTCTCTCCTGGGACAGAGTGCATAACCAAGTTTCTGCAGGTGGAGACGAAGTTGAGCTTTTTTCTTCCTCAGCCTAGGAGATGAGCGCTAATTGGAGGGTTGGGCAGAAGCTTCCCACCATCCCAGCACTTTGGTTCTGGTGGGGCGGAATCGGTGCCATAGGGCAGAGCTAGAAACCGCGGACTGAATGTTCCCAGTGGCACTGGACCCAGGGCAGAGCCTCCATCCACGAGTGGGGCTCTATGGAAGAAGTGAGTCTCTGGCTCTCAGTAGCTCTCGTCCAGCACTGAACCTCAGCATCATGTGCTGTGTGCAGGGTCAGAGGGCCAACGTACTGGCCCCTGGGAAAGCGTTTCCTCTGGTGGGAGTTGGTAGAAGGTGTCCTGTCTTCTTGGCTGCATCTGTCCGCAGTGGAGTTTACATCATGCTGAGCTGGGATGTGGAAGGAAGGAAGAGCATCTTAGATCAAATATGATGACTGGCCTTACTGAGTTTTCTAGATTTTCCTGAATAAATGTTTCTTCACTCACTGTGTGCTGTTAGAGTCTTTCCAAACCTGTAATTTCCCAAAATAATTTTCACTGGTCTCATGAGGGCATGGATTCATTGAGCCCCTCATGCTGTCAAAGAGAAATAGAACTGTTTTTTTTTTTCACTTCATAGCGAACATCCATGGGTTATCAAATAATGGGCTGGCTTTTCTTCCAACACTTTACAGACACCATCAATTTTCTTCTTGCTTATAAGGTTTTAACCAGAAGAATGCTGTCATGGTCTTTTCTGTTCTTTTGGAAGGAATGCCCCCTCTACTCACCTCCACTTGTCTGCCTGTATTTCTATTTGTCTTTGGTTTTCAACAATTTTAATAAGATTTACCTAAATGTGTGTGGGGGGAGCATGGGGTGTTATTCTGCTGTTCTGTGTTCTCTGAGATGCATGGATTCACCATTTACTCTGTCTCCATTTTTGTGAAAACAATTAGAAAAAAAGTCAGTATGAGCCCAGAAACAAGCCTCCCTGAAGTGGGCACAGGACCACCTGGGGGCGCTCAGGACCCACTGAACACAAGAGCCAGCCCCAGGGCAGGTGCAGATGCGGGTTAAGTTCTGGTTTCCTGTCAACCCTGTGGCTTCCTCTCCATAAAACAGTTTCCTTTGTGGCATATCTCTGGATTCCTTATCCTGTTCTTCCTGTGAAGTCTCTGAAGAAGAAACATTTGTCGTAACAAGAGAAAAACTTTCTCACATGCACCAAAGGCAGAGTCACCTACAGTCACTTACTCCTGTTTCTCAATGTCAATAAGTTACCAATGCTTCTGAAGTTAATCAGCTAAATCTATAAAAGGTGCGGTGTTTAACTCAGCATTACAGCCCAGCTCAACAGAACTCCAAAGGTCAGCCAGCAGCAGCCAGGAAAAAGTGCATGCTGGGCATTGGGGCAGAGGGAGTTACCATCCAGTGCAAGTAGCCTTATAATTAGGTGAACTTCGGAATTTAATCTTCAGTTGTGTTAAATAAAAAAAAAAAACACAATCTACAATTTAGGAAAGTGAGAGTTTATTTTTATCAAGGGTTACAGCCATCCCATATCCTGGAAAGCATAGCTCTTGGTAAAGACGAGAGAAAGGCACTCCCAGGAAGAAGGGGTTGGGCAGAAGCTTTATGCTGAAGGGTTTGGCTAAACAGACATAATCAACAGGTTACAGGAGGGGCTATAGATGTTCATGGAGGTGGTCCTGACACATGCATACTGAACAAACATGTCTGTAACATATGACCCCTGTTCACTTACCAGTGGAGCCTTAGCATTTAAATTCATTCCAGTGAGGCCCTATGTGCAAACAGCACAAGCAGAGACACAAAGGCACTCAGTGTGCAGCTTCTGTAAACGGCCAGAGCCAGGCCATGGTCAGTGGTCTTGGATCAGGAGAAAGTTCCTGATATCACTCTAGTGTTCAATCAAAGCTGGGGTTATGGTTTGCGGAACAGGGGGTCAGTTCATCAGGGGGTGGGCTGCAATTGTCTTCATAGTGCTTGTCTCAGTGCCGGTGCTTACTGAGCCACTAGAGAAAAAGGTTTAATTGAGCTTCTTTAAAATCAACATTTTGAATGATTTATCAGACATTTCAAATATGTCATGTTGTTTAGATTCTATTGCTGGAGAGTTAAGGTGATATTTGGGGTTTTGTGACTCTGTTTTTTCATACTTCCTGAATTGCTTATCTGTTTGCTTTTCATTAGCTAAACTATCGCTTCTTCTTATTTTTTAATTCATTCTGATTTTGATGAATATTTAATTCCCTTTAGAATGTGAATATAATGTACATTGTGTGGGTATTTTGATTTTGGTTCTTGGTTTACTTAGTGGCAAAGACTCTGTAAGAGTTCCTTGTCTATAGATAGCCATTATTTAGTGGCTTTCTGAAATGGTGGTTTTAGTACCAAAGTACTGGACTTGTGAGTAGGCTCACTGCCCGCTGCAGGTCCTAGATAGTGGAGGCCTCAGGAACTGTTTCTCATTTGGAATGCCTTTGTTTCAGCAGATTTTGTGTTGGGTTGTTAAGTTCACCCTCCACATTAGTAGATGTCTTACAGATTAGAGCTGACTCTGGTAGAAGCAGTTGAGTACATGCTTGATATCTGTGCACAGGGAGAAGCTCTCTGTTGCCTCAGGCGATGGACTGGTCTATGAAATGCACAGTGACCTGAGTTCCCTGCTCAGCCCCTGAGAGGTGGACCAAGCTGGACACACATGAGCCACCGAGCCTGGCAAGCAAAAGCGCCAGCCTTGATGGAAATGGCGAGCTGAGGGGCATCTACTCAGTGTGGTTTCTTTTGTTATTAAGAGCTTTAGTGTGGTGGCTTTTTCAAATTCCCGTTGTAGTGGTAATATACTGGGTATGTGAGCAGGCCCGTGGTCTTTTGCGGGGTTGGAATCACCGAAGTAATGAGAAGCTAATCTCATTTTCAACTGCTGTACACTGGTGGTATTGAGTTTGTATGAGGTCATGCAGTTTGAACGTCAGGCCAGTAGGTGGTGCTCGCAGGTAAGAGCCGGCTATGGTGGCAGCAGAAGGGTTTATGCTTTACCGGTGGTTAAAGTGGGAAACTTGTCGTGTTCCAGATCTTAGAGAAAAGACTTTTAGTTATTTCTCATTCAACCTGATACTACCTGAAAGTCTCTCGAATGTAACTTTTATTTTGTCGCGATGGGTTCTTTCTATACCCATTTTTTATGGTTTTTTTATGAAAGGATGTTGTTTCATCAAATGCGTTTTCAGCATCAATTGAAAAAAATTATATGTTGATTAAAGATCAAAATGTATAACCTAACACTATAAAACCTCTGGATAATAACCTAGGAAACAGAATTTAGGAGGTAAGAACTGACAAAGGTTTTATAATGAAAATGCTAGAAGTAGTTGCAACAAAATTGAAAATTGACAAATGGGACCTAAGTAAATTAAAGAGCTTCTGTACAGCAAAAGATACTATCAACAGAGAAAACAGGCAACCTACAGAATGGGAAATAAAATATTTGCAGCCTATACATCTGACAAAGGTCCGATACTTAGTATATACATGGAAATTTAACAAACATTCAAGAAATAAAAAGTGACCAAAGGACATGAAAAGACACTTCAAAAAAGACCTACATGTGGCCAACAAGCATAGGAAAAAGTGCTGAATATCACTATCATTAGAGAAATACATATCAAAACCTCAATGAGGTACCGTCTCACATCAGTCAGGATGGCTAATCTTAAAAAAAAAATAACAGATTTTTAAGGTTACAGAAAAAAGGGGAAATTTATACACTTCTGGCGGGAATATAAATGAGTTCAACCATTGTGGAAAGCAGTGTGGTGATCCCTCCAATAACCTAAAACAGAAGTTTCATTTGACCCAACAATCCTACAACTGGACATATACCTAAAGGAATATAAACATGTAGGTTCACTGCAGCACTATCCACAATAGCATAGACATGGAATTTACCTAAATCCCCATCACTGGCAGAATGATAGAGAAAAATGTGGTACATACAACCATGGAATACTATGCAGCTAAGGAAAGAATGAAACTATGTCCTTTGTAGGAACATGATGGAACTGGCAGTCAATACTCTTAGAAAACTAATTCAGGAACAGAAAACCAGATATTATATATTCTCCCTTATTTGTTGGAGATAAATAAAAGCAAATATTCTTCCAGGGCCTGAGTCTTCCTTATTCAACAAGTCATTCTAAATTAAGTGTTCAGCAAGTTGCTGATACTCATCTAAATATTCTATTTCATCTGGGCCACTTACATCACTCAAAAAGCAATGAGAGCTATATTTCTAAGGGGGGTTCTAGGATAATAAATACCTGAATAGTGAGAATATGAAGGATATGGAAACTGGGCCACTTATATCACTCAAAAAGGAATGAGAGCTATATTTATAAGGGGGGTTCTAGGATAATAAATACCTGAATAGTGAGAATATGAAGGATATGGAAACTGGGCCACTTATATCACTCAAAAAGCAAGGAGAGCTATATTTCTAAGTGGGGTTCTAGGATAATAAATATCTGAATAGTGAGAATATGAAGGATATGGATGGTTTTTTTTTAATTCAATGGGCACATAACTGTGGGAGACACTATATTCCTATGAAGAAGGTATTCAGACTTCAGAGATAAGTAAAGTTTCCTACGTTGTGTTTGTGACTTGGAAGCAGTGGATTGAAGAGTGTGATAGGTGCCCAGACCAAGCGGAACAGAAATCAACATGTAAAGATGATGATCTATGGATATGATCTAAAAC
Organism: Homo sapiens; assembly: GCF_000001405.40. Lineage (NCBI taxonomy): Eukaryota > Metazoa > Chordata > Mammalia > Primates > Hominidae > Homo > Homo sapiens. Next base: position 106,763,340 of record NC_000014.9, on the reverse strand, counting down.
CATGAAAATACTTCAAATAATTCTATTTAATGCAGTTTGAAATAAAACACAAACTTATTCAAAATACAAATTACTTGGTAATTATTTTGGGAGCTATGAGTTCATCAAGAAACTCAAATTCCTATTTCTACTTCAACCCCTGATTCCTACTGTCAATGGGAGGGAAGTCTCAGAACCAATCACACATCAGACGGCAAATCTGTCAACCAAGAGTCTTTCCCTTGAAGGCCTGGGAGGTCAGGACCCTCAGGAAAGTGCTGGGGACTCTGTCTTGGGAGTGTCCAGCAGATCTCAGAACTCTCCATGGGTCCTGCTGGACACTCATGTAGGGTAACGAGTGGCCACCTTTTCAGTGTTACCAGTGAGCTCTGAGTGTTCCTAATGGGACCAGGATGGGTCTAGGTGCCTGCTCAATGTCAGAGACAGCAATGGTCCCACAAAAAACCCAGGTAATCTTTAGGCCAATAAAATGTGGGTTCACAGTGAGGAGTGCATCCTGGGGTTGGGGTTTGTTCTGCAGCGGGAAGAGCGCTGTGCACAGAAAGCTTAGAAATGGGGCAAGAGATGCTTTTCCTCAGGCAGGATTTAGGGCTTGGTCTCTCAGCATCCCACACTTGTACAGCTGATGTGGCATCTGTGTTTTCTTTCTCATCGTAGATCAGGCTTTGAGCTGTGAAATACCCTGCCTCATGCATATGCAAATAACCTGAGGTCTTCTGAGATAAATATAGATATATTGGTGCCCTGAGAGCATCACATAACAACCACATTCCTCCTCTAAAGAAGCCCCTGGGAGCACAGCTCATCACCATGGACTGGACCTGGAGGTTCCTCTTTGTGGTGGCAGCAGCTACAGGTAAGGGGCTTCCTAGTCCTAAGGCTGAGGAAGGGATCCTGGTTTAGTTAAAGAGGATTTTATTCACCCCTGTGTCCTCTCCACAGGTGTCCAGTCCCAGGTGCAGCTGGTGCAGTCTGGGGCTGAGGTGAAGAAGCCTGGGTCCTCGGTGAAGGTCTCCTGCAAGGCTTCTGGAGGCACCTTCAGCAGCTATGCTATCAGCTGGGTGCGACAGGCCCCTGGACAAGGGCTTGAGTGGATGGGAGGGATCATCCCTATCTTTGGTACAGCAAACTACGCACAGAAGTTCCAGGGCAGAGTCACGATTACCGCGGACGAATCCACGAGCACAGCCTACATGGAGCTGAGCAGCCTGAGATCTGAGGACACGGCCGTGTATTACTGTGCGAGAGACACAGTGTGAAAACCCACATCCTGAGAGTGTCAGAAACCCTGAGGGAGAAGGCAGCTGTGCCGGGCTGAGGAGATGACAGGGTTTATTAGGTTTAAGGCTGTTTACAAAATGGGTTATATATTTGAGAAAAAAAGAACAGTAGAAACAAGTACATACTCCTCTAATTTTAAGATAATTATTCCATTCAAGAGTCGTAATATAAGCCAGATTCACAGAGTGGAAAAGGCCACACTCTATAAAGTTGATACAAACATTCCATGAAGGTGCTACTGTGAACAAGTTTTCAAATTGGATGAATACATGATTTGGAGCAAGGTTATTTGATCATGTGGTGAGACTAAGAATGATTCTTAAAAAGTGCCAAAAGTTTCCTTCAAATGTTTCTGTCACTCCTTATCATAAAGTTTATTTTACAGCAGTTTTAGGATTACAAAGAAATTGCACAGGAGGCGTGAGAATTCCCATGACTCCCTGCCCTACACAGGCACAGCCTCCTCCACTACGACCATCCTGCACCGCAGTCACAAATCAGTTACAATGGAGGAATCTCCAAGGACGCTTGGTTCTTTCTTTTTCTGGTGATCTCCTAATATAACAAGCCTAAGTATCTCAAGATTCCACGGTTTTTTCAGTGTTTTCTAGAACTGATATTAGTCAGAGGGAAAGTGGGTAAGGCTATTACTATTTGAACTCTTTCTTCCAAAATCCACAAAATATATATTAATTTAGAGCTTATCTTACTTCTGGTTTACAATGCTCCTTCCCAGACAGTAAGATTTTTTTAAGCTTTTAGAGGCCAGTTCATGTCTCTAAAAGACCAGAAAGTTCTGGGGAATCCCATAATGAACATCCTTTCATGAGAATTGGAGACCCTGGCAATGAGAGACTCCATGTATAATGCCCTAGAGTTGGATTAGATGCTCTGTAAGCTCTTGGGTGGTGAGTCTGAGTAAGGGGGTTTGTGCAGCAAACGCAAACACATGCATGGGACCCAGGTAGGAACAAAAGCTTCCCTCTACAAAGGGAGTGTGCACCTGAAGCAGCCCTCACAGAGGTGGGCACTGCTCACCCTTGATGAGTGCACATTAGCCAGAGGCATGATCATGATTGGTCTTGCAGACAAAGAGCACCACTGAGGTCATAGGTTATGAAAATGTTTGTCATCCTCCAGCTGAGCAAGTCCATCTGCTTGTTTGTGGGTGTCAACTCCATGGAGGGTGCACTTTGGGAGATGACAAGATGCACACAAACCTCCTCTCACTAATTATCCACTACCACACACTCAAAACAACCCTGTGCTCCAGAAAGGGATACGTGCCTGCCGAAACAAACAGAGCTTAAGGGTTTTATTACCTGGTAAATATACTGCCCAAAGCCACACGTTTCAGGAAGATTAGCTCAGAAATGTTCACCAATTGACTGAAGGGCAGTGGCGGGTGAGGTGATGGGACAGCCTCAGGGCTGCACATGAGGAGGGCTCCCTCCCCCATGCAGGCTTTTCTCCAGGAGCTTCACCAGGAACTCAAGGGGGATCAGGGAGAATTCTGAGAACACCCTACTGTGGAGCTGCCTAGAGAGGAAGAATAAATGATGAAAAATAAAACTCTGAGTAACGTATGGGCATTTGTTAATGAAAACTGTTTTTCTGAAAGCTTGTGAAGGTCTTGAAATGCCCCTGAGTAGCTGAGGGCAAATATTTAAACCCTCCTTCCACAGGGAGTTCAAGCAGGCTGGATGTGTCCTTCTATGGATGATCTTCCCCAACCCCTTCCTCTTCCCAGATCATCCCTGGCTCTCTGTGTAAACAGTTCTCATCAGTGTAATGTGATTGATGAAGTGAGGTCTTCAATTTCCTCATCTTCTTGGTGGTCATGTTATTTTTTTTCATCTGAGGGTTAAAAACTCACCTGCATGCAGCACGTGACAGCCTAAAATCTCTTGTGGACAAAACAGTAACAAAGGCACCCACGAGGGTTGAGCACCCGTGTTGCTGACAGCGACAACCAGGGGTCAACGTCCTCTCCAAAATCCTGTGTCAGAGCATCACTGGAATGATTTCATTAGCAACTTCCCAGGAGAATCAGCTTAAAAAATACTTGTCCCATTTTCCATGCAGATATAACCCATCCCTTTTCCTGAAGAAACAGAGCTCAATACTAAATACACTGAATGTTGTTTTTGCTGGTTTTGTAAGTTTGTGACTTTATCACTTTCTAATTTCTGAGTTAGGTGGACCACTCTACATATTTCTCTCATGGGTGTGACCAGCCTTCTGGATGTCAAATATAACTGACTTTGTTCGTGTAAATGTCAACACAAGCTCTTCATGGTTTCGGTGCTCACTGACTACTCTAAACTTACACATGTGTTTCTTTATTAGCTTTGTTTTCTGGTGTCTCTACTTGGCTTATTCATCATGTCCATTTTGTGTTATTTCTACAGGTAATGATTGTTATTTTTAAAATTTACTGTTGCTTACTTTAATTAAATAAGAAGGCAATAGCTTAGAATAGAAAACAAGGTAAAGTAAAAGTACATGCAGTAATATTTAATATAAGTAAGCAGGCAGCTGAAAGCAAGGGAAATCTACTCTGCTGTGTAAAAGGGTATGGAGACCTCATAGTATGATGATCTTCTGCAGTTTAATCCATACTGCTACATAAGTGACAGCATCCACTCTGTTTATATCAGAGCTTTCCCTAATATGTATAATGAAGACTGAGCCCAGGTACCTCCAACCAGACTGACCAGCACCTTTTACCAAGTGCCTGAACTGACAGCAATAGAGATCACGTTTGTCTAAAAAAAAACTCACACTGTAAGGATACCCACCAGTCATATGGAGACAATTTGAAAAAATTAAAGCCCAAGCCTGATAGGTAGTAATTTATACTTAGAAGAATTAACTTTTATCTCCACATTTTTTTAATCATAGAGAAACTACTAGAGTCACTGTCCAAGTTACTGAATATCTTATTCCCTAGAATGAGACATTGCACAATGTGTTCTGACACGAGGGAATGTAGCTGTAGTTAAGGGACAGGAGATGTGATCACGGGAACATGAGTCTGCGATCCAGCAGTTCTTGCTCCTTCACATTTGCCCAGAAACAAAGACCCCAGCAGAACAATGGAAGCATTGACTTAGGTCTCCACAGTCTGATGTGAGATAAACAGCAGGTAGTTTATGCCTCTGTTTTATAGCAGGAAATTTAATCTCTAAAGAAGGGCCATTTTGAGGATAATACTATTCTCCAGGATGCTTACATGCCCCCAAACAGAGAGCACTACAGTGCCCCCTGGCCAGGAGCTACAACACCTGGGTCTGGAAACCACTGGACAGAAATATGAGTTTCTCTTACCACATGTATGATGGAAATTTGAAAAATGTTTCCTTCCTTCCCCATAATCATAGGCTGTGATGGACTGGAGGTCCCAGTACATAAAAAAACTGTGTCTGCATTGGATACAGAATTAGTCTCATAAAATAATTGTGCTACGGTGGTGCCCACACTGTTGGACCAGCGGACCGAGAAAGTGTTGTAAGAGCTGCAGTGTCTACTGATTCCTATCATATTTGGGGCTACATTCACATCTATCAAGGGAAAGAGAGATAAGAAAATCTCTCTAGGCCGGGCGCGGTGGCTCACGCCTGTAATCCCAGCACTTTGTGGGGCCAAGGTGGGCGGATCACGAGGTCAGGAGATCCGGACCATCCTGGCCAACATGGTGAAACCCCGTCTCTCCTAAAAATACAAAAAATTAGCTGGGCATGGTGGTGGGCGCCTGTAGTCCCAGCTACTCAGGAGACTGAGGCAGGAGAATGGCGTGAACCCGGCAGGCGGAGCTTGCAGTGAGCCGAGATTGTGCCACTTCAACTCCAGCCTGGGGGACAGAGCTAGACTCCATAAAAAAAGAAAGAAAGGAAGAAAGAAAGAAAGAAAGAAAGAAAGAAAGAAAGAAAGAAAGAAAGAAAGAAAGAAAGGAGAGAGAAAGAGAGAGAGAGAAAGAAAGAAAGAAAGAAGGAAGAAAGAAGGAAGGAAGAAGGAAGGAAGGAAAGAAAGAAAGAAGAAAGAAAGAAGGAAGGAAGGAAGGAAGAAGGAAGGAAGGAAGGAAAGAAAGAAAGAAAGAGAAAGAAAGAAAGAAGGAAGGAAGGAAGAAGGAAGGAAGTAAGGAAAGAAAGAAAGAAAAAGAAAGAAAGAAAGAAAAAGAAAAGAAAGAAAGAGAGAGAAAGAAAATCTGGCCTAGATAGAGTCTACATATTTATTTTCATTTCTTCAAATGAGGTAAAAAAATCGCATCAACTAAAATGGGGACGATGATGAAGTGATCAAGGACAACAGCCACTCAGTGTTTCAGGTGTGTTTTAACCCAAAGTCACACAACGTGTGAGAACCTGAACTCCGGAGCCAGGGGCATCTCTGAGGAGAATGTGGAAGGTGGGCGGGAGGAAACAGTGATTCATGTCTAGGGAAATTTCAGGGCTGCCTGCTCTAGGGGAAAGGAAAGCCTGAGCCTCTCCCACAGTGTGCTCTGTTAAAATTGTTGGGTGACTTATTGTATTCTTCGACACAAATATTTTTGTTTAGTCCTCTCTTAAATTTTTTTATCTCTATTAAAATTCTCACTTTGTTCTTGCATGCTGCCACTAGCTTACTAAACATGTTTCTAATATTTACTTCAAATTTTCTGCCAGAACATCAATATGTTTTATATTCATTGATGCCAGATTCTGGACCTCTATGTTGTCTGTCTGTTTGGACCATGTTCCCGTGTTTCTTCATTTTCCTTGACGGTCTTTCTTGCTATCTGTTCATCATAACAAACAGCTCTTTGCTCATCATAACAAAGAGCCACACTCTTCAAAGACTAGGGTCATAGAGACCACCCTCACCAATCACCCCAGTCAATAAGTGTGGATCTCTCAAAAATTCATAATAACTTCATAATATTCAAACTGCTGCCTCTGTTCTTAGTGGCCCCCAGGTTTAGAGAACATTGGGTTGTGCCAGGACTCCCAAGTAGGAGAGGTAGAAACTATTTACTCAAGCAGACTCTTGAAAAGGTGTACCATTAGACACAGTTTTATTATTGAGTTATGATTCATCAAAATAATGTTAGTTCAAGTTTCTTTCAACCAGTCATCTAACATTGAAATGTTATAATTTCTTACTTGGATCTCTCTGGGGTTTATCTTTGGGATATTTAGGTAAAATTACAAACTAGTATAAAGCTGCCTACTTGACAAAATTATCTGCTGCAGAATTTTCATCTTCCATGTATCTGTTTTTGCACCTAAATCTAAGTTTTTATTAGTCAAGTATCCAGAATATAGAAATATGTCTTAAAGTTCCTTCACTTTTTTTTAAGTTTATGGGGTTTCCAGAAGAGGTGAGAACGTTCTTTATATATAAAATACCTGATTCCACATTGCTGGATAGTTTCTTCTTTAATTTATCTCCTCCTCTCACATTATACTATATTAAGCAAGGAGAAATCAAAACACACCATCCACACTTTGCTAGAAATCCCCAAAGCTAAATTTTAAGTATCACTTACTAATTCTAATTTTACCCATTGTAACTTAATTAACATAAAATCTATAACAAGGTTACACATACTTTCCCGTTCTAATACCATGTTCGTGACAGAAACAAAGCAGGTGTCTTCTCTGCAATGTGGTCATCTGAGGTCTGAGATGAGGGGTCACACAGGTATTTTATAATATTTAAGGGTTTGGACAACAGTAGTGATAACAATTCTGAACAGCACTGGCTCCTAATTGAAAGGTTATAGGTAAATTTAATGCTGCAATTTTATATTAACACCTTGTCCGAATGAAGCTCAGAGGAAGATGCCACATCCCAGGTCACACAGTGAGGAGGAATGGAGCTGCGCTCTGCTCTCCACACCACCTACAAATCCCAGGCCCCAGCCCAGGTTCCACTGGCGCACGGCACCTAGAGCACAGTTCCCAGGGGATGATCTCAGGGCACCTGCTTCCTCGGGCAGGGCGCTGCCTTCTCTCAATTGTGCACTTGCTCCTCCTGCAGGTTCTGTAGTGAGCACTTGTATTGTCGTGATTTATACATGTTCTCTCCCCTAATATGGAAAAAAATATTTATTAAATTTTCAACTCATTTTCTCTGATGCACACTGCATTAGCAGAAAGGAATAAATCACATTTCCTATCCTCCCATAAAGCCAAAGATTCCCGAAGACAGACTGATGTGATGTACTCATAGGTGGATCTCTGCCCCTCAGGGGAGGCCTTGGTCTTCAAGTTTCAGTAATTCTAGGAAGCGAAGGACACCTACATCTCCTGCTCCCTGCTCTGTAGCTCACCTGAGAACAGCTTTCTCATTGGAATGTCTTGTGTTTAAGGAATAAGAGTCCATGTTTCAGGTTCGGGAGCCCAGGTGCACCTACTGGATGCAGCCCAGGATTGGAGACACTTTCCAGAAGACAACATCACCTGAGACATGACCAGTCCCACTGTTTCACTTTCACAATTTCAACTTCCTCAGAAGAAAATTAAAATTGCTGAGACTTGTTCATAAGTGTTCTGCCATGTCCTTACTCTGTTTTCTTGCCTGTTCATTTATGTCATACCAGGTGCCTGTTATACGTAATAAGATCAGAATTCTGCCTCCAGTAACACATCAATGGAGACCTTTGATTGTACTTTTGGTTTATGCACTGACACATAGATTATGATGTTCATCACATTCATTTTTATGTCAAAGGAAATCTGCATAATCTGAATGCCAATACTTTTTGGAATCTGCTAAGTAACTGAAATTGAAAAAAAAATACCCACTCAAGAACCTGGATAGACAGCCATGTCCAGAATGGCAGTTGACACTTGTTTAACTGGAAGAGAATCTACAGAAGCCACAAGTTGTTGAGGGCACTTACATGATAAGCACTATAGTTGTCTTAAAGACAGATGTGGACTCAGTAAATGTGACTGTTCCAGAGGGTCTTATACTTCTATGTTTTATGGACTTTCTCACCAGAAACCTCCAGATTCTAAAAAATACTATCCAAATACATTTCCTATTTGTCAGATCGGAGAAGATTAATTACTGAAAAATATTACGGGAGACTTTTTCAAAAGCTTCTACATGGAAGGACTTTTCGAGAACCTTGTCCTATGTAAAGGAAGACAATTCTCCCATTCCAGATTTCTCTCCCATTCTTCCATTATTATACACATGAGCAAAGTTAGCCAATAGGGGTAAGATGTAAGTAAATAGTCCAGGGGCACTGAAACCACAAAAGGGAGTAATGGCCAAAGTAGCTTTTCCCCTGGAGATTCCTGGTCAAAGTCACAGCCCAGAAGAGGAAGCCGATCGCGTCTCTAGGTTTCCATTGTCAAAACAGGCAGTGCTTGCCTGCACTGCACAATCCATTCTAACCAGTGTGATAGCTCTGGATTAAAGATGGAAGTGTGGCAATGCACAGACTCTATGTGAGAAGAACACTGGAAAACTAAAGGACAAAGGCAGAGAGTAGGACAAGGACGACAAAGCAATCTGAAGCCTCTGACATCACCATTTTTAAGATCAAGGTCTTGGAAACTCCCTCATTGACCTTTAGATCTCTAGGAGAAAAAAGTCAGATACCTGGGCCTAGTGTCAGTGTAGGAGGAATTTTCTATAGGCTAGGCATTAGGAAGAAGGGAAAATTCTTCCTTATTAGGAAGTTATTGTTATAGTGTTATAGTGTTATTGGAATAGTGGATATGGAGCGGGCTTTCATCTCGATCAATCTGCACCTGCTGGTATTTTCCAATGCTACATTCACCTGCAAGAGCCCAATGAAGAAAGAAGGCACTCCCAAATCTTTTGCAAGTTTTTGTATTCACTGTGGGTCCACTGCTTAAGTGCATCTGGAACTTCAGAGAAGGGGCTCTGTCCTGTGTCATAGAACCCTTGCTTTGAGTCTCATGGCAGAGTTCAATCTGTTTAGTAAAGTTGATCAATTATTTCAAGAGATGGTGTCACCAGCATATGGTGTCACTGAGGGAGTATTCTACACTAGCACACAGCCATTTCACGCTGGGCTAGAGAAGCTGGGGGGAAATGCTTTGTGAGCCCCAACAAGAACCTCCTTGCAAGGCAAGGGCTGGGCGGGAGGGGGCACTCAGGAGCCATTCAGCACGGGTTCCAGCCCTGCAGCTGGTGCACAGGAGGCTGCTGAGAAGGTTTCCTCTCAGGGGCTGGGTCTTCCTTTGGGAGAAAAAAGCTAAAATTCAATAAGTTGCTGGTGTGCCCTTAAATATTCTATCACATCTGAGCTGTTCCCACAATTCAAGGCGATGAGAACTATCCTTATAAATATTCTATCACATCTGAGCTGCTCCCACAATTCAAGACCATGAGAACTATCTTTATAAATATTCTATCACATCTGAGCTGCTCCCACAATTCAAGGCGATGAGAACTATCTTTTTAAATATTCTATCACATCTGAGCTGCTCCCAAAATTCAAGGCAATGGGAACTATCTTTTTAAATATTCTATCACATCTGAGCTGTTCCCACAATTCAAGACCATGAGAACTATCTTTTTAAATATTCTATCACATCTGAGCTGCTCCCACAATTCAAGGCGATGAGAACTATCTTTTTAAATATTCTATCACATCTGAGCTGTTCCCACAATTCAAGACCATGAGAACTATCTTTTTAAATATTCTATCACATCTGAGCTGCTCCCACAATTCAAGATCATGAGAACTATCTTTTTAAATATTCTATCACATCTGAGCTGCTCCCACAATTCAAGGCGATGAGAACTATCTTTTTAAATATTCTATCACATCTGAGCTGCTCCCACAATTCAAGACCATGAGAACTATCTTTATAAATATTCTATCACATCTGAGCTGCTCCCACAATTCAAGGCGATGAGAACTATCTTTTTAAATATTCTATCACATCTGAGCTGCTCCCACAATTCAAGGCGATGAGGACTATCTTTTTAAATATTCTATCACATCTGAGCTGCTCCCACAATTCAAGGAATGAGAACTATCTTTTTAAATATTCTATCACATCTGAGCTGCTCCCACAATTCAAGACAAGGAGAACTATCTTTTTAAATATTCTATCACATCTGAGCTGCTCCCACAATTCAAGACAAGGAGAACTATCTTTTTAAATATTCTATCACATCTGAGCTGCTCCCACAATTCAAGGCAATGAGAACTATCTTTTTAAATATTCTATCACATCTGAGCTGCTCCCACAATTCAAGACAAGGAGAACTATCTTTTTAAATATTCTATCACATCTGAGCTGCTCCCACAATTCAAGACCAGGAGAACTATCTTTTTAAATATTCTATCACATCTGAGCTGCTCCCACAATTCAAGACCAGGAGAACTATCTTTTTAAATATTCTATCACATCTGAGCTGCTCCCACAATTCAAGGCAATGAGAACTATCTCTTTAAATATTCTATCACATCTGAGCTGCTCCCACAATTCAAGACAAGGAGAACTATCTTTTTAAATATTCTATCACATCTGAGCTGCTCCCACAATTCAAGGCGATGAGAACTATCTTTATAAATATTCTATCACATCTGAGCTGCTCCCACAATTCAAGGCGATGAGAACTATCTTTTTAAATATTCTATCACATCTGAGCTGCTCCCACAATTCAAGGCGATGAGAACTATCTTTTTAAATATTCTATCACATCTGAGCTGCTCCCACAATTCAAGGCGATGAGAACTATCTTTTTAAATATTCTATCACATCTGAGCTGCTCCCACAATTCAAGACAAGGAGAACTATCTTTTTAAATATTCTATCACATCTGAGCTGCTCCCACAATTCAAGACCAGGAGAACTATCTTTTTAAATATTCTGTCACATCTGAGCTGCTCCCACAATTCAAGGCGATGAGAACTATCTTTTTAAATATTCTATCACATCTGAGCTGCTCCCACAATTCAAGACAAGGAGAACTATCTTTTTAAAGTCGGCTTCTAAGATTATAAATACCTTAATAGTGAGAATATGAAGAATAGGGATGGTCTTACTAATTCAATGCAGAGAGAATTATGGGAGTCACTATATTTCTATGAATAATAATTTCAGATTTCAGGCTGGGGCTGGTGGCTCATGCCTGTAATGCCAGCACTTTGCGAGGCTGAGGTGAGGGGGTCACGAGGTCAGGAGCTGGAGACCATCCTGGCTAACACCATGAAATCCTGTCTCTATTCAAAATACAAAAAATTAGCCAGGTGGGGTGGCATGAACCTGTAGTCCCAGCTACTCGGGAGGCTGAGGCAGGAGATTTAATCCTACAAGACCTACAGCCTCAGACAATGCTGCTGGCAGTGATCGTGGGAAGCAGAGTTTGCAGTGAGCTGAGATTGCGCCACTGCACTCCAGCTTGGGCAACAAAGCGAGATTCCATCTCCAAAAAAAAAATTCAGATTTCAGTGTTAAGTAAAGTTGCCTACATTGTGTGAGTGACAGGGCAGTGGTGGATCCGAGAGTGTGGATCTGAGAGTGAGTCAGAAATCAGCATGTAAAGATGAGGATCTATGCACATGAACTGAAAGTATGTAAACAGTTCATGAAATTCTAATAAATCCAGTAGGAAATAAAACCCAAACTTATCCAAACACAAATTCCCTTGAAATTATTATGGGAGCATGAGTTCATAAAGAACTCCTAACTCCTGTTTCAACTTCTGAATCCTAGTGTCCATGACATAAGAAAATCATCTCCAATTATGCATCACAGGGCAAATCTGTAAACTAAGAGTTTTTCTGTTGACGATCCTGAGGAATCAGGACACCAAGAAGGTTCTGGAGAAACTGTCTCAGGAGCGCCCCAGGGATCTCAGAAGAACGTGCTGGCCACTCACGTGGGACATCAGCGTCACTTGCTCAGAGTCATCAGTGAGCTGTGCTGGTGTCTGACGGGTCCAGCATAGGGCCAAGGCACCTGCTCTGTGTCATGGACCGAGATGGTCCCCAGAATGATCCAAGTGGTCTCTGTGCTAATCTAATGTAGTTTCACAGTGAGGGGCCGTTCTGAGGGGGCTTCTTCTTCAGTGAAAGGACCTCTGTCCACAAATATTCCTAAATGGACAGGGGCATGCATTTCCTCAAGCAGGATTAGGGCTTGGACCATCAGCATCTCACTCTTGCAAGGCTGATGTGTCATTTGTCTTCCCTTTCTTATCATGGATCAGGCTTTGAGCTATGAAATGCCCTGTCTCATGAATATGTAAATACCTGAGATCCACTGAGGTAAATATGGTCTGTGCCCTGAGAGCGTCACCCAACAATCACATCCCGCCTCTAGAGAATCCTCCGAGAGCATGGCTCCTCACCATGGACAGGACCTAGAGCTAATCTTCCTGGTGGCAGCAGCTACAGGTAAGGTGCTCCCAAGTCCCAGTGATGAGAAGGGGATTGAGTACAGTCAAGGAGGCTTTCATCCACTCCTGTGTCCCACCCTCCAATGGGTGTCTGCTTCCAGGTGCAGCTGGGGCAGTCTGAGGCTGAGGTGAAGAAGCCTGGGGCCTCAGTGAAGGTCTCCTGCAAGGCTTCCGGATACACCTTCACCTACTGCTCCTTGCACTGGTTGCAACAGGCCCCTGGACAAGGGCTTGAAAGGATGAGATGGATCACACTTTACAATGGTAACATCAACTATGCAAAGAAGTTCCAGAGCAGAGTCACCATTACCAGGGACATGTCCCTGAGGACAGCCTACATAGAGCTGAGCAGCCTGAGATCTGAGGACTCGGCTGTGTATTACTGGGCAAGATACACGGTGCGAGAACCCACATCCTGAGAGAGTCAGGAACCCCAGGGAGGAGGCAGCTGTGCTGGCATGGAGGAGATGACAAAGATTATTAGATTGAAGACTTTCTTAGAAAATAGCATTAAGTCATTTACAAAAAGGAACAATATAAATGTGTATTTGAGAAATTGTAATTATTTGAGAGATTTCTTATGCAACATTTATTCTGTAAGCAAATTCTAGGGATTGGAGAATTAATCAAATTAATAAAGCTGACATAGAAATTCCTCTGAAGGTATCTTTGTAAACATCAATTTCTGAATCAGTGTTGTAAATGTTTTGGAACAGAGACGCAAGATCACATTTTAACTCTACTTTTGTCTCTATAAAAAATGCCAAAAAGAGTCTCATTTTGACCATGTACCTCTTTGAATTCCCACCATCAATGAATGATTGTTCTTGGGTTTCCACATTATATTACCATTTATCATTATGAGAATTGTGTGTTTTAACCATTATAATAGGTGAGTAATGGTATCTAATTTTTGCTTAAATGCACATGACCCTAATAAAATTCATATTTAACAATTTTCATATAATTTTTGGTTAGATGCCTCTCCTGATATTTGGTTCATTTTCAATAGCACTGTTTTCTTTTGATTAGTTGTAAGTTTACTTGCATATTGATTATAAAAGTTAATTAACAAATTAAAAGAATTCATTTAACAAATATGTGACTTGGAAGTTGCAGGGGTTTGTCCTGCACACCCTGACACAATGACGAATGAATAAAGTGCACTGACACAAAGATATTCTGCTTTGCCAGCTCGACTGAGCATCTGGGCCACTTAGTCACAGCCACCGCCTCGATCAGTCAGGGAGACTTACATTTATTCAGTAAAGATTAATTGACAAAGGCCGTGAGTAAACACCACTAGAAGGTAATTGACATTGTGGACCTCTTGAGTGGAAAGCAATTAAGCACCCGCGGTAGATCAAAGGTTAGTCTTAGGAACACATGAGTAAACAAGCTAGTTAGATAAGCTCCTCACATTCCTTTGTTTCTACTCTACTTTATGTAACTAAAGGTAAGGGGACTAGGCTGCCTTCAGCCAGATTTATTACCAAAGTTATGCAAACTCACAGGCCTTCCAAGAGGGTTTGTGGCTATTAGAACTAAAATGTTTCCCACCAGCCTGACTGGACCACCACATCTCCCCATTTTTTGTTTTCTACATCAGGTCTTTTGGATTGGAGCGTGCAGATATGCGCAGCAACATGTCTGTCAGGTGTGGCAGTCATTGCTCTTATTCTGGCTTTGCATCCTAGAATTAGCAAATAACATAAAACAATCATGAGTAGAATTAGCAACATTCTTTTCCAGTCAGAGTGACCCCCAGGAGCGGGGTCTAACCAGGAGAGATGATCTCACACACCCTTCCATATGACTGTTTGTTGGGGGTGTAGATCTATTGCGTGAAGAGATTCTAAAATTTTAGTTTGAACTTACTTTACGTCTGCTGTTAAATTGTCATGAAAGGTTCCCCAGAGGTATTGTTTTACCTCATCCTAACTATGTATTGATAGATTCCGTGGTAGAGAAGTGATACAGATATGTTCATGTTCCCAGTCACAGTTTAAATGCTGTCAGAATGCCACTGCATCTTGTCGCTCCCTGACATATTCTAAAGCAGCCTCAAGGGCTAGCAGACGTGTGATAATTTTTTGATCTATACCTTGCTGTAAGAGAAGTTCATTAGACACATTTTTGGCCAGATTATCTAAAAAGGCAGCAGTTTACACTAAGTCAATAATACATGCAACAGCAACACTAGCTGTTGCCAGGATGACTATGGCTGAGACTATAAAGGCCATAAGTGTAACTATGAATCTTTTGTGTCTGACCTGGGACAGGGCACGTTCTAAGGTTGCAAGGGCATAGGAACCTTGCCAATTGCATGCCAGATTGACTGGTAAGAATGCCTCAGATTTTCTCTTTAATACCATGGCGCTAGTAATTTTTAAGTTAGATATACTGTGATTAGTGATACATGAGGCAAACCAAGCCTGTCCCTGCATCCAGGTCACAAACGTGGAGTTTTGAGGTGTAATGGAAATGTTAGTTCCCATAAGGAAATCGTATGGATGGGTAGTGCAAATTAGGCACTGATCAGTGTGATTATGAATAAAGCTTATAGCATAGTTGCAACGGGAAATATGGTATGTCCCATGCCAGGTGTTAAGGGAGGTGCTAAGATGTCCCAGACACCATAAAGTACCTTGGGGCGGCATGGACTTTACTTGGGGCCTTGGATGTGCCATCCCCCCATTGGCACAAATTATAGGGGAAAAGACATGGCTATGAAACTGATTGATGCTCTGATGGATGAAGGTATTAGTAAGGCTGCCCTGCAATCAGCCGTTGGGTCTCCAGTCTAAGATGTTATAATTACCTCACTGGAGGCTATGGGCTCGTCTCCCATGACAGACCTCCCAGCTAAAGTCGAACCGATTACTGTCCCAGCTTTGTTCCTTAGCACAGGAAGGAATGTTTGGGAAAGAAGCAGCGGCATGGATTGCATTGCTCAGTTTGAGGCTATCTGCAGCTAAGAATGTTAAGGCATTTCCTTTGCTATGATGTAACCATACTTGTTTTTGGGCAGGTACACAGTAAGGGTTAGAGTCTTTATAACTTACACACACTGGGAGGATAATAGTGGATTGACATATAGTGTTATCTGCCACCTTAGTCCAATGTGTGCCATTATTGAGGGACCCCACGTGGGGTAAATCTATCCCTCCTAGCCAAGCAGTCACGTTACTATAGGCTGGGAAGGGAGTGTCTTCCCATTTGGCAGGGTGAAAGAAAGGTGTGTCTAAGATAGAGGCCCAATAGAGTGTAGCAGGTACAGGTTGCAGACAAAGTGAGAGCATAAAAAGGATTAATACCCTACATGAGTTGCAATGTACAACAGAAAGCATAGCACCAAACACATTATCTGGAGTAAATGGTGTCTGCATTTGGAGCAGGATTCGTTCAGCCTCCTGAGTTGTCTTTTTCAGTATCCCCCAGGTAATGTCTGGGGATTGTGTTGTTCACAGAAGCTGCATCGTCCGGGGCTGTAGGTCTTGTAGGGTTAACTCCTTCATTTCTGGTACTGGGTTGGGTCCTAGCAATGTCCTGGTATGGTTTGATGCGTCGTGCTGGAACCCAAAGAGGACCCGAGGGGGTGTGGATACAAGCATACCCTCTTCCCCACATTAATAATTCACTTGGACCACACCATTCATTACTGTTTACATCTTTCCATAAAACTGCAGGTTTCATGTATTGGGAAATTTTAGCAAAGTGCTTTTCTACAGCGGATTCAAATTTGTCTTCTAAATTAAAAAAAAATAAGGCTTGTGCCAAAAGTGTTGCAGGGTCTGTACCCATACTCCCACGTTTTTGTTTTTTGTGCATATTTTAAGGGTGGAGTTGGCACGTTCCACTATTGCTTGTCCTTGGGGGTTATATGGGATACCTGTGGAATGTCGTATATTCCACATGTGAAAAAATTGTTGAAATTGTGAGCTGGCATTACCTGGACAATTATCGGTTCTAATTTTTGTGGGTTGTTCCATAAATGCAAAAGATAAAAGAAGATGTTTAATGACATATCGAGTAGACTCTCCAGCCAGAGTATGTGCACTAATTAAATGAGTGTTGATATCAAAGGATACATGTACCTATCTAAGTTTTCCAAATTCAGGGATGTGTGTAACATCTGTTTGACACAACAGATTAGGTTCTAGGGTTAATACCTGTTGAAGGAAGAGACGTACCTGTGAGCTGGCGATCTGGGCATTGTAAGATAATTTGTTTAGCCAGTCTCTGTGTAAGTTGGAATTGTTTAGATAAGTTTTTCCAATTTTGGTGGAAAAATTGGTGCAATTGGGTGGCTTGGTCAAGCAGTGATATCATAACTTGAAGGTCGGCTTGATTATTGTCATAACCTAATGGACCACGCAGTGAGCTGTGGGCTGGAATGTGTGTAATAAAAATAGGATGTGTACTTTGATTTAGCAATTGCTGAAATCAGAGAAAAAGAGTCCACAGGGCTGGCTCCAGAGTTGACTTAATTAGGGCTGTAAAAGTTCTCTAGACCCAATATTAAGGACTCAACTTTAGCTTTCTGAGTGCTAGTAAACCCAGATTGAGTGAATGAATTGTGTGGTGTCCACCAGACTGCTGCTTTTCCATGTTTACCAGATCTATCAGTAAACAGTGCTAAAGCATTAAATATGGGGGAGTAAACTATTTTTGTAGGTAACACGTTAACTAGGCCTTTTGGGAATGATGAAAATGGGTAAATTCTAAGGGCTGTTAGTAGAATATTACCCATAAAATGAATACTCTTGTAGCCAGGAAACTTTTTTCTACTAGGGAGCAAAGCTTGCTTTTAATTGCTCCCTAACTAACTTAGGGGCTTTTTGTAATGTCTCTCCCTTTAGAGGTTACTGTTTTACTTAAACTGGATTTGGAGTCATGTTAGGAATAAGAGAGAGATAACAGTGGTCATTATTAGAAAGAGGTTTCTCAAATCCTTGAATTTTACTTAACTATTAGCATAGAATTATAATCTGGGATGTAGCTTGTGTACAAGGAACATAACAAATTTTGCTTTGGGCCGCCTGCGGAGCCAGAGAGCGGAGCAGGCGGGTCCCAGGGCGGCTGCCGCTTTGTGCTTGCTTAGAAGCCACTTTTCGCCACCGCGTTTCCTCTGTGCCAGCTCCCTCCCCACACTGCTCAGCAGCTGCTGCCGGCAGAGGGGAGCTTCCTGCACTTGCTCCTGCCCCTAATGCCTTTTCTTAACCCTTTGTGTACCTGATTGCCTTGCTGATCTTGCATTACTGGGCAGTCTAAGAGCTCCCCTTTTAATGCTGCTTGTCGAAGACAGGGACATATAGCTGTAGTGTATTTCCTCTATTTTTTCTATCTATTGAAAGAGGGGGCTCAGGCAAAACCTCCATTTCCTCTTTGTTATTTTGGGAAGAGCAGGTGGTAAGGCAAGTGACGTTTCTTCCTCCTTCCCCTTTTTGGGTTCTTCTTTGTATAATGGGACTAAAGCCATCTCTACTAAAGCCCATAGTGTTAAAGATGATGCTGGGACCCGTTGCGCTTGTGTGTAATGTTGTTCAAGATTTCTCCCTACTTGTTCCCAGAGCTTTACTTCTAGCTTTCCTTCTTCTGGGACCACAGATTATGTGAGACAACAGTTTTCATTAGGTGCCTTAATTGAGCCTGCGAAACTGATGCTCCCCTAGCCTTAAGCAACTGTTACAATACTTTTATATGCTGTTTGTGTTGAGCTGATAACTGCTGTCCCATGATGAAATCTCAGCCTGAACAATCTCCCCTGAACTTGGAGATCCCAAGTGGGCACCAATGACTTACTGTTTTACTGACTTGACCACGCAGTCTTCCTCAACCTTCGTTTTCATGGGGTCTGTCACGCTCCCTTTGCAGCGATCCTCACATGGGGCACCGGCTGTGGGGGTCTGTCCTGCAGGTCCTGACACAACAACGGGTGAATAAAGTACACTGACACACAGATATTCTGCTTTGCCAGCTTGACTGACCATCCAGGTAGATCAAAGGTGAGTCTTAGGACCACATGAGTGAACAAGCTAGTTAGATAAACTCCCCACATTCTTTTGTTTCTACTCAAATTTACTAAACTAAAGGTAAGGGGACTAGGCTGCCTTCAGCCAGATTTATTACTGAAGTTATGCAATCTCTCAAGCCTTCCACGAGGATTTGTGGCTATTATAACTAAAATTTTTCCCACGAGCCTGACTGAACCCCACAGGAAGTACTTTCTCCAAGTCTGTGGTTGCCTTTTACTCCCTTATCAGTAGGTATCGCAGAAAAATGTGTGTGTTTGTGTGTGTGTGTTTGTACAAATTTAGATTGAAAACATATATAATTTTATTCATTCATAGATCATGTCTTTGGCATTATATCTGAAGTTTCATTATAAAATAAACTAATAGTCATTATTTTTTCCATATCTCTAATCTCAGGCCACAATCAACTCATGAGTGTTTAAACTTCACCTGCTTGATTGGAGGACCATCAATCTAATGTATTTGGAATACTTCTGTAAGGAGATGTGTTCTTCTTCCTATTATTTTTTAATTGATCATCTATTAATATCAGTATTGGTTGATGGATGTCCATTTTATACTTTGAAAAAGATCCATGCTACATCATTCATTTAATTGTTCAAAGCACCACAGCTTTATTAGGTGCTGGGAGCTCATTTTGTTTGAATCCTGCATCCTTACAGCACACCTCACACCTCATTTTTTTGTTTTTGAAAACTTGCGTATTTCCTGGTATTACCATAAATTCTAAGCTTGTTTTCTTTATTACCTTTTTTTTACATAGAATCAACCACTTTTATAAAGATTGCATGTTTCTGATGTTAAAGAATAGTATTAAAATAAAACATTGTGATACTGGCTCTGTGTGTTGTTAATGTGGTATGAGTACTTCTAGAACCTCTCAAACAACGGTCCCAGTAAACGTGCATGTTTATATGAACCCAAGTTTATGGACTCATTGAAACTATTTATGTATCTAATCTTCTGTAACCCTATTACATTAAAAATGAGAACACACTGGTCTCTCCATCCAACTATGTTAGCACAGAGACCTTTCTAGTCTTCTTTCCTTGAGTTTCCATAACCACTCACTACAAAGTGAGAAACCCCATTCCACCATATGCAATTTTATTACTTAGCTGCACAGTTTCAGGACACATGCATAGCAGTATCTAAAGTGTAAAGCTGTACCCTTTTTGGAACCATGTTTATCTATTAGAATAGAGTGCTTATGTGCAGATTTTTTACACATTAAACTTATGGAATTTCCTCGTTTTCTGAGTTGCTTAGGTCAGCAACTTCATTTTCCACATTCTTCAATGAAGTCATTTCAATTACATTGTATAATTTCATTTATTTGAAATTCCATAAATGCTTAAACTATAGTCAAGTAAACAGATAGAGGATGTTCCAGGAATTTAGAGAGTGGGTATAAAATAAGCAAAAAAAAGTGATGTTTAAGAAAAATAAAACTATTTTTAGTGATATGCAATGGCTGAGATATGACATAACTAATTTGTCTAAGCTAATAATTTTGTGATGGAAAATATAAACTTAAATATATTCAATTTAAAAAAATTCAGCAGTTCATTAACCCCAGGATTAAATGCAGACTGTATAAAATTATCCAATAACTTATTTGGTGAGAGTGGGGATGTTATGAGATACATGCAACAAAGAATGAAGTAATTTTCCTTATTTGCATATACAATGTTTCCATTCACTGAAGACCTTTTATTTTAAAAAAATCAATTTTCTACCTTACCCTTGTTTTTAATTCCCGACAAGCAAATAACCCAAAGGATTCTTTTCTTTCATTGGTTGAGAAAGATTTTCCCCTAACTTCAGCTTAGTTCAGGCATACACTGACCTGAATGGGCATTTGCCCTCAGATGGGTACACACCTGTCAATATGTGGCCTCTTCTGTCAGACAGACACAGCTTCACTCATGTGGATTCTTCCCTCAAACACAAATGTCCCCACATGGACTATTTCCTCAGACTACCACATATGTCCTTACATTTACACTTTCCTCAGAAAACAGACATTTCCTCATGTGGACTCTTGTCTCAGATAAGCAAACATGTCTCAATGTGAATGAAGTCTTCACTCAGATAAGTACACATATTTCAACATTGACTGTTTCCTGACACAAGCACATATATCCAATGTTAAACTGTCTTGCGACAAAATGATCTCAAGATAATGATAATTATAAACTCCAACCCTGAAAACCTGTGGATCTGCATTTTGTCCATTGTAACATAACTTCTTCTCATTGTCAGAAACAGTCGTTTGCAGCTATAAATGCACTGATTACAGTCAGATTTCCATTTTCTCTGGAAATGTATTTCTTATGTTCTTACTGGACTAATTTGTTGACAATGTTTGCTCACATGAAGATACCTGAACAGTGTCCACATTAGAGAATAAGAAAGAGCAATGGGCAGATTAACCCTGTGCATCCAGATGCAGGAATCATTTGACTCTGCCTTCCCTGAAATGGAGACACAGAGGATGGATGAGCAACGCTGAGTGGTGCACCTACGACCACAAAGAGAAAGACGTGGAAATATGTCCCATCCCCTCCTCATGAAAGGCAGCTCATCCCCTGTTCCTTCAGGCCCTGGTGAGGAGCCACCCCATATCTGTGTCTTTCTTCAGTGTTCACACTATGGAGTCTGCACTGATCTGGGTTTCCCTTCTCATCACCCTCAATATTAGTGTCCCTTGTAAATCAGGTCCAGCTGTGGCTGCTCATAGGGTTGTTCTCAGTCTATTTCCTCTGTGTTCATAGAAGTCCTGTATGAAGTTCAGTGGTGGAGTCAGAGGGGTAAACGTTGTACAGCCCAGTGATTCACTGAGACTTTCATGCAAAGTGGCTGGATTCACCTTTGCTGGCAACAGCCTGAGGTTGGTCTAGCAGGCTTCACAACAGGGATTGTGGTGGCTGGCAACAGTGAGTCAGCAAGTGGGAGTGCTCAGGGTTACTCTTCATGAGTACAAATAAATTAACTGGTCCAGCGACACCCTTTCACGTGCACTCTACCTTACAATGACTAACCTGAATGCCAAGGACAAGGTTGTGTAATACTGTGAGGTTCACAGGAGAGGGATTATCTGCACGAGCCCAGACACAAAAATCTGCAGAGACAGGAGGGAACTGCATGATAGATGCTGCTCAGAAGCACCAGCGGGCACTCAACACAAGGGGGCCCTCAGGATACAGCTGGGGGCGCTCAGGACACCAGGGGGTCACTCAGGATACAGCGGGGGACGCTCAGAACCACCAGGGGGCTCTTAGGGCACCAGAGGGCATTCAGGACCACCAGGGAGCCCTCAGGGCCACCAGGAGGACCTCAGGACATGTCAGCGTGCTGGAGCCACCAGGGGGCGCTGAGGCAACCAAGGGACGCTCTGAACCGCGAGGGGAAGGAAGCTCAGGACCACGAGGGGACGCTCAGGACACCAGGGGGCGCTCAGAACACCAGTGGGCACTCAGAACAGGAAGAATCTCTTAGAAAGCAGCTCCACATCAGGATCCTGGGAGGCTGTGGAGAAATGGGAACACTCATAAACTGTTGAGCATTTAAATTAGTACAACCGCTATAGAGAACAGCTTAGAGTTTCCTCAAAACCTGACGATAGTTATCATTATAATCTGGCAATCCTGCTGCTGGTATATACCCCTAAAAAGGAAATGTTTTTGCACTACCATGTCTGTAATAGCGCTGTTAAAGCACTGTTCACAACAGTCAAAATTTGAAAGCAACCTATGTGCCGATTAACACATGAATGGATAAATAAAATATGGTACATATAGGATATGGGTTAATATTATGCCATAAAAAAATGAGATTTTATCATTTGCAACAACATGGATGAAACTGGAGTTCATTATATTAATTGAAATGAGCCCAGAAGAGAAAGACGAAATTCACATGTTCCCATTTGTTTGTGAAAGCTAAAAATTAAGACAATTGAACTCGTGGAGATAGAGAGGGAAAAGATGGTCCCCAGAAGCTGGGAAGGTCTATGCTAGATGGGGATTATTGGGGATGGTCAATGGGTAGAAAAGGTGATTAGAAATAATAAATAACACATAATATTTGATAACACAACAGAATAAGTATAGTCCTCAATAACTTAATTATAGATTTTAAAATAAAAGTTTATGAATGGAATGTTGGTAACTCTATTAATGCTTGAGAGGATGTATAAACTATTCTTCATAATGTGATTATTATGCAGTTCATGCTGATTCAGAGTTCTGTACCCCATAAAAATATACATGTACTATTTACCCACAAAGATTCAAAATTTAAGTGTTTATGTGTCTAATATTCTGTAACTATATTACATTAAACCTAAGAACACACTGGCTTTTACACACTACTGTCATCCACATAGACATTCATAGCCTTCTTTCTCTGCTTGTCCATAATCCCACACTCCAAAATGAGAAAACCTCTCCTACCATATGACATTAATTTACTTAGTGCACAATTTCAAAATACACAAATCGTCTTTAGGATTGTTAAACTGACCCTTGTTGAAAATATGTTTATCAACTAGAATACAGTGCTTATGTGGAGCTTATTTATATTTTACAATCGCAACATCAAATTCTTTCCAAGTTTCTTGTGTCCAATATTTATGCCCCACCTTCTTCAGGGTAATTAGTTCAAACCTTCTGATTGTTGTTAGATATTTTTATACAGCTGTCTTTTTTTGTGTTTCATGACCTGCTAAATACTTTCGAAGTTGTATGCATTTAGGTTAACACTTTGTCTCAAAAAATATGAGTTTTCAGAAATTCTTTATGCCATGTGTCCATCATTGAATATCATAAAAATAGTTTCATTGGCCGGGCATGGTGGCTCACACCTGTAATCCCAGCACTTTGGGAGGCCAAGGTGGGCGGGTCACGAGGTCAGGAGATCGAGACCATCCTGGCTAACACAATGAAACCCCATCTCTACTAAAAATACAAAAATTAGCCAGGCGTGGTGGCAGGCACCTGTAGTCCCAAATACTCAGGAGGCTGAGGCAGGAGAATGGCACGAACCCAGGAGGTGGAGGTTGCTGTGAGCACAGATCGCACCACCACACTCCAGCCTGGGTGGCAGAGTGAGACTCTGTCTCAAAAAAAAAAGATAGCTTCATTGTGATTAAAAAATGTGTTTCACCTAATCCACACACCTTCTCCCCACCTTCCTGGGAAACCTCAAATGTTTACTGGATCTATATTTTTATCTTTGGCAAAACAGCCTGGCTGTTTTCTTAGCCTCTTCTGCAAAGCATCAAGATTCACCTTCACTGACTACAGCATGAATTGAGTCCAGATGGCTGGGGGACAGAGGCTGGAGAGGGTGGTAACAGTGATTGATTCAAGTGGAAGTTCTCAGTGATATTCTGCATCAGCACAATAAAGATTCACAATTCCCAGGGACACCAATTACCAGCACAGTCTCCCTTAAAATAATCTACTTGGAAGCTGAGGGGGCTCTCACAGGGGTAGGCAGTGTATTACTGTGAGAGATACAGCGAGGGACATTTCTGTGAGTCCAGACGGAAACCTCCCTGCAGGGAGACAAGAGAGGACTTTGTGATAAATGGTGCTTAGGACACCAGGGGGCACTCAGGACAGCAGAGGGTGCTCAGCAGAGCAGGGTGCGCTCAGGACATGGTGTGTGTTGTAGGGGGCATTGCTCAGGATCACCAGGGGGCTCTCAGAACCACCAAGGGTCACTCAGGAAACCAGGGGGCGCTCTGGACACCAGGGGGAGCTCAGAACCACCAGGTGGTACTCAGGACACCAGGGGGCGCTCATGACCAGCAGGGCATGCTCAGGGCAACAGGGGGCTTGCAGAACCCCAGTTCCAACGCCAGTGTTGGAAGCACTTTTCATTGGCAAGACACTAGGAAGGAGAGCAAATTGGAGGCTTGTTACTGTGCAAATATGCCACCGTGAGTGTGTGTGGGGGGGGTAGGTGGGGGGTGGACCTTGAAACATAAGGTGTGTGCGTAAAGTGATAATCTGATGTAAACTTCGACCACAGAATCCTAAAGAAAAAAAAAAAAGAGGCTGCCCCAAAGTCCCCATCAGTTCCTGGACTCGCCATGTGTCTGGACCATATCAGTGCATCTGGAGCTCCAGGGAAGGGGCTCCCTGGTGGATTTAGTGATTCCTTGCTTCCTGTGCCAAGGTCTCCCTGTGGGATATGTTAGGTTTCCTAAGGTCTATTTTCTAGTGTAAGAAGTGATGTGAGAAGTAGTTGCTGTCACTGAAGGAGCATTCTTAGCCAGGGCACAGCCAGGTCATACTGGGCTTGAGATGCTGGGAGAAAAATGCTCTGTGAGCCCAGAAAAGAACTTCCCTGCAGGGCAGGAGCTGAGCTGCAGGGGGCGCTCAGGATGCACCCAGCACAGGATCCAGCTCTGGAGCAGGTGCACAGGAGGCTGTGGAGGGGTTTTCTCTCAGGGATTGAATATTCCTTATTTCAAAGCCATAATGACATAAAATTTAAATAAGAATTTAGCAAGTACTGATGTGTCTTTAGTATTCTCTTGCATACACAGAGGCTACCAAACCCAATAACTTAACGCAAAACACATTTAAAAGGAGAAATGTCTAGGCCTTTCAAATGTATTTATAGTTAGGAATTGAGGGGTGGTTTTATTAATTCAATGGGTGTTACTCTCCGGAGACACACTCATCCCAGAAGTTAGATGTGCAGAGGGCAAGGCCCAGGAAAAGTTCAGATTGTCAGTGAGCCATAGGAACAAGAAATCACAGTGAGGACAATGCCCTGTGAGATTCTGGGTTTCTGTAAGAGGAGTTCTGTCTTCATGGACTTCTAAGTGTGTCAGAGGACAAATATCATTAAACAAAGTTCAGGGCAGGGAGCTCAGTGTCCCACTGTGGCATGGTCCGTGTGTCACCTATCTTCTTCCCCAGGGTGGGGTGGCCTAAGCTATGAAATACCTGCCTCATGAATATGCAAATGCAGTGGTGTCTACCGAGGTAAATACAGATCTGTCCTTGCCCAGAGAGCATCACACAACAGCCACATCCCTCCCCTACAGAAGCCCCCAGAGAGCAGCACCTCACCATGGACTGCACCTGGAGGATCCTCCTCTTGGTGGCAGCAGCTACAGGTAAGAGAATCCTTAGTTCCAGGGCTGATGAGGGGACTGGGTCCAGTTAAGTGGTGTCTCATCCACTCCTTTCTCTTCTCCACAGGCACCCACGCCGAGGTCCAGCTGGTACAGTCTGGGGCTGAGGTGAAGAAGCCTGGGGCTACAGTGAAAATCTCCTGCAAGGTTTCTGGATACACCTTCACCGACTACTACATGCACTGGGTGCAACAGGCCCCTGGAAAAGGGCTTGAGTGGATGGGACTTGTTGATCCTGAAGATGGTGAAACAATATACGCAGAGAAGTTCCAGGGCAGAGTCACCATAACCGCGGACACGTCTACAGACACAGCCTACATGGAGCTGAGCAGCCTGAGATCTGAGGACACGGCCGTGTATTACTGTGCAACAGACACAGTGTGAAAACCCACATGCTGAGAGTGTCAGAAACCCTGAGGAAGGAGGCAGCTGTGCTGGGGCTGAAAAGATGACAGCATTTATGAGGTTTAAAGTGTTTAGAAGATGGGTTAAGTCACAGAGTAAAAGTAGAAATAGAAAGATGTATACATTCCAATTATATAGGAAATAATCTTTTCAACTTTCACCCTGTAAGTAACATTCACAGAGTGGGAAAGGCAGCAATCAATGGAGTGGATGCAAACATTCCTTTGTGAGGACATAAATTTTAAAATCGAATGGATAAATCATTTGGAGCAGGATTGCTTGATCACATGGTAAGACTAAATATAATTTCTAAAAAGTGACCAACATTTCTAACAAAATGTCTTTGCCACTCCTTTTACATTAATTTTATTTTAAAACATTTTTAGGATTGCAGCAAATTTGAGTAGAATAAACAGCATTCCCATGTACTCCTGCCCAAGACATGCACAGACTTCTCCATGATCAACACCCTGCGCTGAAGTAATAAATAACTTGCAACAGATGAACCCACATGGACACCTTGATTGTTTCCTTTCCTGGTGGCCCCTGGTATAACAAGCCTAAATTACCTTGAAGCACCCCAGGTTCTTCTAGTGGGTTACAGGAAATGATGCCAGGTAGAGGGAAAGTGAGTGGGGATGATCCTCTTTGCACTGTTTCCTCAAGAATCCATAAAATGTACATTGATTTAGAGCTCAACTAACTCCTGGTTTTCTATGCCCCTTTCCAGAAGGTAAGGTCTCCAAGAATTTACAGCAGGGGATCTCCTCAAGAGTCCATAAAATGTACAGCGGTTTAGAGCTCGTCTGACTCCTGGTTTTATATGCCCCTACCAAGAGGATAAGGTCTCCAAGCACTTACGGCAGGGGTCTCCAACCCCTAGGCAGTGAACCCGTACTGGTCAGCAGCCTGATAGAAAGCAGGCTGCACAGCAGGAGATGAACAGGGGGTGAGCATCACTGCCTGAGCTCCGCCTCCTGTCAGATCAGCTGCGCATTAGATTTTCCTAGGAGCCAAATTCTATTGTGAACTGTGCATGCAAGGGATCTAGGGCGACCGCTCCCTATGAGAATCTAATGCCTGATGATTGCAGGTGGAACAGGTTCATCCCATAACCACCTGCCTCCCTCATCCATGGAAAAATTGTCATCCATGAAACTGTTCCCTGGTGGCAAAAAGGTTGGGGACCACTGGTGTAGAGGCAGGTCTGTGCAACTAAAAGGCCAGTGGCTTCTGCTGAATCCTATAATTAATGTCCTTTAATGAGAAGTGGAGACTTTGGTCATGAGGGCTTTCGTGAATAATGCCCTTCAGTCGGATTCAAAACACTGTAAGATCTTGTGGGTGTTTCTGGATAAAGCACTTTGGGCAGAAAATGCAAACACATGCATGAGATCCAGGCAGGAAAAACAAAGCTTCCTTTACAAAGTGGTTTGGCACGTGGAAGGAGCTCTCAGGGTTGGGCACTGTACCCTTTGCTGACTACACTTTAGCCAGAGGCCTGAGCCTGATTGGGTCACAGGTTACAAAAACGTCTGTCATCCTTCAGCTGAGCAAGCATATCTGCGTGCTTGTCAGTGTCCACCCCATGAGGGGTGCACTCTGGAAGATGACAAGATGTACACAAACCTTCTCCCACTGATTATCCACTAGCACACACTCAACTGCAACCCATGCTCCAGAAAGGGACAGGGGCCTGCAGGGATAAACAGAATGGAAGTATTTTATTACCTGGGAAAGACACTGCCAAATATCACGTTTCAGGAAGGTTAACTCATAAGTGTTCAGGAAGTGACTGAAGGGCAGTGGTGGGTGAGCTGACGGGACTGCCTCAGGGCTGCACATGAGGAGGGCTCCCTCCCACACAGCCTTTTCCTCCAGGAGCTACACCAGAAACTCATAGAAGATCAGGAAGGATTCTGAGAACATTCTTCTGTGGTGCTGCCTAGAGGGGGAAAATAAATTATAAAAAATAAATCAATTCTAAACAAAGTATGACATTTGTTATTAGAACCATTTCTGAAACCTGTGGGAATCCTGACATAAGCCACCATTCTCTGTGAATAAACATATAAACACTCCTTCCATGGGGAAGTCAACGAAGTTGGATCGGTTCTTTCATGGATAACATCCCCCAAAGTCCTCTCCATTCCCTGAGCATCCCCGGGTCTCTCAGTGACAAGTTCTCCTCAGTGGAATGTGGTTGATGTAGTGAGATCTTCAATTTTCCCGTGTTCTGTGTTCTCATGTTCTCCCCTTATCTGAGATTAAGAAACTCGCCTGCATGTGGTACATCACAGTCTAATGTCTCTCATGGACAAAATAGTGGCCACAGCAACCACCGGCGGCCACCATCCCCTCCACAGCCTGTGTTGGAACATCACCTGAGAGATTGTATTAGCAACTTTCCTTCAGAATCATCTTAAAAACTATGTGTCCCATTTCACATGGAGATGTCATCTATCCATTTTCTCTTCATAGACAAATAGAAGGAGATGAATACCCAATACACTTCATATCTCCGGATTATTCAAATACGATTGTCACTTTATCACCTTCTGATTTCTGGCCTTCGCAGAACACTCTATAAATTTTTCTCACTGGTATTATACCAAAACTTACAAAGTGCTGGATACAGGGATTATTTTAACCAACATTATTCTAATGATTCTAAGAATGTAGAATTACAATTATCCTCTTTTCATATATGGATAAACTAACCTATGCCTTTGAAAATAAACCCTTACATAAGAGTGAAAAGGTAAGCTATAGATTTGGAGAATTTCCTTGCAAATCCGTTATTTGGAAAAGGGATTTTATCACAAATATACAAATTAACTTACAATTGAACAACAATAAAACCACAACATTTAATTTTAAAATGGGCAAAGACCTGAATAGAAACCACATCTAAAAATATATATAAAAAGAGATCAACTTGATTTTCATGAAGTACATGTTTGTTTAATATTTTTAAAAATTCTGCTAATCTATGAGAATGGGTAAAATACACAATGTAGACAATATCAAACGGTGATGAGGAAGTTGAAAAACAGGAACTTTCACTCCTTGCTGCTGGGAATGCTAAAGCGACACATAGACAACTCCAGTTAATAATTTACTGTATGTTTCAAAATAGCTAGAAGATAAGATTTAGAGTGCACATAACACAAAAAGTAATCAATGATTGAGATAAAGGCTATCCCAGTTATCCAGATTTGATCATTGAACATAAAATGCTATTATCAAAATATCAATTGTACCCCCTAAAGATTTTGAACTATTATGTATCTATATAAATTAAACATTAAAAAAACACCAATGCCAAGGAATCCAGCTAATTGCAGATTCCCATTTATTGTGGGATCTGGCCAGCAGCCTGCAATGCAATGGGGCTCTCTCTTTGTTCCCAGGAGGATCAGCAGGTTGAGAAATAATAGACACACACAAGATAGTGTACACTGAGTCCAGGGGAGTCACCGCCTTCTGGTCCCATGGTGCCAACAATGCACTGGATATACCAGCATTTATTATTAAGTTTAGTAAGGGTGGGGGTAGGTTAGTGAGGGATTTAGGATCATTTGATTATGAGGTGAGATGGTCACATCAGGATGAAGTAATTCTTTAACATAACATCTGTATGCAGAAGTACAGTACATTTGTATGTAGAGGTTACAGAGATAAGAATTTACAATATAGTGTGTGCATCCATAATTTCTAACAGAGCCTTAAAACAGAAACACAGTCTTTCCATAACCTGTGATTAGCAAGATATTAATCAGCAGTAACAGTTGCAGCAAAAGCTGGTTACAAACAATCCATGAAACAGGACGTGAAGCTAGACAACGGGTTAGACCGGAATTTCTCAAAAGGGAGTATGCCTTAACCCTAAAGAGGCTTAGAAGAGCCGTGGCAAGATGGGGGCGTTTATAGCCCTATCTTATCCATATGGACAGGTGCCCCCCATGCGTCCGTTTATAGGCTCTCCACAAGGGTCGCATTCCATTCCCAGAGCTATGAACATCTGCTTTTCTGGGACAGGAATCTTGGTGATGTGAAACCTCCCTGACTGCACGTCCATTCACAGGCTCTCTGCAGGGGGAAGCACATCACGCGCTGTTGGCTTGTTCTGGCAGTCCAACCTGGCATTGTCTTTACACAATCCTGCGTGCAATTTTATATTTACAATAATCAGGAGGATTTCATCTTTTATTCCATAGCAATAGTTTCAGGGGGTCTCCCTACACCCGTTAGATGGGATGTGCTGCATAATCTGTAAACTAATCAGAGTCTGTGGGTTTGTAAAGGACTTTAGAAATCAACTGGACTACTTGTTTCTAAAGATAAGTCTCCCAAGTTTAACTGTTTTCTTAATGGATGGCTATTTTGAACATAGAAGAAATGTTAACATTTGTTTCTGGTAAGTTTTCTTCTTCTAGTCTCAGGAGAAAAAGTTTGCAGGGAAGAATCTGGGACCATCTTTCAAGTCTCAACTTCAATGTGATTATCTCGTAAATATTTTCTGGTACCCCTAAGATAAATCTCATATCTGTCCTAGAAACTAAAATTATGATTCTAAGCATCCAACTGACTGGATGGACCCTTCCTCTTCACCAAGGAGTTCCAGAGACTTGAAAACCTAGCTCACGCCATGTTAGAAATAGAGGATCAGAAATGCCTCATTATACCCTCCCCCCTTTGGAATTCAAGCACAACTAACCAGCATTTTTATAAAAACAGATCTTAAGCCTCAGAAAACAGATTCTTTGTAGCAGCAAAATGCCAAATTCTAACTTGACTCAAGAATAGCATCACATGACAGAGAGCAGACTTTGAAAGGAATCAAAGGCTAGAATATTCCTTCGACATATTTTAAAATCGCCCTGCAAAGTTATCTTTTGTGAGAGAAATTTATATTCTGTAGAGAATCTCCTTCCCTTTCCAGGTGTTTTTGTTATACTGAGATTAGCTGAGAGTCTAGTATCTTTTAAAGGTCTTAATAGAAAACATTTCCCATCCACTGCCTCTAAAAGTGGTCACAGGACACAGGAAGGGGAACATCACACACCGGGGCCTGTTGTGGGGGTTGGGGGAGGGGGGAGGGATAGCATTGGGAGATATACTTAATGTAAATGATGAGTTAATGGGTGCAGCACACCAACATGGCACATGTACACATATGTAACAAACCTGCACGTTGTGCACATGTACCCTAGAACTTAAAGTATAATAAAAAAATATATATATATGAAAAAAGAGACTTCATATACATAATAAGAATCTTGTTCTCCAAAACCCGTTATCTTAACCTAGAAACGTTTTTCTACTGCTTTCAGGTCTTTAGAAAAAAACTTAAGTCTTTCAACCAATTGCCAATCAGAAAATCTTTGAGTTCACCTGTAAGGTGTAATCCCCTGCCCATACTGACTCACTTCTAGCAGTTTTTCTTTATGGACCAAATCAACACGTTTCTCTCATGTATTGGTTGAAGTCTGTCTCTCTAAGACATTAAATTTAAGCTGCCATCAAGCCACTTTGGGAACATGTTCTCAAGATCTTCTGGGGTTGTGTCACAGGGCATGGTCCCCACATTTGGCTCAGAATAAATCTCTCCAAATATTTTGCAAAGTTGGCTTTTTCATCGATAGTTCTAACAGAACCTACTCTGTGGTCTTTGTTACAAGCATGATATTAATATAGTATTAGTTATATTAGTATTAGTTATAGCACATGTTGGCAATTTCTTATGAAGTTATGCATAGACTAACAATGGGATCAAGTGTAAATGTTTCAAAGCATTTATGCAGTTATTTCAAAATCTACATTCCACAGATTCTTCTATCAGGTTCATTATATCAGCTAATTATTTGTTTTATGATTTTTTTGCAATTTTTGCAGACAGATTCTTTCTTTTCTTGGCCTTTATTGTAGAAAATTGTGTGAAACTAGTCAGGGCTGCATTTGAAAGTCATTGTCACAGTGGCTCCCAGAATCTAAGTGCATTTCCTCTTCAGCCACCAGACACTCAGATTACTCTAATGACACCTTAATTTTGTTTTCTGCTTGGCATTGGGCCTTAAATTGTGTGTTCCAGAGAGACTCTGTCTTTCATCTCACCCAGGTCATCCCAGAGCCACATGGACCTGATAATTGTCAATGTGGTGGGAAGGGTCGCACAGAACGGGCACTCTCTGTCCTTCTGAGGGAGCCACACTCCAGGCAGACATCACAGTCCTGGCTGAGGACGTGTCCTTCCAAGTATCCCTGCCCCTCCTGCAGGTGTGATGCTGATCCATGCATCTTCCTCCCATTCCTGGGTAGAGGGTCTCGTTGTTTTTTCCCAGATCTTCTTCCAGCAGCCACTATGTCTTCCACTGATGTCTTCAGCTTCCTCTTTTCTGCCCTTCCCAGCAGGATGAGGCTATTTTTCCTGAGGGAAGAGAGAGGAGGTGGGAGATGAGGCTGTTATTCCTGAGAGAATGGACAGAGCTTTGGAGCTTTTCTTTCTTCCTTCCCAGATTCTATGAGTTCCTCCAGTGCCTGTAACACAGAGGTGTTAGTGGCTTTGCCCCTGCATGTTAATTCTTTGGTCATGTAGTGGTGGTGAGGGAGGTGGGTCTGGATGCATTTCAGCCACAGCTGCTGTTCCGTTTCCCACACAGAACCATCTCGGGAGGGAGAGGTTGGAGATTTTTCTGATGTGTCCTCAATCCTGGCAGAAAAGGTTTCAATAGCAATAGGATTCCCTCAGTCGTATGTCCTCTGAGAATAAACAATAACTTCTTTATTATACTCAATTTTAAACAATCCAATGAATATGTCTAATTTAATTTTGCATTAGATTATATGACATTTGCAGGCCTCTGCCCCAGATAAGGTCATATTCTCTTCTGTTTGTTCCTGCAAGTCACTGATTTTCTCAAGATGTAAGGTCTCTTGATTGTCCTATAACATCAATAATCTGATTTATTAAAGAAAATGTGTTAATTTGCATGTCAGTAAAGTTAATTGTTGTTGTAAAAATAATATATTTTATGGGATGCCTACATCTCCCAGCTGAGTAGAAGCTTTATTTGTAATACTCAGAAACTGGAAATTATGCAAATATTAAGGAGATTTCTAAATAAATACTATGGTTGCTGTCTTAAACTGGAATGCTCTTCCTCATCAGAATCAACACATTCTTTATACACAACCAAATTACTGACTCACAAGTAATTATGCTGTGCAAGAAGCCACACAAATGAAATTGAAAATGTAAGATTTCACTTTAACAAAATCTCGAAAAATAGATCTGAATTAACAAAGATGAGAGGTTGACTCAGTATGGTGAGAGGGAAATGACTGGGAGGCAGGAATGAGAGGAACACAAGGAAGCTTTTAAGTGTAATTCATCGTTGTTTTTATTGTATTTTGGATGCACAGGTGAGCACATGAGAAATTACATTTTTTTTTTCCCTTTGGAGACATGGTCTTGCTTTGTCATCCAGGCTGGAGCTCAGTGGTGAGATCACAGCTCTCTGCAGCCTCAGACCCTGGGTCTCCAGCAATCCTCCTCCCTCTGCCCTATGTATGCACCACCATGCTCAGCTTCAGTGCTTACTACACTGCACACTTTAATTATGCAATATTTATTATACAGCAATAATGCCTCAATAAGGGTATCAGAAATAAGTGAATAGATAATTTGTTAGATAAAGATTGATGGAAAGACAGACACTGACATGAGAAATGTATGACACTCAAGAAAATAAAACTGTAGGAAACGTGCTTTTCTTCACATTTGTTAGGTAATCACAACAGTGCGTACACATCACACCATATTCTTGTTACAGAGAAAAGGTTCTGCAAACCTCAGTAGGTGCGACGCCCTGTGTGCTGTGCTTAGTTCAGGGAGCAGTCAGGCTCGGTGGTGAGAAGCACAGGCCCAGATACCCAGGTCACCCTGACCAAATGTGAACTCTAGGGAGATTGAACAACCGATCTGTGATTTTGCTGGTAATTTTTCATCTGTTACATGGAAATAACATTGATACTACATACCATGGTTTCACTGCATATGAAAAAATAAAAGATGATTTGTTCTAACTTTAAACATATGCACTTTCTGTTGATCTACTGTACCTCAATAGAACTGTTTTAAAATAAAAATTACAAAATTATAAGATTTATAGGTTTTAAGGTTTTATCACAGAGCAGATTTACCATAAGAAACCACAATTTCCCAAATGCTATCAATATCACAAATCTCCCCAGGACACTGTCACGTGCTCTGAGCCCCACTCTCTCCAAAGGCCTCTAACCAGAGAGCTTACTATATAGTAGGAGACATGGAAATAGAGCCCTCCCTCTGCTTATGAAAACC
Source organism: Homo sapiens (assembly GCF_000001405.40). Lineage (NCBI taxonomy): Eukaryota > Metazoa > Chordata > Mammalia > Primates > Hominidae > Homo > Homo sapiens. The sequence continues at coordinate 106,728,713 of NC_000014.9, read as the reverse complement.
AGCCCAGCCCTGACCCTGCAGCTCTGGGACAGGAGCCCCAGCCCTGGGATTTTCAGGTGTTTTCATTTGGTGATCAGGACTGAACACAGAGGACCACCAAGGAGTCATGGCTGAGCTGGCTTTTTCTTGTGGCTATTTTAAAAGGTAATTCATGGAGAAATAGAAAAATTGAGTGTGAGTGGATAAGAGTGAGATAAACAGTGGATTTGTGTGGAAGTTTCTGACCAGGTTGTCTCTTTGTTTGCAGGTGTCCAGTGTGAGGTGCAGCTGGTGGAGTCTGGGGGAGGCTTGGTAAAGCCTGGGGGGTCCCTGAGACTCTCCTGTGCAGCCTCTGGATTCACCTTCAGTGACTACTACATGAACTGGGTCCGCCAGGCTCCAGGGAAGGGGCTGGAGTGGGTCTCATCCATTAGTAGTAGTAGTACCATATACTACGCAGACTCTGTGAAGGGCCGATTCACCATCTCCAGAGACAACGCCAAGAACTCACTGTATCTGCAAATGAACAGCCTGAGAGCCGAGGACACGGCTGTGTATTACTGTGCGAGAGACACAGTGAGGGGAAGTCAGTGTGAGCCCAGACACAAACCTCCCTGCAGGGGTCCCCAGGACCACCAGGGGGCGCCCGGGACACTGTGCACGGGGCTGTCTCCAGGGCAGGTGCAGGTGCTGCTGAGGCCTGGCTTCCCTGTCATGGCCTGGGCGGCCTCGTTGTCAAATTTCTCCAGGGAACTTCTCCAGATTTACAATTCTGTACTGACATTTCATGTCTCTAAATGCAAAACTTTTTTGTTCTTTTTGTATTTTTGTTTTTGTAACAGGAGGACACACCCTCACCTCCACAGAAGCCACAGTGTCACTTTGGGGGCAGATGATCCTTCTGTGGTCAGCAGGATGAAAGTTCCGAGGAATCTCAGGGGAACCCGAAGAGTGTTTGCCAGTTAGACTCAGGGCAGCGACCTCCACAGGAATCTCTGATTAGAACAGGCTTTGAGTTCTGATAGGAGCCAAGAGAGACGCTCACCCAGGGTCAGAGTCCTTAAAACCTTGTGGTTTTCACAGCAATCCCCCCTGGTCTTGTAAAACTGTGTACATATGACTCAGACTGATTCACTTGACCCCCTTTCTGCTAATCCATTTTCCTTCTCTGCATACTTGATTCTCACAGTTCCCTTTCTTCTTCTCTTTCCTGAAAACAGAGGATGTGTTTTCTGTAGTCAAAATCCCAGAGATCAGGTCTGCAGGACCTGGGTAGGCTGAGGGGACTTTCTCACTCACCATAGGCTGATGACACTCCTGCTGTATTTTGTGTGTGGAGGTGTTTGGAAAACGAAATGAACATTAGTCATGAAGGGAATAATACTAGTTTTCTCCAAAGGGATGTGGATGTAGAGCTGATCTTGTGCTTCTCACACTGTCACAGAATTTATGCTCTCCCCTGTGACTTTAGGAGAGCTGAGGATGGACACTCCATTGTGCTGTGAGCTCTGGTAATAGTAATTATAGGGTCTGGCTAGGCAGCCTAAGGTCAATACTGCTGGCCTTCGGGAAAGGCAGGCTGGGATTCCTAGGAAAACCTGCATCTGCCGTCCAGCATGGAGTCCCATCGTCTTCTGTTATGCTCTGATTGAATCAGGCCCACCTAGGTTATCTAGAACACTCTTCGTGACTTGGGCAAAATTAGTGGCAGGCTCTACTAAGACCTGCATTATGCCATGGGAGCAACACCTAGGCTAGTGTGTGATTGAGTAGGTGAGACTGTGGTCTAGTCAAGGTGGCAGGGAAAATTGTTGCCATTATTATGTTTTATTTTATATTTGGCAATACAGTCATGCTCATATTACAAATACCTTTCTACATTTTTCGTGTCAGAAGCTTTTGAACAAGAGCAACTTCATCTTGAATAAGGGCTAGAAAAAATAAGACTGAGACCTGCTGGGCTACATTTCCAGTAAGCTAAGGCATCCTTAGTCACAGGATGAGATAGGAGGTCTGCACACGATCCAGGTTATAAAGACCTTGCTGGTAAAGGTTACAGTAAAGAAGCTGGGCAAAGCCCACCAAAACCAAGATGGCAACAAAAGTGATTTCTGTTCATCCTCACTGCTCATTATAATGCCTTAACATGCTGAAAGCCACTCCCTTCAGCGCCATGATGGTTTACACATGCCATGGCAACATCAGGCAGGTTCCCTAGATGGTGTACAAAGGAGGGAGGAAACCTCAGCTTCGGGAATTGCCCAGGGGACTCATGAATAATCCATCCGTTGTGAGAAATACATTCATCCCTTTGAGAGAAAATGCACAGGGGGTGGAATGAGGCTGGGAAGCTGATGGCACATGGTGGAAGCCTGTCCCTGAGTGAAAGAGAGAGGGAAGCTGGATTGGGTGGAAGGTCCCTATATTTCTGTGCTGTGCAAGGAAGGTGCAAAATATAATTGAGTCTTGTGCAAGTCAGTGCTGCCTCTCAGGGGATCCCCATGACTCCCAGAAATAATGGCTCTGCTTAGGAATCCCTGCAGAGTCACTCCTTTCATTAGAGTAGACCACAGGACATGGGCCTCAGCACCTGCCATGCCACAGATGTCAGAAAGCAGCTGCTGGGAACCTGACCCACCTGCATTTTGCTGCCTGTAGGAGGAGGGAGGGACGTGCATTCTCAGGGCCAACACGCTGTTTTTGGATTTTTATAGAGAACACCTGCTTTTACTTTACTTTTTGGAAAAATATATGAACAAATGTGCACCTGCAAACAATTGTAATTTTCACATTTATTTTAATTACATTTGTTTATAATTGTGCATGAGGTCCTGGTGCAGAGTTGAGTTTTTCATGGGAATTGTTCCAAGAATCAAGAACATCCATTTTCCACTTTCACTGGTTTTTCCCCATGTGCAGAGACCTTGAGTAGAGCACATCTGGCCCTTATCCACACTATCTCTTGTGTCCCCGGGAAAGAGCAGGGATTTGCCTGACTGCAGAATCTGGGGTAGGAGTCTGCACACCTCTGAGCCTGCAGAGAAGCCCAGAGAAGTTTTATGGAGTCAGAGAGCTTTCCCGTGTGGGGAACCTCTAGCTTCCTCACTCTCAGAGATTGCTGGTCAGCTGTAATTGAGGGGTTAAGAATTAGAGCACCTGGAAGCCTGTCTCATCACAGCTCCATTATGTAACTTACCACCATTAGACTGCAGGTAATAACTCAATCTTGATTTTTCTGACCCCATCTTATTCATTTGTAAGTTTGGTTATAGAAAATGTTACATTTTAGTTTCTGATTCAAACCTCAGAATTTTGTGAATTCATCAGGAATAATTAAAAATGTGTCCAGTTTTTGGGAAATGTAAATTAATGTCCATACTGTTTATGTGTGTGTGCGTGTGTGTGTGGGGGGGGACATGTCAGTCACTTACACCCCAGTAAAAATGATTCCTTAATTATATAGTCGAACTGCAATTAGATTTGCTGAAAATTGTCTACAGTAATTTCTGTGAAGCTGACCTTGCCACCTTGCTGTGAGGTGTGAGGATGCTCAGTGCACAGGTGAGGTCTCACAGGAGAGATCCAAGGTTCAGCCCCCAGGACTGGCTGAGCTCCTGGCTTGGAGCCAGACATAGGACTGGGCATCTCAGAAGCAGATCCCCTGGCCCTCCTTTATCTGGGCTGTATGGGCAGCAGAGGACAAGCAGAAGAAACTCAGAACTCAGCCAAGACAGAGCCCCATTTAGGAGCAGGTGCATCAAGGAACCAGCCAGAGAACCTCTGACTACAATCTAGGGTTGTCTTCTTTTGCTTCACAGCATCCAACCCTAAGGAGACCACCCACTATATCATCTGTAACTCAGAACTTTCTTGTTACAAAGGAAAACACAAATGAATATAACTCTGCAGTTAACTTCTTGAACCTGGATTGATGAGTTTCCATGGCCTCATGAGCACAGAGACCACATCCAGTGCAGGTGCAGAGCAAGGCTGCAACAGTCAGCCTGCTGCTCCCTCAGGAGTCTTCCAATTCCCTTGTCCAAAGCATCCGCTCATTCATGGGCTGAGAAAAGGGAAGTCATTCATGCAGTCTACTCTCTCCACAGAACTGACGGGGCACAAGGACAACATCGATTTTTCATGGAACATGCCTCTAGGAATGCAGCTGTGTGCACACACACTGCTAAGCACACACTTCTTTACATAATTACTTGTAACTGTATTTTCTTATTTATTCTCTCCAATTTTTTTACACAAATTCATCACTTTTCCCCATAATCAAAGAGGATTTTGATCAGAATGCTTGTGGGGAGCCCCTTGCCTGCCAGATGCCCAACATCACTACTCTTGAAGGGAGGAGGAACGGCAGCTCTCTTGATTTCTACTCTAATCCTCTAGGACTAAAACCAGAAGGTTGCATGTCCAGTGCGGGAGCATCGAAGAAGATCCTGTCTGTAGAAGCAGGAGCGTCAAGACTTGACTGAGAGCCATGGTGCTGAAATGAGATAGATTCCCTGATGGAGAGCACACGTGGACCCCCACACCTGAGGGCTCACTGCTCCTCACCACAGATGCACTCCCCTACTGAGTCCTGAGACCTGAGTGCACCCCATAGAGTAGGGCTCAGATGAGGGGATGCAAATCTCCACCAGCTCCACCCTCCCCTGGGTTCAAAAGACGAGGACAGGGCCTCGCTCAGTGAATCCTGCTCTCCACCATGGACATACTTTGTTCCACGCTCCTGCTACTGACTGTCCCGTCCTGTGAGTGCTGTGGTCAGGTAGTACTTCAGAAGCAAAAAATCTATTCTCTCCTTTGTGGGCTTCATCTTCTTATGTCTTCTCCACAGGGGTCTTATCCCAGGTCACCTTGAAGGAGTCTGGTCCTGCGCTGGTGAAACCCACACAGACCCTCACACTGACCTGCACCTTCTCTGGGTTCTCACTCAGCACTAGTGGAATGCGTGTGAGCTGGATCCGTCAGCCCCCAGGGAAGGCCCTGGAGTGGCTTGCACGCATTGATTGGGATGATGATAAATTCTACAGCACATCTCTGAAGACCAGGCTCACCATCTCCAAGGACACCTCCAAAAACCAGGTGGTCCTTACAATGACCAACATGGACCCTGTGGACACAGCCACGTATTACTGTGCACGGATACCACAGAGACACAGCCCAGGGCGCCTCCTGTACAAGAACCCAGGCTGCTTCTCAGTGGTGCTCCCTCCCCACCTCTGCAGAACAGGATAGTGTGGCTGAGATGCCATTTCCTGCCAGGGCCTGCGTTTCCCATCCCCATCTGACTCAGAGCCTTGTTTTCCTCCCTCTTCTTTACTAATAAATGGCATGTCCCCTGTTAGTGGTTCGTGCAAGCAGAAGCTGTATCCTGTTTGACAAAGATTCAGCATGAAAGGTTCCTGTTACCTAAAAAAAAATAGACAGATGAGACTTAATTAACCTAAATAATTTTTTTCACAACAACAGAGTGAATACACAATTTGCAGAATGACAGAAAACTTTTGCACACTTTGTCTGTGACAGGGAACTAATATGAAGAATTTGCAAGGAACTCAAACAACTCTACAACAACAACAGCAACGAGAACCAAATAACCCCATTAAAATGAGCAAAGAACATGAGTAGACATTTTCAAAAGAACACATAGAAATGGATAATAAATATATAAACAATGCTCAACATCACTAACCATCAGGGAAATGCAAATTAAAACCACAATAAGATATCATCTTCCACCAGTCACAATGACTGTTACTAAAAACTCAAATAATATCAGATGTTGCTGAGGATGGGAAATAAAGGCAACTCTTAGACATTGTTGATGAGGATGTAGACGAGTACAACCTCTGTGGAAAATGGTATGGAGATTTCCCAGAAAACTAGAAATAGAACTGCCATTTGGTCCAGCAATCCCACTACTGGGTAACTACCCAAAGGAAAATAAACTATTATTTCAAAAAGATACCCACCTTCTATGCTTACCATAAAACTACTCTCAATAGCACATATGTCAAACTGAGTGTCTGCCAACAAATGATTTTATAAAAGAATATAGCACGTATGCACAATTCAATACTAGTCAGTCACAATAAGGAATGAAACTGTGTCTTTTGCAGCAAGATGCATAGAAGTGGGGGACAATACAATTAGTGAACTAACTCACAAACAGAATGTCACATGTCACATGTTATTACTTGTAAGTGGGAGGTAAACAGTGTGTACACAAGGATTTGTAGAGAGAAATTATACACATTGGAGACTTAGAAGGATGGGTGGGCAGAAGGTGGGAGCATGATGAGTCATTACATAACAGGCACAATATAAAATAATTAAGAATTGACCAATGATCTTAAAATTAAAATGTAGAATATGATCAATAAATGAACTTGATATTAGTTGACCTCATTAAATTTAAAAACTTTTTCTACTCAAGTGACTGTAAGAAAATGAATGCCCGGTTACAGATGAGAAACTGTTTGCGAGTCATATAACCACCAATGTAATTATAATAAGAACCTTCAGAACTCAACTGTGAATAAAAAAGAAACAACTGATGGATAAATTAGGCAAGGGTTTCTACAGACATTTCGTCAGAGAAGATGTGCAGATGACACTGAAGCATATAAACAGGCTCTCAACAGGATTTTCCATTAGAGAAATTCAAATCAAGCCCACAAAGAGACACCACTGTACACTTTTCAAAATGGCTGAAATTAAGAAGAAATACAGATAACATCAATGCTGGTGAGCATACCAGGTTGCTAGAGGCTAAAACATTGCTAACGGGAATGCAAAATGAAACAGATACTCAGGAAAATAATTTTTAGTTTTCTCTAAAATCAAACATACCCTTAACACCTGAATATTTGCATCAGAGAAAAACAATCTTACATTCACGCATAACTTCTATTCAAATATTCAAGATATCGTGTGTATGTGTGTTAGAAAGTAAAAATAACATAAATGTCTCAAAATTTGAATAGGTGAAGAACTAGGAAGCATCTATAAATTGAATACCACCAGCAATAAAAAAAAAAACAAGTGACCAATACATAAACCATTGCAGGTGAACTCCAGACATTGTGCTAAGTGAGAGAAGCCAGTCTCAAAGATCAAAGGGACACAGCTGTAAGCACCACGGTCATCCTCAGGTGTCAGTGGTTTGGGCTGGACTTTCTGTGTCTCTTTCCTGACCAGACCCAGATGTTGAGCTCCACCACTTGCAGATGGAAAATCCTATTTTCAACCATGCAGTGAGGTTTCAACTACTTCACAGACTGAACGACACAAACACGGGCTCCTTTGAACAGCGTCCGGCATTTGTTCCAACCACAAGAGAACGTCCCTCAGCTCTCCCCCCTCCTCGGTTCTCTCCTGCAAGCCAGCAGCCCTGCAGTTTAGTCTGCATCTCCCATGCATCCACCCATCTCCCTCCAAGCACCTTCCCCCACACCCTCCACTGTTTCTGAGATCACAGGCAGGCTTTGAACTTTTCCGCATTCTGTTGTTATTGAAGTTAGGATGTTTAGGACCAACTTAAGGATCATATTTTATGACTGAATTCCAGTGCCCCTTCTCTCCTGGGACAGAGTGCATAACCAAGTTTCTGCAGGTGGAGACGAAGTTGAGCTTTTTTCTTCCTCAGCCTAGGAGATGAGCGCTAATTGGAGGGTTGGGCAGAAGCTTCCCACCATCCCAGCACTTTGGTTCTGGTGGGGCGGAATCGGTGCCATAGGGCAGAGCTAGAAACCGCGGACTGAATGTTCCCAGTGGCACTGGACCCAGGGCAGAGCCTCCATCCACGAGTGGGGCTCTATGGAAGAAGTGAGTCTCTGGCTCTCAGTAGCTCTCGTCCAGCACTGAACCTCAGCATCATGTGCTGTGTGCAGGGTCAGAGGGCCAACGTACTGGCCCCTGGGAAAGCGTTTCCTCTGGTGGGAGTTGGTAGAAGGTGTCCTGTCTTCTTGGCTGCATCTGTCCGCAGTGGAGTTTACATCATGCTGAGCTGGGATGTGGAAGGAAGGAAGAGCATCTTAGATCAAATATGATGACTGGCCTTACTGAGTTTTCTAGATTTTCCTGAATAAATGTTTCTTCACTCACTGTGTGCTGTTAGAGTCTTTCCAAACCTGTAATTTCCCAAAATAATTTTCACTGGTCTCATGAGGGCATGGATTCATTGAGCCCCTCATGCTGTCAAAGAGAAATAGAACTGTTTTTTTTTTCACTTCATAGCGAACATCCATGGGTTATCAAATAATGGGCTGGCTTTTCTTCCAACACTTTACAGACACCATCAATTTTCTTCTTGCTTATAAGGTTTTAACCAGAAGAATGCTGTCATGGTCTTTTCTGTTCTTTTGGAAGGAATGCCCCCTCTACTCACCTCCACTTGTCTGCCTGTATTTCTATTTGTCTTTGGTTTTCAACAATTTTAATAAGATTTACCTAAATGTGTGTGGGGGGAGCATGGGGTGTTATTCTGCTGTTCTGTGTTCTCTGAGATGCATGGATTCACCATTTACTCTGTCTCCATTTTTGTGAAAACAATTAGAAAAAATGTCAGTGTGAGCCTAGAAACAAGCCTCCCTGAAGTGGGCACAGGACCACTTGGGGGCGCACAGGACCCACTGAGCACAAGAGCCAACCTCAGGGCAGGTGCAGATGGGGTTTAAGGTCTGGTTTCCTGTCAGCCCTGTGGCTTCCTCTCCATGAAACAGTTTCCTTTGTGGCATATCTCTGGATTCCTTATCCTGTTCTTCCTGTGAAGTCTCTGAAGAAGAAACATTTGTCGTAACAAGAGAAAAACTTTCTCACATGCACCAAAGGCAGAGTCACCTACAGTCACTTACTCCTGTTTCTCAATGTCAATAAGTTATCAATGCTTCTGAAGTTAATCAGCTAAATCTATAAAGGTGCAGTGTTTAACTCAGCATTGCAGCCCAGCTCAACAGAACTCCAAAGGCCAGCCAGCAGCAGCCAGGATAATGAGCATGCTGGGCATTGGGGCAGAAGGAGTTAGCATCCAGTGCAAGAGAAGAAAGCCCCCGTGGTGGTCATTGTCAGGACTCCAATCCCACAGTTCCAATTGTAGGTGATGCCAGGCAAAGGAAGAGAGACCCCACCAATGGTTAGTGTGGATGTCGAGTTTGATGTTTCCACACTCACACTCCAGGTGAATATGAAAAGATTTATTAGCTCTATTTCTGAGGTGTCTGCTGAGAGCAGCACAGTCCTCTCAAGAAATTACAGATTGGAATTTCCTCAGTAGAGCAGGAAAGGAGGCTGGCTCAGGGCTTTATAATGATTTGGTGGTGGGGTCGGCGGGGGGGGGGGGGGCGTTTCTACTCAGGAGAAGGAGCTTGTGTGATTTAAACCTCACACTGACATCACATGAGGGAGCTTCCATGATTTCTTACTAGATTTCCCATGTGTGGGGGACAAGGATGAGGGAGAATAAACCTTAATTCATCAGCATCAAGGCACCAAAAATAGGACCTGACACTTTATTCTCCCTAGCAGCTTAAGAAAATGAGTGAAAAAGAGAGATAAGAGTCCACCCATGTGCTGAAAAGCATAGCTCTTGGTAAAGACGAGAAAAAGGCACTCCTACGAAGAAGGGGTTGGGCAGAAGCTTTATGCTGAAGGGTTTGGCTAAAGAGACATAATCAACAGGTTACAGGAGGGGCTACTGATGTTCATGGAGGTGGTCCTCACACATGCATACTGAACAAACATGTCTGTAACGTATGACCCCTGTTCACTTACCAGTGGAGACTTAGCATTTAAATTCATTCCAGTCAGGCCCTATGTGCAAACAGCAGAAGCAGAGACACAAAGGTACTCAGGGTGCAGCCTCTGTGAACGGCCAGAGCCAGGCCATGGTCAGCGGTCTCGGATTAGGAGAAAGTTCCTGATATCACTGTAGTGTTCAATCAAAGCTGGGGTTATGGTTTGTGGAACAGGGGTCAGTTCATCAGGGGGTGGGCTGCAATTGTCTTCATAGTGCTTGTCTCAGTGCCGGTGCTTACTGAGCCACTAGAGAAAAAGGTTTAATTGAGCTTCTTTAAAATCAACATTTTGAATTATTTATCAGACGTTTCAAATATGTCATGTTGTTTAGATTCTATTGCTGGAGAGTTAAGGTGATATTTGGGGTTTTGTAACTCTGTTTTTTCATACTTCCTGAATTGCTTATCTGTTTGCTTTTCATTAGCTAAACTATCGCTTCTTCTTATTTTTTAATTCATTCTGATTTTGATGAATATTTAATTCCCTTTAGAATGTGAATATAATGTACATTGTGTGGGTATTTTGATTTTGGTTCTTGGTTTACTTAGTGGCAAAGACTCTGTAAGAGTTCCTTGTCTATAGATAGCCATTATTTAGTGGCTTTCTGAAATGGTGGTTTTAGTACCAAAGTACTGGACTTGTGAGTAGGCTCACTGCCCCCTGCAGGTCCTAGATAGTGGAGGCCTCAGGAACTGTTTCTCATTTGGAATGCCTTTGTTTCAGCAGATTTTGTGTTGGGTTGTTAAGTTCACCCTCCACATTAGTAGATGTCCTTACAGATTAGAGCTGACTCTGGTAGAAGCAGTTGAGTGCATGCTTGATATCTGTGCACAGGGAGAAGCTCTCTGTTGCCTCAGGCGATGGACTGGTCTATGAAATGCACAGTGACCTGAGTTCCCTGCTCAGCCCCTGAGAGGTGGACCAAGCTGGACACACATGAGCCACCGAGCCTGGCAAGCAAAAGCGCCAGCCTTGATGGAAATGGCGAGCTGAGCGGCATCTACTCAGTGTGGTTTCTTTTGTTATTAAGAGCTTTAGTGTGGTGGCTGTTTCAAATTCCCGTTGTAGTAGTAATATACTGGGTATGTGAGCAGGCCCGTGGTCTTTTGCGGGGTTGGAATCACCGAAGTAATGAGAAGCTAATCTCATTTTCAACTGCTGTACACTGGTGGTATTGAGTTTGTATGAGGTCATGCAGTTTGAACGTCAGGCCAGTAGGTGGTGCTCGCAGGTAAGAGCCGGCTATGGTGGCAGCAGAAGGGTTTATGCTTTACTGGTGATTAAAGTGGGAAACTTGGCGTGTTCCAGATCTTAGAGAAAAGATTTTTAGTTATTTCTCATTCAACCTGATACTACCTGAAAGTCTCTCGAATGTAACTTTTATTTTGTCGAGATGGGTTCTTTCTATACCCATTTTTTATGTTTTTTTTGTGAAAGGATGTTGTTTCATCAAATGCGTTTTCAGCATCAATTGAAAAAAGTTATATGTGGATTAAAGATCAAAATGTAAAACCTAACACTATAAAACCTCTGGATAATAACATAGGAAACAGAATTTAGGAGGTAAGAACTGACAAAGGTTTTATAATGAAAATGCTAGAAGTAGTTGCAACAAAATTGAAAATTGACAAATGGGACCTAAGTAAATTAAAGAACTTCTGTACAGCAAAAGACACTATCGACAGAGTAAACAGGCAACCTACAGAATGGGAAATAAAATATTTGCAGCCTATACATCTGACAAAGGTCCGACACTTAGTATATACATGGAAATTTAACAAACATACAAGAAATAAAAAGTGACCAAAGGACATGAAAAGACACTTCAAAAAAGACCTACATGTGGCCAACAAGCATAGGAAAAAATGCTGAATATCACTATCATTAGAGAAATACATATCAAAACCTCAATGAGGTACCGTCTCACATCAGTCAGGATGGCTAATCTTAAAAAAAAAATAACAGATTTTTAAGGTTACAGAAAAAAGGGGAAATTTATACACTTTTGGCGGGAATATAAATGAGTTCAACCATTGTGGAAAGCAGTGTGGTGATCCCTCCAATAACCTAAAACAGAAGTTTCATTTGACCCAACAATCCTACAACTGGACATATACCTAAAGGAATATAAACATGTAGGTTCACTGCAGCACTATCCACAATAGCATAGACATGGAATTTACCTAAATCCCCATCACTGGCAGAATGATAGAGAAAAATGTGGTACATACAACCATGGAATACTATGCAGCTAAGGAAAGAATGAAACTATGTCCTTTGTAGGAACATGATGGAACTGGCAGTCAATACTCTTAGAAAACTAATTCAGGAACAGAAAACCAGATATTATATATTCTCCCTTATTTGTTGGAGATAAATAAAAGCAAATATTCTTCCAGGGCCTGAGTCTTCCTTATTCAACAAGTCATTCTAAATTAAGTGTTCAGCAAGTTGCTGATACTCATCTAAATATTCTATTTCATCTGGGCCACTTACATCACTCAAAAAGCAATGAGAGCTATATTTCTAAGGGGGGTTCTAGGATAATAAATACCTGAATAGTGAGAATATGAAGGATATGGAAACTGGGCCACTTATATCACTCAAAAAGGAATGAGAGCTATATTTATAAGGGGGGTTCTAGGATAATAAATACCTGAATAGTGAGAATATGAAGGATATGGAAACTGGGCCACTTATATCACTCAAAAAGCAATGAAAGCTATATTTACAAGGGGGGTTCTAGGATAATAAATATCTGAATAGTGAGAATATGAAGGATATGGATGGTTTTTTTTTAACTCAATGGGCACATAACTGTGGGAGATACTATATTCCTATGAAGAAGGTATTCAGACTTCAGAGATAAGTAATGTTTCCTACATTGTGCTTGTGACTTGGAAGCAGTGGATTGAAGAGTGTGATAAGTGCCCAGACCAAGCAGAACAGAAATCAGCATGTAAAGATGATGATCTATGGATATGATCTAAAACCATGTAAATACTTCAAATAATTCTATTTAATGCAGTTTGAAATAAAACACAAACTTATTCAAAATACAAATTACTTGGTAATTATTTTGGGAGCTATGAGTTCACCAAGAAACTCAAATTCCTATTTCTATTTCAACCCCTGATTCCTACTGTCAATGGGAGGGAAGTCTCAGAACCAATCACACATCAGACGGCAAATCTGTCAACCAAGAGTCTTTCCACTGAAGGACCTGGGAGGTCAGGACCCTCAGGAAAGTGCTGGGGACCCTGTCTTGGGAGTGCCCAGCAGATCTCAGAACTCTCCATGGGTCCTGCTGGACACTCATGTAGGGTAACGAGTGGCCACCTTTTCAGTGTTACCAGTGAGCTCTGAGTGTTCCTAATGGGACCAGGATGGGTCTAGGTGCCTGCTCAATGTCAGAGACAGCAATGGTCCCACAAAAAACCCAGGTAATCTTTAGGCCAATAAAATGTGGGTTCACAGTGAGGAGTGCATCCTGGGGTTGGGGTTTGTTCTGCAGCGGGAAGAGCGCTGTGCACAGAAAGCTTAGAAATGGGGCAAGAGATGCTTTTCCTCAGGCAGGATTTAGGGCTTGGTCTCTCAGCATCCCACACTTGTACAGCTGATGTGGCATCTGTGTTTTCTTTCTCATCCTAGATCAGGCTTTGAGCTGTGAAATACCCTGCCTCATGCATATGCAAATAACCTGAGGTCTTCTGAGATAAATATAGATATATTGGTGCCCTGAGAGCATCACATAACAACCACATTCCTCCTCTGAAGAAGCCCCTGGGAGCACAGCTCATCACCATGGACTGGACCTGGAGGTTCCTCTTTGTGGTGGCAGCAGCTACAGGTAAGGGGCTTCCTAGTCCTAAGGCTGAGGAAGGGATCCTGGTTTAGTTAAAGAGGATTTTATTCACCCCTGTGTCCTCTCCACAGGTGTCCAGTCCCAGGTGCAGCTGGTGCAGTCTGGGGCTGAGGTGAAGAAGCCTGGGTCCTCGGTGAAGGTCTCCTGCAAGGCTTCTGGAGGCACCTTCAGCAGCTATGCTATCAGCTGGGTGCGACAGGCCCCTGGACAAGGGCTTGAGTGGATGGGAGGGATCATCCCTATCTTTGGTACAGCAAACTACGCACAGAAGTTCCAGGGCAGAGTCACGATTACCGCGGACAAATCCACGAGCACAGCCTACATGGAGCTGAGCAGCCTGAGATCTGAGGACACGGCCGTGTATTACTGTGCGAGAGACACAGTGTGAAAACCCACATCCTGAGAGTGTCAGAAACCCTGAGGGAGAAGGCAGCTGTGCCGGGCTGAGGAGATGACAGGGGTTATTAGGTTTAAGGCTGTTTACAAAATGGGTTATATATTTGAGAAAAAAAGAACAGTAGAAACAAGTACATACTCTAATTTTAAGATAAATATTCCATTCAAGAGTCGTAATATAAGCCAAATTCACAGAGTGGAAAAGGCCACACTCTATAACGTTGATACAAACATTCCATGAAGGTGCTACTGTGAACAAGTTTTCAAATTGGATGAATACATGATTTGGAGCAAGGTTATTTGATCATGTGGTGAGACTAAGAATGATTCTTAAAAAGTGCCAAAAGTTTCCTTCAAATGTTTCTGTCACTCCTTATCATAAAGTTTATTTTACAGCAGTTTTAGGATTACAAAGAAATTGCACAGGAGGCGTGAGAATTCCCATGACTCCCTGCCCTACACAGGCACAGCCTCCTCCACTACGACCATCCTGCACCGCAGTCACAAATCAGTTACAATGGAGGAATCTCCAAGGACGCTTGGTTCTTTCTTTTTCTGGTGATCTCCTAATATAACAAGCCTAAGTATCTCAAGATTCCACGGTTTTTTCAGTGTTTTCTAGAACTGATATTAGTCAGAGGGAAAGTGGGTAAGGCTATTACTATTTGAACTCTTTCTTCCAAAATCCACAAAATATATATTAATTTAGAGCTTATCTTACTTCTGGTTTACAATGCTCCTTCCCAGAGAGTAAGATTTTTAAGCTTTTAGAGGCCAGTTCATGTCTCTAAAAGACCAGAAAGTTCTGGGGAATCCCATAATGAACATCCTTTCATTGGAATTGGAGACCCTGGCAATGAGAGATTCCATGTATAATGCCCTAGAGTTGGATTAGGTGCACTGTGAGCTCTTGGGTGGTGAGTCTGAGTAAGGTGGTTTGTGCAGCAAATGCAAACACATTCATGGGACCCAGGTAGGAACAAAAGCTTCCCTCTGCAAAGGGAGTGTGCACCTGAAGCAGCCCTCACAGAGGTGGGCACTGCTTGCCCTTGATGAGTGCACATTAGCCAGAGGCATGATCATGATTGGTCTTGCAGATAAAGAGCACCACTGAGGTCATAGGTTATGAAAATGTTTGTCATCCTCCAGCTGAGCAAGTCCATCTGCTTGTTTGTGGGTGTCAACTCCATAGAGGGTGCACTTTGGGAGATGACAAGATGCGCACAAACCTGCTCTCACTAATTATCCACTACCACACACTCAAGACCAACCTGTGCTCCGGAAAGGAATACGTGCCTGTGGAAATAGACAGAGCTTAAGTATTTTGTAACCTGGTGAACATACTGCCCAAAGCCACACGTTTCAGGAAGATTAGCTCAGAAATGTTCACCAATTGACTGAAGGGCAGTGGTGGGTGAGGTGATGGGACAGCCTCAGGGCTGCACATGAGGAGGGCTCCCTCCCCCATGCAGGCTTTTCCTCCAGGAGCTGCATCAGGACCTCAAGGAAGATCAGGGAGAATTCTGAGAACACCCTTCTGTGGAGCTGCCTAGAGAAGAAGAATAAATATGAAAAAATACAACTCTGAGTAATGCATGGATATTTGTTCATGAAAACTCTCTCTGAAAGCTTGTGAAGGTCTCGAAATACCCCTGATTAGCTGAAGACAAACATTTAAACCCTCCTTCCACAGGGAGTTCAAGCAGGCTGGATGTGTCCTTCTATGGATGATCTTCCCCAACCCCTTCCTCTTCCCAGCTCATCCCTGGCTCTCTGTGTAAACAGTTCTCATCAGTGGAATGTGGTTGATGAAGTGACGTCTTCAATTTCCTCATCTTCTTGGTGGTCATGTTATTTTTTTTCATCTGAGGGTTAAAAACTCACCTGCATGCAGCACATGACAGGCTAAAATCTCTTGTGGACAAAACGGTAACAAAGGCACCCACCAGGGTTGAGCATCCGTGTTGCTGACAACGACCACCAGGGGTCAACGTCCTCTTCACAATCCTGTGTCAGAGCATCACTGGAATGATTTCATTAGCAACTTCCCAGGAGAATCAGCTTAAAAAATACTTGTCCCATTTTCCATGCAGATATAACCCATCCCTTTTCCTGAAGAAACAGAGCTCAATACTAAATACACTGAATGTTGTTTTTGCTGGTTTTGTAAGTTTGTGACTTTATCACTTTCTAATTTCTGAGTTAGGTGGACCACTCTACATATTTCTCTCATGGGTGTGACCAGCCTTCTGGATGTCAAATATAACTGACTTTGTTCGTGTAAATGTCAACACAAGCTCTTCATGGTTTCGGTGCTCACTGACTACTCTAAACTTACACAATGTGTTTCTTTATTAGCTTTGTTTTCTGGTATCTCTACGTGGCTTATTCATCACGCCCATTTTATGTTACTTGTACAGGTAATTGATTGTTATTTTTAAAATTTACTATTGCTTACTTTAATTAAATAAGTAGGCAATAGCTTAGAATAGAAAATAAGGTAAAGTAAAAGTACATGCAGTAATATTTAATATAAGTAAGCAGGCAGCTGAAAGCAAGGGAAATCTACTCTGCTGTGTAAAAGGGTATGGAGACCTCACAGTATGATGATCTTCTGCAGTTTAATCCATACTGCTACATAAGTGACAACGTCCACTCTGTTTATATCAGAGCTTCCCCTAATATGTACAATGAAGACTGAGCCCAGGTACCTCCAACCAGAATGGCCAGCACCTTTTACCAAGTGCCTGAACTGACAGCAATAGAGATCACGTTTGTCTAAAAAAAAACTCACACTGTAAGGATACCCACCAGTCATATGGAGACAATTAGAAAAAATTAAAGCCCAAGCCTGATAGGTAGTAATTTGTACTTAGAAGAATTAACTTTTATCTCCACATGTTTTTTTTTTAATCATAGAGAAACTACTAGTGGTAGTTCCACTGTCCAAGTTACTGAATATCTTATTCCTAGAATGAGACACTGCACAATGTGTTCTGACACGACAGAACGTAGCTGTAGTTAAGGGACAGGAGATGTGATCACGGGAACACGAGTCTGCGATCCAGCAGTTCTTGCTCCTTCACATTTGCCCAGAAACAAAGACCCCAGCAGAACAATGGAAGCATTGACTTAGGTCTCCACAGTCTGATGTGAGATAAACAGCAGGTAGTTTATGCCTCTGTTTTATAGCAGGAAATTTAATCTCTAAAGAAGGGCCATTTTGGAGATAATACTATTCTCCAGGATGCTTAAATGCCCCCAAACAGAGAGCACTGCAGAGCCCCGTGGCCAGGAGCTACAACACCTGGGTCTGGAAACCACTGGACAGAAATATGAGATTCTCTTACCACATGTATGATGGAACCTTGAAGAATGTTTCCTTCCTTCTCCATAATCACAGCCTGCGATGAACTGGAGGTCCCAGTACATAAAAAAACATGTGTCTGCATTGGATACAGAATTAGTCCCATAAAATAATTGTGCTACTGTGGTGCTCACACTGTTGGACCAGCTGACCAAGAAAGTGTTGTAAGAGCTGCAGTGTCTACTGATTCCTACCATATTTGGGGCTACATTCACATCTATCAAGGGAAAGAGAGATAAGAAAATCTCTCTAGGCCGGGCGCGGTGGCTCACGCCTGTAATCCCAGCACTTTGCGGGGCCAAGGTGGGCGGATCACGAGGTCAGGAGATCCGGACCATCCTGGCCAACATGGTGAAACCTCCATCTCTCCTAAAAATACAAAAAATTAGCTGGGCGTGGTGGTGGGCGCCTGTAGTCCCAGCTACTCGGGAGGCTGAGGCAGGAGAATGGCATGAACCTGGGAGGCGTAGCTTGCAGTGAGCCGAGATTGTGCCACTTCAACTCCAGCCTGGGGGACAGAGCTAGACTCCATAAAAGAAAGAAAGAAGAAAGAAAGAAAGAGAGAGAGAGAGAAAGAAAAATAAAGAAAGAAAGAAAGAAAGAAGAAAGAAAGAAAGAGAAAGAAAGAAAGAAAGAAAGAAAGAAAGAAAGAAAGAAAGAAAGAAAGAAAGAAAGAAAGAAAGAAAGGAAGAAAGAAAGAGAAAGAAAGAAAGAAAAAGGAAATCTGGCCTAGTCTATTGATTTATTTTCATTTCTTCAAAATGAGGTAAAAAAATCGCATCAACTAAAATGCGGACGATGATGAAGTGATCAAAGACAACAGCCACTCAGTGTTTCAGGTGTGTTTTAACCCAAAGTCACACAACATGTGAGAAGCTGAACTCCGGAGCCAGGGGCATCTCTGAGGAGAATGTGGAAGGTGGGCGGGAGGAAACAGTGATTCATGTCTAGGGAAATTTCAGGGCTGCCTGCTCTAGGGGAAAGGAAAGCCTGAGCCTCTCCCACAGTGTGCTCTGTTAAAAATTTTGGCTGACTTATTGTATTCTTCGACACAAATATTTTTGTTTCGTCCTCTTTTAAATTTTTTTATCTCTATTAAAATTCTCACTTTGTTCTTGCATGCTGCCACTAGCTTATTAAACATGTTTCTAATATTTACTTCAAATTTTCTGCCAGGACATCCATATGTTTTTTTATTCATTGATGCCAGATTCTGGACCTCTATGTTGTCTGTCTGTTTGGACCATGTTCCCGTGTTTCTTCATTTTCCTTGACGGTCTTTCTTGCTATCCGTTCATCATAACAAACAGCTCTTTGCTCATCATAACAAAGAGCCACACTCTTCCAAGCCTAGGCTCATAGAGACAACCCTCACCAATCACTCCATCAGTGATTGCGGATCTCTCAAAACTTCATAATGACTTCATAATATTCCAACTTCTGTCTCTGTTCTTAGTGGCCCCCAGGTTTAGAGAACGTTGGGTTGTGCCAGGACTCCCAAATAGGAGAGGTAGAAACTATATACTCAAGTAGCCTCTTGAACAGTGTACCATTAGACACAGTTTTATTATTGAGGTATGATTCATCAAAATAATGTTAGTTCAAGCGCCTCTCAACCAGTCATCTAACATTGAAATGTTATAATTTCTTATTTGGATCTCTCTGGAGTTTATCTTTTGAATATTTAGGTAAAATTACAAACTAGTATAAAGCTATTTGGCAAAATTATCTGCTGCAGAAGTTTCATCTTCTGTGTATCTCTTTTTGCACTTAAATATGTTTTTATTAGTCATGTATCCAGAATATAGAAATATGTCTTAAAGTTCCTTCATTTTTTTAAGGTTATGGGGTTTTCAGAAGAGGTGAGAACCTTCTTTATTTATAAAATACCTGATTCCACATTGCTGGATAGTTTCTTCTTTAATTTGTCTCCTCCTCTCACATTATACTATATTAAGCAAGGAGAAATCAAAACACACCATCCACACTTTGCTTAGAAATCCCCAAAGCTAAATTTTAAGTATCACTTACTAATTCTAATTTTACCCATTGTAACTTAATTAACATGAAATCTATAACAAGGTTACACATACTTTCCCGTTCTAATACCATGTTCGTGACAGAAACAAAGCAGGTGTCTTCTCTGCAATGTGGTCATCTGAGGTCTGAGATGAGGGGTCACACAGGTATTTTATAATATTTAAGGGTTTGGACAACAGTAGTGATAACAATTCTGAACAGCACTGGCTCCTAATTGAAAGGTTATAGGTAAATTTAATGCTGCAATTTTATATTAACACCTTGTCCGAATGAAGCTCAGAGGAAGATGCCACATCCCAGGTCACACAGTGAGGAGGAATGGAGCTGTGCTCTGCTCTCCACACCACCTACAAATCCCAGGCCCCAGCCCAGGTTCCACTGGCGCACGGCACCTAGAGCACAGTTCCCAGGGGATGATCTCAGGGCACCTGCTTCCTCGGGCAGGGCGCTGCCTTCTCTCAGTTGTGCACTTGCTCCTCCTGCAGGTTCTGTAGTGAGCACTTGCATTGCCGTGATTTATACATGTTCTCTCCCCTAATATGGAAAAAATATTTATTAAATTTTCAACTCATTTTCTCTGATGCACACTGCATTAGCAGAAAGGAATAAATCACATTCCTTATCCTCCCATAAAGCCAAAGATTCCCGAAGACAGAGCTGATGTGATGTACTCATAGGTGGATCTCTGCCCCTCAAGGGAGGCCTTGGTCTTCAAGTTTCAGTAATTCTAGGAAGCGAAGGACACCTACATCTCCTGCTCCCTGCTCTGTAGCTCACCTGAGAACAGCTTTCTCATTGGAATGTCTTGTGTTTAAGGAATAAGAGTCCATGTTTCAGGTTCGGGAGCCCAGGTGCACCTACTGGATGCAGCCCAGGATTGGAGACACTTTCCAGAAGACAACATCACCTGAGACATGACCAGTCCCACTGTTTCACTTTCACAATTTCAACTTCCTCAGAAGAAAATTAAAATTGCTGAGACTTGTTCATAAGTGTTGTGCCATGTCCTTACTCTGTTTTCTTGCCTGTTCATTTATGTCATACCAGGTGTCTGTTATATGTAATAAGATCAAAATTCTGCCTCCAGTAACACATCAATGGAGACCTTTGATTGTACTTTTGGTTTATGCACTGACACATAGATTATGATGTTCATCACATTCATTTTTATGTCAAAGGAAATCTGCATAATCTGAATGCCAATACTTTTTGGAATCTGCTAAGTAACTGAAATTGAAAAAAAAATACCCACTCAAGAACCTGGATAGACAGCCATGTCCAGAATGGCAGTTGACACTTGTTTAACTGGAAGAGAATCTACAGAAGCCACAAGTTGTTGAGGGCACTTACATGATAAGCACTATAGTTGTCTTAAAGACAGATGTGGACTCAGTAAATGTGACTGTTCCAGAGGGTCTTATATTTCTATGTTTTATGGACTTTCTCACCAGAAACCTCCAGATTCTAAAAAATACTATCCAAATACGTTTCTTATTTGTCAGATTGGAGAAGATTAATTACTGAAAAATATTACGGGAGACTTTTTCAAAAGCTTCTACATGGAAGGACTTTTCGAGAACCTTGTCCTATGTAAAGGAAGACAAATCTCCCATTCCAGATTTCTCTCCCATTCTTCCATTATTATAGAAATGAGCAAAGTTAGCCAATAGGGGTAAGATGTAAGTAAATAGTCCAGGGACACTGAAACCACAAAAGGGAGTAATGGCCAAAGTAGCTTTTCCCCTGGAGATTCCTGGTCAAAGTCACAGCCCAGAAGAGGAAGCCGATCGCATCTCTAGGTTTCCATTGTCAAAACAGGCAGTGCTTGCCTGCACTGCACAATCCATTCTAACCAGTGTGATAGCTCTGGATTAAAGATGGAAGTGTGGCAATGCACAGACTCTATGTGAGAAGAACACTGGAAAACTAAAGGACAAAGGCAGAGAGTAGGACAAGGACGACAAAGCAATCTGAAGCCTCTGACATCACCATTTTTAAGATCAAGGTCTTGGAAACTCCCTCATTGACCTTTAGATCTCTAGGAGAAAAAAGTCAGATACCTGGGCCTAGTGTCAGTGTAGGAGGAATTTTCTATAGGCTAGGCATTAGGAAGAAGGGAAAATTCTTCCTTATTAGGAAGTTATTGTTATAGTGTTATAGTGTTATTGGAATAGTGGATATGGAGTGGGCTTTCATCTCGATCAATCTGCACCTGCTGGTATTTTCCAATGCTACATTCACCTGCAAGAGCCCAATGAAGAAAGAAGGCACTCCCAAATCTTTTGCAAGTTTTTGTATTCACTGTGGGTCCACTGCTTAAGTGCATCTGGAGCTTCAGAGAAGGGGCTCTGTCCTGTGTCATAGAACCCTTGCTTTGAGTCTCACGGCAGAGTTCAATCTGTTTAGTAAAGTTGATCAATTATTTCAAGAGATGGTGTCACCAGCATATGGTGTCACTGAGGGAGTATTCTACACTAGCACACAGCCATTTCACGCTGGGCTAGAGAAGCTGGGGGGAAATGCTTTGTGAGCCCCAACAGGAACCTCCTTGCAAGGCAAGGGCTGGGCGGGAGGGGGCACTCAGGAGCCACTCAGCACGGGTTCCAGCCCTGCAGCTGGTGCACAGGAGGCTGCTGAGAAGGTTTCCTCTCAGGGGCTGGGTCTTCCTTTGGGAGAAAAAAGCTAAAATTCAATAAGTTGCTGGTGTGCCCTTAAATATTCTATCACATCTGAGCTGCTCCCACAATTCAAGAGAAGGAGAACTATCTTTATAAATATTCTATCACATCTGAGCTGCTCCCACAATTCAAGGCGATGAGAACTGTCTTTATAAATATTCTATCACATCTGAGCTGCTCCCACAATTCAAGGCGATGAGAACTATCTTTTCAAATATTCTATCACATCTGAGCTGCTCCCACAATTCAAGGCGATGAGAACTATCTTTTTAAATATTCTATCACATCTGAGCTGCTCCAACAATTCAAGGTGATGAGAACTATCTTTTCAAATATTCTATCACATCTGAGCTGCTCCCACAGTTCAAGGAATGAGAACTATCTTTTTAAATATTCTATCACATCTGAGCTGCTCCCGCAATTCAAGACAATGAGAACTATCTTTTTAAATATTCTATCACATCTGAGCTGCTCCAACAATTCAAGGCAATGAGAACTATCTTTTTAAATATTCTATCACATCTGAGCTGCTCCCACAATTCAAGGCGATGAGAACTATCTTTTTAAATATTCTATCTCATCTGAGCTGCTCCCACAATTCAAGACAAGGAGAACTATCTTTTTAAATATTCTATCACATCTGAGCTGCTCCCACAATTCAAGACAAGGAGAACTATCTTTTTAAATATTCTATCACATCTGAGCTGTTCCCACAATTCAAGGCGATGAGAACTATCTTTTTAAATATACTATCACATCTGAGCTGCTCCCACAATTCAAGGAATGAGAACTATCTTTTTAAATATTCTATCACATCTGAGCTGCTCCCACAATTCAAGGCAATGATAACTATCTTTTTAAATATTCTATCACATCTGAGCTGCTCCCACAATTCAAGACAAGGAGAACTATCTTTTTAAAGTCGGCTTCTAAGATTATAAATACCTTAATAGTGAGAATATGAAGAATAGGGATGGTCTTACTAATTCAATGCAGAGAGAATTATGGGAGTCACTATATTTCCATGAATAATAATTTCAGATTTCAGGCTGGGGCTGGTGGCTCATGCCTGTAATCCCAGCACTTTGCGAGGCTGAGGTGAGCGGGTCACGAGGTCAGGAGCTGGAGACCATCCTGGCTAACACCATGAAACCCTGTCTCTATTCAAAATACAAAAAATTAGCCAGGTGGGGTGGCATGAACCTGTAGTCCCAGCTACTCGGGAGGCTGAGGCAGGAGATTTAATCCTACAAGACCTACAGCCTCAGACAATGCTGCTGTCAGTGATCGTGGGAAGCAGAGTTTGCAGTGAGCTGAGATTGTGCCACTGCACTCCAGCTTGGGCAACAAAGCGAGATTCCATCTCCAAAAAAAAAATTCAGATTTCAGTGTTAAGTAAAGTTGCCTACATTGTGTGAGTGACAGGGCAGTGGTGGATCCGAGAGTGTGGATCTGAGAGTGAGTCAGAAATCAGCATGTAAAGATGAGGATCTATGCACATGAACTGAAAGTATGTAAACAGTTCATGAAATTCTAATAAATCCAGTAGGAAATAAAACCCAAACTTATCCAAAACACAAATTCCCTTGAAATTATTATGGGAGCATGAGTTCATAAAGAACTCCTAACTCCTGTTTCAACTTCTGAATCCTAGTGTCCATGACATAAGAAAATCATCTCCAATTATGCATCACAGGGCAAATCTGTAAACTAAGAGTTTTTCTGTTGACGATCCTGGGGAATCAGGACACCAGGAAGGTGCTGGAGAAACTGTCTCAGGAGCGCCCCAGGGATCTCAGAGGAACGTGCTGGCCACTCACGTGGGACATCAGCGTCACTTGCTCAGAGTCATCAGTGAGCTGTGCTGGTGTCTGACGGGTCCAGCATAGGGCCAAGGCACCTGCTCTGTGTCATGGACCGAGATGGTCCCCAGAATGATCCAAGTGGTCTCTGTGCTAATCTAATGTAGTTTCACAGTGAGAGGCCGTTCTGAGGGGGCTTCTTCTTCAGTGAAAGGACCTCTGTCCACAAATATTCCTAAATGGACAGGGGCATGCATTTCCTCAAGCAGGATTAGGGCTTGGACCATCAGCATCTCACTCTTGCAAGGCTGATGTGTCATTTGTCTTCCCTTTCTTATCATGGATCAGGCTTTGAGCTATGAAATGCCCTGTCTCATGAATATGTAAATACCTGAGATCCACTGAGGTAAATATGGTCTGTGCCCTGAGAGCTTCACCCAACAATCACATCCCGCCTCTAGAGAATCCCCCGAGAGCATGGCTCCTCACCATGGACAGGACCTAGAGCTAATCTTCCTGGTGGCAGCAGCTACAGGTAAGGTGCTCCCAAGTCCCAGTGATGAGAAGGGGATTGAGTACAGTCAAGGAGGCTTTCATCCACTCCTGTGTCCCACCCTCCAATGGGTGTCTGCTCCCAGGTGCAGCTGGGGCAGTCTGAGGCTGAGGTAAAGAAGCCTGGGGCCTCAGTGAAGGTCTCCTGCAAGGCTTCCGGATACACCTTCACTTGCTGCTCCTTGCACTGGTTGCAACAGGCCCCTGGACAAGGGCTTGAAAGGATGAGATGGATCACACTTTACAATGGTAACACCAACTATGCAAAGAAGTTCCAGGGCAGAGTCACCATTACCAGGGACATGTCCCTGAGGACAGCCTACATAGAGCTGAGCAGCCTGAGATCTGAGGACTCGGCTGTGTATTACTGGGCAAGATACACGGTGCGAGAACCCACATCCTGAGAGAGTCAGGAACCCCAGGGAGGAGGCAGCTGTGCTGGCATGGAGGAGATGACAAAGATTATTAGATTGAAGACTTTCTTAGAAAATAGCATTAAGTCATTTACGAAAAGGAACAATATAAATGTGTATTTGAGAAATTGTAATTATTTGAGAGATTTCTTATGCAACATTTATTCTGTAAGCAAATTCTAGGGATTGGAGAATTAATCAAATTAATAAAGCTGACATAGAAATTCCTCTGAAGGTATCTTTGTAAACATCAATTTCTGAATCAGTGTTGTAAATGTTTTGGAACACAGACACAAGATCACATTTTAACTCTACTTTTGTCTCTATAAAAAATGCCAAAAAGAGTCTCATTTTGACCATGTACCTCTTTGAATTCCCACCATCAATGAATGATTGTTCTTGGGTTTCCACATTATATTACCATTTATCATTATGAGAATTGTGTGTTTTAACCATTATAATAGGTGAGTAATGGTATCTAATTTTTGCTTAAATGCACATGCCCCTAATAAAATTCATATTTAACAATTTTCATATAATTTTTGGTGAGATGCCTCTCCTGATATTTGGTTCATTTTCAATAGCACTGTTTTCTTTTGATTAGTTGTAAGTTTACTTGCATATTGATTATAAAAGTTAATTAACAAATTAAAAGAATTCATTTAACAAATATGTGACTTGGAAGTTGCAGGGGTTTGTCCTGCACACCCTGACACAATGACGAATGAATAAAGTGCACTGACACAAAGATATTCTGCTTTGCCAGCTCGACTGAGCATCTGGGCCACTTAGTCACAGCCACCGCCTCGATCAGTCAGGGAGACTTACATTTATTCAGTAAAGATTAATTGACAAAGGCCGTGAGTAAACACCACTAGAAGGTAATTGACATTGTGGACCTCTTGAGTGGAAAGCAATTAAGCACCCGCGGTAGATCAAAGGTTAGTCTTAGGAACACATGAGTAAACAAGCTAGTTAGATAAGCTCCTCACATTCCTTTGTTTCTACTCTACTTTATGTAACTAAAGGTAAGGGGACTAGGCTGCCTTCAGCCAGATTTATTACCAAAGTTATGCAAACTCACAGGCCTTCCAAGAGGGTTTGTGGCTATTAGAACTAAAATGTTTCCCACCAGCCTGACTGGACCACCACATCTCCCCATTTTTTGTTTTCTACATCAGGTCTTTTGGATTGGAGCGTGCAGATATGCGCAGCAACATGTCTGTCAGGTGTGGCAGTCATTGCTCTTATTCTGGCTTTGCATCCTAGAATTAGCAAATAACATAAAACAATCATGAGTAGAATTAGCAACATTCTTTTCCAGTCAGAGTGACCCCCAGGAGCGGGGTCTAACCAGGAGAGATGATCTCACACACCCTTCCATATGACTGTTTGTTGGGGGTGTAGATCTATTGCGTGAAGAGATTCTAAAATTTTAGTTTGAACTTACTTTACGTCTGCTGTTAAATTGTCATGAAAGGTTCCCCAGAGGTATTGTTTTACCTCATCCTAACTATGTATTGATAGATTCCGTGGTAGAGAAGTGATACAGATATGTTCATGTTCCCAGTCACAGTTTAAATGCTGTCAGAATGCCACTGCATCTTGTCGCTCCCTGACATATTCTAAAGCAGCCTCAAGGGCTAGCAGACGTGTGATAATTTTTTGATCTATACCTTGCTGTAAGAGAAGTTCATTAGACACATTTTTGGCCAGATTATCTAAAAAGGCAGCAGTTTACACTAAGTCAATAATACATGCAACAGCAACACTAGCTGTTGCCAGGATGACTATGGCTGAGACTATAAAGGCCATAAGTGTAACTATGAATCTTTTGTGTCTGACCTGGGACAGGGCACGTTCTAAGGTTGCAAGGGCATAGGAACCTTGCCAATTGCATGCCAGATTGACTGGTAAGAATGCCTCAGATTTTCTCTTTAATACCATGGCGCTAGTAATTTTTAAGTTAGATATACTGTGATTAGTGATACATGAGGCAAACCAAGCCTGTCCCTGCATCCAGGTCACAAACGTGGAGTTTTGAGGTGTAATGGAAATGTTAGTTCCCATAAGGAAATCGTATGGATGGGTAGTGCAAATTAGGCACTGATCAGTGTGATTATGAATAAAGCTTATAGCATAGTTGCAACGGGAAATATGGTATGTCCCATGCCAGGTGTTAAGGGAGGTGCTAAGATGTCCCAGACACCATAAAGTACCTTGGGGCGGCATGGACTTTACTTGGGGCCTTGGATATGCCATCCCCCCTTGGCACAAATTATAGGGGAAAAGACATGGCTATGAAACTGATTGATGCTCTGATGGATGAAGGTATTAGTAAGGCTGCCCTGCAATCAGCCGCTGGGACTCCAGTCTAAGATGTTATAATTACCTAACTGGAGGCTATGGGCTCGTCTCCCATGACAGACCTCCCAGCTAAAGTCGAACCGATTACTGTCCCAGCTTTGTTCCTTAGCACAGGAAGGAATGTTTGGGAAAGAAGCAGCGGCATGGATTGCATTGCTCAGTTTGAGGCTATCTGCAGCTAAGAATGTTAAGGCATTTCCTTTGCTATGATGTAACCATACTTGTTTTTGGGCAGGTACACAGTAAGGGTTAGAGTCTTTATAACTTACACACACTGGGAGGATAATAGTGGATTGACATATAGTGTTATCTGCCACCTTAGTCCATTGTGTGCCATTATTGAGGGACCCCACGTGGGGTAAATCTATCCCTCCTAGCCAAGCAGTCACGTTACTATAGGCTGGGAAGGGAGTGTCTTCCCATTTGGCAGGGTGAAAGAAAGGTGTGTCTAAGATAGAGGCCCAATAGAGTGTAGCAGGTACAGGTTGCAGACAAAGTGAGAGCATAAAAAGGATTAATACCCTACATGAGTTGCAATGTACAACAGAAATCATAGCACCAAACACATTATCTGGAGTAAATGGTGTCTGCATTTGGAGCAGGATTCGTTCAGCCTCCTGAGTTGTCCTTTTCAGTACCCCCCAGGTAATGTCTGGGGATTGTGTTGTTCACAGAAGCTGCATCGTCCGGGGCTGTAGGTCTTGTAGGGTTAACTCCTTCATTTCTGGTACTGGGTTGGGTCCTAGCAATGTCCTGGTATGGTTTGATGCGTCGTGCTGGAACCCAAAGACGACCCGAGGGGGTGTGGATACAAGCGTACCCTCTTCCCCACATTAATAATTCACTTGGACCACACCATTCATTACTGTTTACATCTTTCCATAAAACTGCAGGTTTCATGTATTGGGAAATTTTAGCAAAGTGCTTTTCTACAGCGGATTCAAATTTGTCTTCTAAATTAAAAAAATAAGGTTTGTGCCAAAAGTGTTGCAGGGTCTGTACCCATACTCCCCTGTTTTTGTTTTTTGTGCATATTTTAAGGGTGGAGTTGGCAAGTTCTACTATTGCTTGTCCTTGGGGTTTATATGGGATACCTGAGGAATGTCGGATATTCCACGTGTGACAAAATTGTTGAAATTGTGAGCTGGCCTAACCTGGACAATTATCAGTCTTAATTTTTGCGGGTTGTTCCATAAATGCAAAAGATAAAAGAAGATGTTTAATGACATATCGAGTAAACTCTCCAGGCGGAGTATGTGCACTACTTAAATGAGTGTTGATATCAAAGGATACATGTACCTATCTAAGTTTTCCAAATTCAGGGATGTGTGTAACATCTGTTTGCCACAACAGATTAGGTTCTAGGGTTAATACCTGTTGAAGGAGGAGACGTGCCTGTGAGCTGGCGATCTCAGAGACTGTTTAGCCAGTCTCTGTATAAGTTGAGCTGGCGATCTCAGAGACTGTTTAGCCAGTCTCTATATAAGTTGGAATTGTTTAGATAAGTTTTTCCAATTTTGGTGGAAAAATTGGTGCAATTGGGTGGCTTGGTCAAGCAGCGATATCATAACTTGAAGGTTGGCTTGATTATTGTCATAAGCTAATGGACCAGGCAGTGAGCTGTGGGCTGGAATGTGTGTAATAAAATAGGATGTGTACTTTGATTTAGCAATTGCTGAAATCAGAGAAAAAGAGTCCACAGGGCTGGCTCCAGAGTTGACTTAATTAGGGCTGTAAAAGTTCTCTAGACCCAATATTAAGGACTCAACTTTAGCTTTCTGAGTGCTAGTAAACCCAGATTGAGTGAATGAATTGTGTGGTGTCCACCAGACTGCTGCTTTTCCATATTTACCAGATCTATCAGTAAACAGTGCTAAAGCATTAAATATGGGGGAGTAAACTATTTTTGTAGGTAACACATTAACTAGGCCTTTTGGGAATGATGAAAATGGGTAAATTCTAAGGGCTGTTAGTAGAATATTACCCATAAAATGAATAATCTTGTAGCCAGGAAACTTTTTCCTACTAGGGAGCAAAGCTTGCTTTTAATTGCTCCCTAACTAACTTAGGGGCTTTTTGTAATGTCTCTCCCTTTAGAGGTTACTGTTTTACTTAAACTGGATTTGGAGTCATGTTAGGAATAAGAGAGAGATAACAGTGGCCATTATTAGAAAGAGGTTTCTCAAATTCTTAAATTTTACTTAACTCTTATCATAGAATTATAATCTGGGATGTCGCTTGTATACAAAGAACATAACAAATTTTGCTTTGGGCCGCCTGCGGAGCCAGAGAGCGGAGCAGGTGGGTCCCAGGGCGGCTGCGGCTTTGTGCTTGCTTAGAAGCCACTTTTCGCCACCGCGTTTCCTCTGTGCCAGCTCCCTCCCCACACTGCTCAGCAGCTGCTGCCGGCAGAGGGGAGCTTCCTGCACTTGCTCCTGCCCCTAATGCCTTTTCTTAACCCTTCGTGTACCTGATTGCCTTGCTGATCTTGCATTACTGGGCAGTCTAAGAGCTCCCCTTTTAATGCTGCTTGTCGAAGACAGGGACATATAGCTGTAGTGTATTTCCTCTATTTTTTCTATCTATTGAAAGAGGGGGCTCAGGCAAAACCTCCGTTTCCTCTTTGTTATTTTGGGAAGAGCAGGTGGTAAGGCAAGTGACGTTTCTTCCTCCTTCCCCTTTTTGGGTTCTTCTTTGTATAATGGGACTAAAGCCATCCCTACTAAAGCCCATAGTGTTAAAGATGATGCTGGGACCCGTTGCGCTTGTGTGTAATGCTGTTCAAGATTTCTCCCTACTTGTTCCCAGAGCTTTACTTCTAGCTTTCCTTCTTCTGGGACCACAGATTATGTGAGACAACAGTTTTCATTAGGTGCCTTAATTGAGCCTGCGAAACTGATGCTCCCCTAGCCTTAAGCAACTGTTACAATACTTTCATATGCTGTTTGTGTTGAGCTGATAACTGCTGTCCCATGATGAAATCTCAGCCTGAACAATCTCCCCTGAACTTGGAGATCCCAAGTGGGCACCAATGACTTACTGTTTTACTGACTTGACCACGCAGTCTTCCTCAACCTTCGTTTTCATGGGGTCTGTCACGCTCCCTTTGCAGCGATCCTCACATGGGGCACCGGCTGTGGGGGTCTGTCCTGCAGGTCCTGACACAACAACGGGTGAATAAAGTACACTGACACACAGATATTCTGCTTTGCCAGCTTGACTGACCATCCAGGTAGATCAAAGGTGAGTCTTAGGACCACATGAGTGAACAAGCTAGTTAGATAAACTCCCCACATTCTTTTGTTTCTACTCAAATTTACTAAACTAAAGGTAAGGGGACTAGGCTGCCTTCAGCCAGATTTATTACTGAAGTTATGCAATCTCTCAAGCCTTCCACGAGGACTTGTGGCTATTATAACTAAAATTTTTCCCACGAGCCTGACTGAACCCCACAGGAAGTATTTTCTCCAAGTCTGTGGTTGCCTTTTACTCCCTTATCAGTAGGTATCGCAGAAAAATGTGTGTGTTTGTGTGTGTGTGTGTTTGTACAAATTTAGATTGAAAACATATATAATTTTATTCATTCATAGATCATGCCTTTGGCATTATATCTGAAGTTTCATTATAAAATAAACTAATAGTCATTATTTTTTCCATATCTCTAATCTCAGGCCACAATCAACTCATGAGTGTTTAAACTTCACCTGCTTGATTGGAGGACCATCAATCTAATGTATTTGGAATACTTCTGTAAGGAGATGTGTTCTTCTTCCTATTATTTTTTAATTAATCATCTATTAATATCAGTATTGGTTGATGGATGTCCATTTTATACTTTGAAAAAGATCCATGCTACATCATTCATTTAATTGTTCAAAGCACCACAGCTTTATTAGGTGCTGGGAGCTCATTTTGTTTGAATCCTGCATCCTTACAGCACACCTCATATTTTTGTTTTTGAACACTTGCGTATTTCCTGGTATTACCATAAATTCTAAGCTTGTTTTCTTTATTACCTTTTTTTACATAGAATCAACCACTTTTATAAAGATTGCATGTTTCTGATGTTAAAGAATAGTATTAAAATAAAACATTGTGATACTGGCTCTGTGTGTTGTTAATGTGGTATGAGTACTTCTAGAACCTCTCAAACAATGGTCCCAGTAAACGTGCATGTTTATGTGAACCCAAGTTTATGGACTCATTGAAACTATTTATGTATCTAATCTTCTGTAACCATATCACATTAAAAATGAGAACACACTGGTCTCTCCACCCAACTATGTTAGCACATGAACCTTTCTAGTCTTCTTTCTTTGCGTTTCCATAACCACCCACTGCAAAGTGAGAAACCCCATTCCACCATATGTAATTTTATTACTTAGCTGCACAGTTTCAGGACACATGCATAGCAGTATCAAAAGTGTAAAGCTGTGCCCTTGATGGAACCATGTTTATCTACTAGAATAGAGTGCTTATGTGCAGATTTTTTACACATTAAACTTATAGAATTTCTTCGTTTTCTGAGTTGCTTAGGTCAGCAACTTCATTTTCCACATTCTTCAATGAAGTCATTTCAATTACATTGTATAATTTCATTTATTTGAAATTCCATAAATGCTTAGACTATAGTCAAGTAAACAGACAGAGGATGTTCCAGGAATTTAGAGAGTGGGTATAAAATAAGCAAAAAAAAAAATGTGGTGTTTAGGAAAAATAAAACTATTTTTAGTGATATGCAATGGTTGAGATATGATATAACTAATTTGTCTAAGCTAATAATTTTGTGATAGAAAATATAAACTTAAACATATTCAATTAAAAAAATTCAGCAGTTCATTAACCCCAGGATTAAATGCAGACTGTATAAAATTATCCAATAACTTATTTGGTGAGAGTGGGGATGTTATGAGATACATGCAACAAAGAATGAAGTAATTTTCCCCATTTGCATATACAATGTTTCCATTCACTGAAGACCTTTTATTTTAAAAAAATCAATTTTCTACCTTACCCTTGTTTTTAATTCCCGACAAGCAAATAACCCAAAGGATTCTTTTCTTTCATTGGTTGAGAAAGATTTTCCCCTAACTTCAGCTTAGTTCAGGCATACGCTGACCTGAATGGGCATTTACCCTCAGATGGGTACACACCTGTCAATATGTGGACTCTTCTGTCAGACAGACACAGCTTCACTCATGTGGATTCTTCCCTCAAACACAAATGTCCCCACATGGACTATTTCCTCAGACTACCACATATGTCCTTACATTTACACTTTCCTCAGAAAACAGACATTTCCTCATGTGGACTCTTGTCTCAGATAAGCAAACATGTCTCAGTGTGAATGAAGTCTTCACTCAGATAAGTACACATATTTCAACACTGACTGTTTCCTGACACAAGCACATATGTCCAATGTTAAACTGTCTTGCGACAAAATGATCTCAAGATAATGATAATTATAAACTCCAACCCTGAAAATCTGTAGATCTGCATTTTGTCTATTGTAACATAACTTCATCTCATTGTCAGAAACAGTCGTTTGCAGCTATAAATGCACTGATTACAGTCAGATTTCCATTTTCTCTGGAAATGTATTTCTTATGTTCTTACTGGACTAATTTGTTGATAATGTTTGCTCACATGAAGATACCTGAACAGTGTCCACATTAGAGAATAAAAAAGAGCAATGGGCAGATTAACCCTGTGCATCCAGACGCAGGAACCATTTGACTCTGCCTTCCCTGAAATGGAGACACAGAGGATGGATGAGCAACGCTGAGTGGTGCACCTACGACCACAAAGAGAAAGACCTGGAAATATGTCCCATCCCCTCCTCATGAAAGGCAGCTCATCCCCTGTTCCTTCAGGCCCTGGTGAGGAGCCACCCCATATCTGTGTCTTTCTTCAGTGTTCACACTATGGAGTCTGCACTGATCTGGGTTTCCCTTCTCATCACCCTCCATATTAGTGTCCCTTGTAAATCAGGTCCAGCTGTGGCTGCTCATAGGGTTGTTCTCAGTCTATTTCCTCTGTGTTCATAGAAGTCCTGTATGAAGTTCAGTGGTGGAGTCAGAGGGGTAAACGTAGTACAGCCCAGTGGTTCACTGAGACTTTCTTGCAAAGCGTCTGGATTCACCTTTTCTGGCAACAGCCTGAGGTTGGTCCAGCAGGCTTCACAACAGGGATTGTGGTGGCTGGCAACAGTGAGTCAACAAGTGGGAGTGCTCAGGTTTACTCTTCATGAGTACAAATAAATTAACTGGTCCAGCGACACCCTTTCACGTGCACTCTACCTTACAATGACTAACCTGAAAGCCAAGGACAAGGTTGTGTAATACTGTGAGCTTCACAGGAGAGAGATTATCTGCACAAGCCCAGACACAAAAATCTGCAGGGAGACAGGAGGGAACTGCATGGTAGATGCTGCTCAGAAGCACCAGGGGGCACTCAACACAAGGGGGCGCTCAGGACACCAGGCGGCACTCAGGATACAGCTGGGGGCGCTCAGGACACCAGGGGGCCACTCAGGATACAGCGGGGGGTGCTCGGATCCACCAGGGGGCTCTTAGGGCACCAGGGGGCATTCAGGACCACTAGGGAGCCCTCAGGGCCACCAGGAGGACCTCAGGACACGTCAGCGTGCTGGAGCCACCGGGGGGGGGGGGGGGGGGGGGCGCTGAGGAAACCAAGAGACGCTCTGAACCGCGAGGGGAAGGAAGCTCAGGACCACGAGGGGACGCTCAGGACACCAGGGGGCGCTCAGAACACCAGTGGGCACTCAGAACAGGAAGAATCTCTTAGAAAGCAGCTCCACATCAGGATCCTGGGAGGCTGTGGAGAAATGGGAACACTCATAAACTGTTGAGCATTTAAATTAGTACAACCACTATAGAGAACAGCTTAGAGTTTCCTCAAAACCTGACGATAGAGTTATCATATAATCTGGCAATCCTGCTGCTGGTATATACCCCTAAAAAGGAAATGTTTTTGCACTACCATGTCTGTAATAGCACTGTTAAAGCACTGTTCACAACAGTCAAAATTTGAAAGCAACCTATGTGCCGATTAACACATGAATGGATAAATAAAATATGGTACATATAGGATATGGGTTAATATCATGCCATAAAAAAATGAGATTTTGTCATTTGCAGCAACATGGATGAAACTGGAGTTCACTATATTAATTGAAATGAGCCCAGAACAGAAAGACAAAATTCACATGTTCCCATTTATTTGTGAAAGCTAAAAATTAAGACAATTGAACTCGTGGAGATAGAGAGGGAAAAGATGGTCACCAGAAGCTGGGAAGGTCTATGGTAGATGGGGATTATTGGGGATGGTCAATGGGTAGAAAAAGTGATTAGAAATAATAAATAACACATAATATTTTATAACACAACAGAATAAATATAGTCCTCAATAACTTAATTATAGATTTTAAAATAAAAGTTTATGAATGGAATGTTGGTAACTCTATTAATGCTTGAGAGGATGTATAAAATATTCTTCATGATGTGATTATTATGCAGTTCATGCTGATTCAGAGTCCTGTACCCCATAAATATATACGTGTACTATTTACCCACAAAGATTCAAAATTAAAGTGTTTATGTGTCTAATATTCTGTAACTATATTACATTAAACCTAAGAACACACTGGCTTTTACACACTACTGTCATCCACATAGACATTCATAGCCTTCTTTCTCTGCTTGTCCATAATCCCACACTCCAAAATGAGAAAACCTCTCCTAAGATATGACATTAATTTACTTAGTGCACAATTTCAAAATACACAAATCGTCTTTAGGATTGTTAAACTGACCCTTGTTGAAAATATGTTTATCAACTAGAATACAGTGCTTATGTGGAGCTTATTTATGTTTTACAATCGCAACATCAAATTCTTTCCAAGTCTCTTGTGTCCAATATTTATGCCCCACCTTCTTCAGTGTAATTAGTTCAAACCTTCTGATTGTTGTTAGATATTTTTATACAGCTGTCTTTTTTTGTGTTTCATGACCTGCTAAATACTTTCGAAGTTGTATGCATTTAGGTTAACACTTTGTCTCAAAAAATATGAGTTTTCAGAAATTCTTTATGCCATGTGTCCATCATTGAATATCATAAAAATAGTTTCATTGGCCGGGCGTGTTGGCTCACGCCTGTAATCCCAGCACTTTGGGAGGCCGAGGTGGGCGGATCACGAGGTCAGGAGATCGAGACCATCCTGGCTAACACAATGAAACCCCATCTCTACTAAAAATACAAAAATTAGCCGGGAGTGGTGGTGGGCACCTGTAGTCCCAACTACTCGGGAGGCTGAGGCAGGAGAATGGCGCGAACCCGGGAGGCAGAGCTTGCTATGAGCAGAGATCGCGCCACTGCACTCCAGCCTGGGTGACAGAGCAAGACTCCCTCTCAAAAAAAAAAAATAGTTTCATTGGGATTAAAAAGTGTGTGTTTCACCTAATCCACACACCTTCTCCCCACCTTCCTGGGAAACCTCAAATGTTTACTGGATCTATATTTTTATCTTTGGCAAAACAGCCTGGCTGTTCTCTTAGCCTCTTTTGCAAAGCATCAAGATTCACCTTCACTGACTACAGCATAAATTGAGCCCAGATGGCTGGGGGACAGAGGCTGGAGTGGGTGGTAACAGTGATTGATTCAAGTGGAAGTTCTCAGTGATATTCTGCATCAGCATAATGAAGATTCACAATTCCCAGGGACACCAATTACCAGCACAGTCTCCCTTAAAATAATCTACTTGGAAGCTGAGGGGGCTCTCACAGGGGTAGGCAGTGTATTACTGTGAGAGACACAGCGAGGGACATTTCTGTGAGTCCAGACAGAAACCTCCCTGCAGGGAGACAAGAGAGGACTTTGTGATAAATGGTGCTTAGGACACCAGGGGGCACTCAGGACAGCAGAGGGTGCTCAGCAGAGCAGGGTGCGCTCAGGACATGGTGTGTGTTGTAGGGGGCATTGCTCAGGATCACCAGGGGGCTCTCAGAACCACCAAGGGTCACTCAGGAAACCAGGGGGCGCTCTGGACACCAGGGGGAGCTCAGAACCACCAGGTGGTACTCAGGACACCAGGGGGCGCTCATGACCAGCAGGGCATGCTTGGGACTCTATGAGGCATGCAGGAGAAGCAGGCCGTGCTCAGGGCAACAGGGGGCTCACAGAACCACCTGGGGGTGCTCAGAACCACTAGGGGTCACTCAGGACAGCAGCAGGCATTCGGGACACCATGGGGCCCTCAGGACCTGCAGGGGGCGCTCAGAACACCAGGGGAAGGTCAGAAAGACCTGGGGGCACTTGGAACCACCAGGGGGCACTCAGGACAGCAGGGGGCGCTCAGGACCACTAGGGGGCGCTCAGGACCAGCAGGGGGTGCTCAGGACACCATGGGGCATGCAGGAGCAGCAGGCTGTTCTCAGGGTAACAGGGGGCTCTCAGAACAACCTGGGGGTGCTCAGAACCACCAGGGGGCACCCAGGACATCATGCGGCCCTCAGAACCTGCAGGGGGCGCTCAGGACACCAGGGGAAGCTCAGAATGACCTGGGGGCACTCAGAACCACCAGGTGGCACTCAGGACAGCAGGGGGCGCTCAGTACCACGGGGTGCACTCAGGACAGCAGGGGGCGCTCAAGACACAGTGGGATGCTCAGGACCAGCAAGAGGCACTCAGGACCACCAGGGGGCACTCGGGGGAGCAGGAGGCACTCAGGACACCAGAAGAGGATCAGAACCACTCGGGGGCACTCAGAACCACCAGGGGGCGCTCAGGACACTGGGGGCATTCAGAACCACCAGCAGGTTCTCAGGACACCCAGGGACACTCAGGACAGCAGGGGCGCTCAGGACACCAGGGAGGGTGCTCAGGACACCAGGGGGCTCTCAGAAACACCTGGGGGTGACCAGGACTAGCAGGGGCATGCAGGACACCAGGGAAGGGGCTCAGGACACCAGGGGGTGCTCAGGACAGCAGGGGGCACAGAATCACGAGGGTGCATTCCAGACCACCAAGAAATACTCAGGACCAGGGGTAACAGAAACACCTAAAGACACACAAGACCACCAGGAGGCACTCACGACTGCTCAGAGTGCTGAGGACACCAGAGCTTCAGGACGAACAGGGGGTGCTCAGGCCACCATGGGGGGCTCAGGAACCACCAGGGTATCACTCAGACAACAGGGTTCTCTTAGGAGGCAGCTCCACATCAGGTGCCTGGGGAGGGTCAGATTTGCTTTTAGACCTTGCTGATCCCTGATCTGGTCAAGCGAAAACCTTCCCAGGATCTCTCACCATTTCTTCCTTGTAACCCATGGTTTCTTTCACGTACAAATCATTAACTTAGAACAGGAATTCAATTCAACTTTTAACCCTCCATATTTTTAGAATAACACTAGCAGTAATTGAATGTTTTGATAATAAGAAATTGCGTATGCCTAATTCAAGCTCTGGTTCCATGCATGGGTTTTTGTTTTCTTTGCTGTGTCAGTCACACTATAGTCAATGCTTTTCTACCAATAACTCAGCATAGGCATAGTGTTAAGTTTCTTTTTCTTTCATCTGCCTTTTGTGGAGATGAAACACCACTTTCAGGGCTCAGTTCCCCCACCTTGGTTGGGTTCTGGTGTTCTGCTCCTCACACTATTTCTCCACCTTCCCTTCTTCTGTCCAAGCCTTTTGTCTTCCTCAGTCTCCTAGCAAGGAAGCAACAAGTCCCTTTATTTTGCCTCTTCCATGTCTGGTGAATCTGTTCACTTCTCTTCATGATCATTGAAGTCAACCAAGTTTAGGAGGATAACAGTTCTCCTTAGAATATGCTCATCTACCTGCAGACTCTCTGCCTTCCTCACCCCTTTCTAGGGTCCTGCAGACGTCACCTCCACCACATCCACTCCTTTACCTAAGTACCACAGAATAGTCTCTGCAGCTCCTGCTGCTCTCTGTGTGCTCAGCACTAAGGCTCACTAGTGCTTTGATGATGAAGTTCAAATCCCTAATGTGTTAGCAATTCTCAGACAACCCTGCCATTGTGAGTGAATTTTGGGGATCCTGGGCTGTTTTCAGTTCCATATTACTGGATGTTCTCTAGCATCCAGGAGTACTGGCAAATTAACATCTAGAATTTGTATTGCAAATTTATACAAAATCAATTGTAGAAAAAAATCCTAATTTCTAAATAAGAACATTTATCCTGACTTTTATAAAAATACAATGTGAATTTAACCAATAATATAATACAATTTTAAAAGTGATGTTTATCTTATATGTTATTAAGTTTATTAATAATTGGCTGGTATTTTAAAAGTATACTGATAGCAAAACTGACAAATAAACCAACACAGATTCTATACATAAATACCATTGTCCATTTAATTAATGTGTTTGGCCAGAATGGCATTTACATTCAGTTCTACCGAGGCATGTCTTTAAATGTATTTGTTTATTGGCATTAGGATAGAGAAACACTCACACAGAAAAGCATTATTTGGGACTACTACATTATACTATAAAAGAGAGTAAATTCAATTCAATTAAATAAATAAAATAAATTGAATAAATTCATGTTTTGGTTTGGTATTTGGATAGGTGTTCATTTTTCTATTTTCACATGTATATTTCAGTACTGGGCATATGTGTGTATGTGTATGCATGATTATGAACTTCTAAAATACATTACTCCCCTATATAGTTATATAAATTGAAGTTTTGCATGTTAAGAGACAGTAGAAACCACAAAAGGGGAAAAGTTATAGAAAGCATTTGGAATACCTAGGGCCTACAGAGGAGTCATATTAAAATGAAAAATAATAGCTGAATATTTTGGAAATGACACATGCAGTAAGAAATGTCTATATGAAATTAACAGGATATTGGCACAAAATTTAGAAAAAAATAACATGATTATGCCCACTATTGGTCTATGATATGCCTATAATAATAACACATTTTATTTATCATAGAAAATAAAATAATTATACAAATAGCACTCTCATTGCTTGATTTTAGTATTAGGTACTTCACTTGTTTTTTGATAGAAATGAACATTTATCATTTTTTGATGATAATTTCTATATTATCTTCTAAAATTAATGTCCATAATTATGATTGACATGTTATAATTTCCAGAAACCTATTTTATCAATTGTGACTTGTATTTTTATGATAGTATTTTTACATTCATATACATTTGATTCAGAATAATTGTAGATTAACAAAATAATCATAAAGTTAATACAGTGTGTTCCCATCTCTAAGTATCTCCTAAGATGAACATCCTCCACAATCATAAAACATGGTGTTAACACATTTACGTTGATAACTTTAAATATATTCAATACCAGGCCTTATTTGAGATTTACCATTTTTCCAATAATTTCTTTTGTAAACCAAAAATAAAATTCTAAGCTTCCTCATCCAACTAAATGAACTCAACTATCAGCCAAAGATATTTTAAAGTAAACTTTAAAACTTGTTCCAGCAATAATGGGAAAATGAGAGGTCAGATATGCCTCATTATGTCCTCCTGTCTTTGGAATTAAGGCACCTGTGGCCAGCATTAACACTAAAACAAAGACCCTTAGACTGACAAAACTATATTTTTTCTATAAACACTCTTCATAGTGAAAAGATACCAAATTACAATATGATTCTAGTATAGCATCACATGACAAACAGCAACGCCTAAAAATCTATTCTCTATGAAGTCTGCTACCTGGAGGTTTCATCTACATAATAACAATTATGAGCTCCACAATCTCGTATCTTAATCCAGATACTCATTTGTAATGAGTGTGTAACATTTCAACCAATTGCCAATCAGAAAATGTTTGAATTCACGTATGTCCTGGAAGCACTTGAGTAAGCTTATTCTGCCTTTCTGGACTGTGTAAATGGTATAGCTCACATGTGTTGATTCATATCTGTCTATACCTTCTGTACCACTAAAATGTATAAAATCAAGCTGTAACCAAACCATTTTGGATACGTGTACTCAGGAACTCCTGGAGTTGTGTCATGGGCCTTGGCCACTCATATATATCTCAGAATAAACTGTCTTAAATAATTCACGGTTTGTCTCTTTTAGTGGATACTGTCTTTTTCTTTTTTCTTTCTTTTTTTTTTTTTGTTTTTTGAGACAGGATCTCTCCTTGCTGTTGTTTTTGTATATTTGTTTGTTCCCAGATTCCAACAAGGTCATCACTTTGAATTGAGTTGTCATGTTCCTTTATTCTCTTCTGGCAAATCACAGTTTGTGTTTCTGAAGTTTTCTAGTTTAATATTTTATAGATAAAAATTTATCAAGTAGATTGATAGTCCTATTTAGGACACTTATATCTTTACTTATTTGAACACTGCTTGTCAATCACAATGAGTGTTGATTTCTCCGTCTTCTATACATGTTATTATATTTTCTGTTCCAAATCCATTCATTAAGTATTTTTAAATGTATTTTGGAAAGTTGATCCTATTACTTTATGTAATATTTCTCTTGAGTCCCAAAGGTCTTCTTTTTATGATTATTTTGTCTTAAATTAACATAGCTATTTAAGTTTTCTTTTGGTTTATATTTTCATGATATATATTTTTCCATCTTTATTTTTTCTATTTCTGAATATGTAAAGAAATTTTCTTGGAGATAAATAATAGTTGGGTGTTTTTTTTTAGTCAACTATGAAGAATTATTTTTTAATGATGTTACTCTTTTGTCCAATTATTCTTGTTTTAATTTGTATTTTTACAATAAAGTTTATTGTTTCTATTAACTTATTATTTAATCATTCTGTGACTAACATTTTATGGGTTACCATAAGGATAACAATAAAAAGTTTCTATAATTGAATTCTAATTCAAAAATTTAATTCCCATTCATATATACTACAGAGATATTATAACTCTATATATCTAATTCCTCTTTCCTATCCCATGTTTTTTATTTTCTGTTTGTATCTATACATGCTATAAAATGTAATATTGGCATTTTTATAATTGCTTTCCACACTTACATAATGAACAAAATACAAATGCAAAAACTGTATTTCAACCTCATTTTTCCATTGTTGACCATCTTCTTTGTGCATATTTTCAGGTGTTGGATCTATGTCACATGGCTATTCATCTAGAGACTCTGCTAAAATGTCTACGGAAAGATTCATGTGCTGGAAATAGGTTTTCTCAGGTTTTATTGGTCCGACAGAATATTTATTTGTCTTTGATTTATTGTCTCCAGAGACAATGTCAAGAATATGCTATATCTGCAAATGGGCGATCTGTAAACCAAGAACACATCAGTATATCACTGTGCAAGAGGAGCACATGAGGGAAAGCCAGTGTGTGCCCAGACATAAACCTCCAGGGACACATGGGCGAATTAGCTGCAGGGGGAGCTTGGGACCCACTGATGAGAGTCGACCCCAGAGGGAGGTGCACAGAAAGGTTAAGAACTGCTTTCCTGCCAGTATATTTTTAAAAAAACAAAACTTCCATCTGACAGTTTCTCCAGAGAACTTCCCTAATTTTAGCATTCTGTGCCTACCAATGCCATCACTAAATAGGTTTTTAAAAAATATTGTAATATGAGGACATATTCTCATATGGACAAAACGCAAATTGACATTTACAGAAATGAAAAGTCCTCAACCGTGGTCGCTAGAATTGGAGACCTGTAGCAGCTCAGTGGGACCTGTTGAGTCTTCTCCAATCACACTCAGAACAGAGACCTTAGTGCATCTCCCTGACTAGAATACCCTTTAGGTATCGAGATAACAGCCTAAAGATGGTAAATCATGAGAGTCTCAGATGTCCAGATGACAGACATGGGTCTATGGGAATAGTACTGTAACTGACAGTAACTAATTTTCCATACCGCCAGATGTCCTATTCAGGAGCAGCTACAGCAGTCATGCCTAGGTGTGAAGATCACACACTGACCTCACCCATGCTGTCTCTGGCCACTTCATCACAACCAATGCTTAATATTGGACGTGGATCTGCCAGTCCCCGGGGAATGGGTTGAATGGATAAAATGCATGGCTAGTGCTGCTGGAAACCCATTCCTACTGTGGCAAATGGCAGCATCTCTTTTAAAAGGCTAAATAATATTCTATTCTGTATACATACCACATTGCCATTATCCTTTTTGTTTGTTTGTTTGTTTGTTTGTTTGAGATGGAGATTCACTCACTCTGTCACCCAGGCTGGAGTGCAGTGGCGTGATTTCAGGTCACTGTAATCCCTGCCTTCTGGGCTCAAACAATTCTCCTGCTTCAGCCTCCGGAGTATCTGGGATTACAGGCATGCACCACCACTCCCGGTTAATTTTTGTATTTTTTGTAGAGATGGTGTTTCAACATGTTTGTCAGGCTGGTCTCAAACTGTGACCTCAAAAAATCAACCCACCTCAGTCTTTGAAAGTGCTCAGATTGCAGGCGTGAGCCATAGCATCCAGCCACTTTTCTGCATTTTTTTTTCATTGACACTTAGATTATTTCAATATCTTGGCTCTTGTGAATAGCGCTGCAGTAAACATAGGAGTGCAGATATCTCCACAAGGTGGTGATTTTTTCTATCTTGGGTATATTCCCAGAAGGGAGGTTGCTGGTCATACAGTAGTTCTAGTTCTAATTGATTTAAGATCATCTTACTGCTTTCCATAGTGGTGGAGATTCAGATTAGTGTAGCTATTATGAAAAACAGTTTCAATGTTGGGGAGTGACTGAAAAACAAATAATGCTTGATTATGGTTCTCCATGAGAGTCTCTAATAAACCTAATGGAAGTTCAGAAAGTTTCCTCACCTTGTTAAGAAAACATTTGTTTTGCTCATAATTCTCTTTCAGCCCAGAGTTGGCAGTATGTAGAATGGAGGCTGTTGGCTCGTTTAAGGATTCTGAAGCAAAGAACAGTAATGAGAGATGACAATAGAGAAAAAGAGAGAGAAGGAGATGCTGAATCATCATGGACTCATTCCACCTGCAAGCCTTTCACTGTAAAGCTCTATTGCTAAGGATCCTGAGGATTCTATACTCCCATGAATGCATAATCAGGATCCCTCAATTCAAATTTTATTGGCAGAGACACACTGGGACCCCTCTAGGATATGTGCCCTACATTACTGGCTCAACATGCCGCACTGAGAATCCTGCATTAACTGGCTTTATTTGTAGTGGTGAGTAAAGTTCACAGTTTTCAGTCATCCATGAAGGGGAGATTTTTTTTTTGGTTCATATAATTTTTGCAGAAATTCAGGTATTAGTGAAAACCAATAAGATTGAGGATTTCTGGATATTTTAGCAACACTAGGGATGATGGCCATTTTGTAGAAAAATTTACATTTTTCAAACTGACCTACATGTTAGGCTGACATAAAAAAATCCAACTACACAGCAATATTATGGCAACACTTCAATACACTTGGTGGTGAAATACCTCAGAAATGAAATGTTACACAGATTAATTGAGTTAATGAAACTGTTCTGAACTATGATAAACATTTGTTTGCACCCAGATTTGCTTGAATTCAATTTGATTATTATATTCAGCTGCTGCCCTAACTTATTTGAATGAGTAAGTTACTATTTAAATGACCCTGTCTGTTTGATTTGTTATATATACATCTGAATTAAAGAACTTAAAGGACAGGTTTGTGCTATTATTAGAAAGAGATATTCTGGGGGGCCCTTGTTTGCTCCAGGAACCTCCACATTTTTAACTTAGAATTAATATAAATTCCTTGTGAATTGGGTCAGTCTTCAAGAGACCTAATCTCTAAAACATATACCCAGAACCTTCTCCAGACAGACCATCCAGAGGAAGAATCTTTCCAGTAATTTATCTCCATGGTGGAAGGTCCTTCATTGTCATGCAGAACCCTCTGCCCAGGCTTCCTTTATTATGCAAATAATTAATATTAGCCAGTAGGGTAAGATTAAACAAAAATAGACCGGAGATGCTGCAGACAGGGAAGGAAGTAATAGACCAAAATCAGCTTTATTAATGGAGACTGCTTTTAAAGGTCACAGCCAAGAAATGGAAGAGGATAAAATCAATGAGATGAAATTGTAAGAAACTTTGTCCAGTTCAATCAAGCCATCAGCAACCAGATAGCTTCAGTGGACATTATGTGTATTACAACATGGCTAAAGATTCTAGATTACACAAGGATTTTCTCTATAGTTTGCATATTGACAAAGTGGAAGATGGCATGGGAGATCTGGTGGCAAACACTTAAGGTGCAATAATAGCTATTTTTCCTATATCATGACAATACATGGCATGCCTCTATATTCATTTCATTCCAAAGAAGTCCTTCAGAAGGTCAAGTAAATGGAGAATCTTACATGCATGGCCCAATGCAGTCTCCAAGA
Source organism: Homo sapiens (assembly GCF_000001405.40). Classification (NCBI taxonomy): domain Eukaryota; kingdom Metazoa; phylum Chordata; class Mammalia; order Primates; family Hominidae; genus Homo; species Homo sapiens. Next base: position 106,684,049 of record NC_000014.9, on the reverse strand, counting down.
AGTGATTTTGAATGTACAGCTACACCAGTTACTGCAATGCTGTGTCTGACCTTCCCAGCATCTAAGATATTCATGAGTATCAAGGGGGAGATGGGTCTAGGTGAAAGAAAAGGAAGTAGTCATTCTTGAGAAGAATGGTATGGCCAAGATAAGCCTGAACTCTCTATCTTCTTCCATTTGCTGCAGCTTCTTATTGCCCGATTGAGGTCACTCGCCCATGGTGGTAATGACATCAGCAATGCAGTACATTCTCTGGTGGCTTTGTATCTGGTTTATAATGTGGGAGATGTTTCCTCAAGAGTGGTGACGCCAGTATGGCTTCTGCTCTCTGGTGGTGATGGCATCTGCATTAGCCTAGGGGTTTGGAGAAAGAGAGTTATTCAGACCATGGGGAAGAATCTGACACTGTCACACCGCCTGGTGCCTTCAGTACTGGACTGGCTCCTGCCCTCATTGGTGATTGCATCAAATATTGGCCTCCTCATCAGTACAACACATTGTAACAGTCTTCTTTGTACCTGGCTTTAATCCAAGAAAGTTGTTGACTTATGGCTCTTTCATTATATTGTATGGCCTGGTTTGTCACAATCTTTATTTCTGGAATTATCAGTGCTGCCATCTTGGCTGACTTCAAGTATGTCATCCTCACAGTTTGAAGCTGCTTGACATTAACATTTTTGTCAATGTTTGGGACTACCTTACATATTCCGGCTCTCTGAAAGAATGATTAGCGTTAGGGAAGGCTGACACTAAATTTGGGAGCCAGAGAAGGAAAGTGTTACTGTGCTACAGTTGTTTTGTGATAAATATGGTTAGGTTAAAAATGAGCTATGTAATGTAGCCAGGTTTCCACTGAGTTCCACTTTGCTTCTTGGCTGTCTATTCCTGTGCAAGTTTCTATATATTTTGTATCAGGCTTCAATTCCATTATGTTTTAAATGTTGTCTCTAAAGATAAACAAAGATTTTTTAAAACTACCAAACATGCAGCCATTTGACAGAGTGTGCGCTGCATTTTTAGTCTCACCATCTTCTGCCCTAACAAGCACCGAATCTAACAACACAAATATCATGGAAGCTTTCCTTGGAGTAGCTCCTGTAATTAGAATCATTGGTATTCTGCCCTCCTGTCAGTGGTGGAACGTTCTATTGGCACATGTGGAAACCTCTTAGAGGGATGAGTTTCTTTGAACACAATAAAATTTTAAGTTAGGAATAACTTATTTGAAAGCAATTCATTGAAGGTTATTGCTAAGAAGAAGTTAGAAGCAGTCTTTTGGCAGTCATTTCTTCAAGATGTATGGCAGCGTAGGATGGATATATGAAGTGGAATAGGAACTTGGGCTAGTTAAATGGAATAGCCTCCAATGTTAATCTGTTTACCTTTTAACTGAATGAAAAAGCCTATAGTTGTAAGAAAAGAAAAAACAATACAGTGCTCCCCTGTCCCACACATTACCTTCTCATCAGTATAATTAATCTACATTGAAGATGAGTGTGGTAATGCAGAGACTCTATTTAGGGAGGAGAACATAGGGAAATGCAAAGACAATGGGAGAAAAAAGTCAAGGACAGTAGAGCAATTCGAAGCCTCTGATACCAATAGCTTGAGGACCAAGGTCATGACTCAACTTTTGGTGGACACAGAGTCACTTCTCTTAGGGAAACTGCAGTATTCTAAGGTGACAATATGCAAACATGATGAATGTACACTTGCTACATCTCCAATTGTGTACTGTTTTCCTTACTTCTGTTTGAAGAAGGGAGTCGTATACTCAGGTCTAGTATCAGTGTAGGGGGTGCTCCCTATTTGCAAGATACTAGAAAAAAATGGTAAGTTAGAGGCCCATTGTTATAAAAATCTACTAGCTCCGTGTCAGTGTGTGTGTGTGTGTCTGTGTGAATGTGTGTGTTATTGAAACAGAAGACATGGAGTGGGCATTGATCCACAAGCATAGATACCTACAGGCACTCTTAGATGTAATATTTAACTGCAGGAGTCTAAATAAAATAAAGGATTCGCCAAAAGTCTTGAAAATTTTGGTGCTGACTATGTGTCCACTGATTCAATGCATCCTGAGTTCCAGGGAAGGGAATCCCCAATTCTTTCATAGAGTTGACTGGGTCTCCTAAGGTCAATGTTTTCAAACGATGGTGTCAGTAACATATGGTGTCACTGAAAGAGCATTTTAAACTAGGGCATGGCCACTTCCTATAGCCCTAGAGACACTGAGAGGTAAATGCCCTGTGAGCCCAGATGGAAACCTCCATGCAGGGCAGAGGCAGTGCTGCAGGGGGCGCCCAGGACCCACCCAGAACAGGCTCCAGCCCCAGAGCTGGTGCACAGGAGGCTGCAGAGGGAGTCTCTCACAAGGACTGAGTGTTACTTTACTGAAAACCAAAAAATTATAACATGCTAAATAAGAATTTTATGAGGACTATTTATGTATATTTAAATACCCTAATGTATTTAGAAATAAATAAATCAATAATTCAGTGAGAACCACATTTAAAAGGCAAAATTATTACTGCTTTGAGATATTTTACTAGTAAAAAGATAAAGAACAAGAATGGTTTTATTAAATAAAAATGTACACATTTCAGAGACACACTGGTCCCGAGAGTAAGACTGCGGAGAGCAAATCCTGGAAAGGGCGGAGGCTGTCCATGTGCCATGGGAACTTGGGCTCACGCTGAGAACCATGTCCGGTGTGAGTCAGCTTCTTAGCGGAGAAATTCTCCCTTCACAAATTTCCGGGCATATAAAGGGAAACATGTCATTAAATAAGAATGAAGATTTGTACCTCAGCATCCCACAGTTGTGTTGTCCATGTGAGATCTATTTTCTCTTTCTCGTGCTGGATCAGGTGTAATGCTATGAAGTAGTAGTCCTCATGAATACGCAAATCACCTGAGGTGAACACTACAGATAACTCTGTGCCCTGAGAGCATCACCCAATAACCACATCCCTCCTCTAGAGAAGCCCCTGAGAGCACAGCTCCTCACCATGGAGTGGACTTGGAGGATCCTAATTTTGGTGGTCGTAGCTGCAGGTAGGATAATTCTCAGTCCCCAGGACTAAGGTGACTGGGTCCAGTCAAAGGGGGTTTTATCCACTCCCGTGTCCTCTCCACAGGTGCCCAGTCCCAGGTGCAGCTGGTGCAGTCTGGGGATGAGATGAAGAAGGCTGGGGCATCAGTGAAAGTCTCCTGCAAGACTTGTGGATACACCTACCTTCACCAGTTACTCTATGCACTAGGTGCGCCAGGCCCATGCACAAGGGCTTGAGTGGATGGGAAGGATGTGCCCTAGTGATGGCAGCATAAGCTACGCAGAGAAGTTCCAGGGCAGAGTCACCATGACCAGGGACACATCCACGAGCACAGCCTACATGGAGCTGAGCAGCCTGAGATCTGAAGACACGGCCATGTATTACTGTGGGAGAGACACAGTGTGAAAACTCATATCCTGAGAGTGTCAGTAACCCTGAGGGAGGAAGCAGCTGTCCCAGTTTTCAGGATATGACAGGATTTATGGGGTTTAATGTTGTTTAGAAAATAGGTTATATAATTGAGGAAAAGAAGAAATAGAAAGATATATGCATTCTAATTATATAAGAAATATTCTTTTCAAATCTCACCCTATAAGCAAAATTAACAGAGTGGGAAAAGCAGCAATCAATCAAGCTGAAACAAACATTCCCATGGAGGATTTGTGGGGGCAGACGTTTTAAAATTGAATGGGTAAATCATTTAGGGCAAGATTGCTTGATCCAATACTAAGACTAAATGTAATTTCTGAGAAACTGCCTATCTTTTTATATTAAATTTATTATAAAGCAGTTTTAGGGTTACAGCAGATGTAAAAAGTAGAAACAGAGAGCTCCCATGTACCCCTGCCCAACACATACACAGCCCTCCCCATGATCAGCTCCCTGAAACAGAGTCCTAACTGCGTTATGTGGGATGAACCTACATGGACACACTAGTTCTTTCCTTTCCTGGTGGTCCCCCGGTATAACAAACATAAATTATTTTGAAGCGCCACGGGTTCTTCAAGTGGGTTACTGGGAATGATGCCAGTTAGAGGGAAAGTGGGTGGGGCCATTCCTTTTTGCACTCTTTCTTCAGGAATCCATAAAATGCACATTGACTTAGAGCTCATCTGACTCCTGGTTTTCTATGCCCCTTCCCAGAGGGTAAGTTCTCCAAGCGTGGGAGGAAGGTCCATTTCACTAAAAGGCCAGAAGCTTCTGGTGAATTCCATAATGCACAACCTTTTTTGAGAAGTGGAGACTTTGGACATGAGGGATTTCATGTATGATGCCCTGGAGTTGGATTAAATACAGCGTAAGCTCTTGGGGGTATTTCTGGAGGAGGCCCTTTCTGCAGGAAATTAGAATACATGCAGGGGATCCAGGCAGGAAGAATCACTTCCTTTGACATCGTTTGGCACCTGAAGGAAGCCCTCTCAGCATTGGGCACTGGTCCCACTTGCTGGCTGCACTTTAGCCAGAGGCCTGCGCCTGATCATTCTTGCAGTGGGAGAGCCTTACTGGGGTCACAGGTTATAAAAATGCCTGTCACTCTCCAGCTGAGCAAGTCCATATGCGTGCTTGTCAGTGTCAACCCCATGATGAGTGCACTCTGGAAGGTGACAATCTGCACACAAACCTCCTCCCACTAGTTACCCACTACTATACACTACTTTAAAAATTAATACTTATAATTATATAATATAATATATATTATATAACTATATAAAAATGATTATGATGATGACATTTGGCTGTTGCAATTTCTTTAGGATCTCTGCATCTCTCTTCACTAGACATGTAAGTCTTCAATTTCTTGTCCCTGTGACACGTTGCCCAGTGTTTGAAGTCAAAGTTGTGCCGAGTACCTGAGTATGTCCTCAGAGAAGATCTCAGCAATGGTTGATTGTTCTACAGGGACTTTTCCAGGAGACCTGTCCCAGGGAGTCATGAGGTTCCTCTGGAAATACTAGCCCCTGCAGGAGATGAGACGGAAGCAGGAGAATCAAGAGCAGGTGACAACATTGTCAGCAGGAGGCTCCAGATGCTTTCCAGACACAGTGAACCTTCACCCACTTGCCACACTGCACAGGGAGTTTGCAGGGGCACAATGAGGTGCCTGTCTGTGGGATGTTGGGGGACAAAGTGAAAACCTGAGCTCAGCATCCAGGAAAGTATGAACTCCAGCCCTGATAATATGTAGCCTGTGTTTTCTTTCCTTCTACGTGAACACTTTGCCTTATTGTTAAGAACAGAGGATTCTAGCTCTAAGTGCACGGATTGCAGACAGCTATGACTTTCCTCCGGGCCAGGCTCCTCTTAATGTACTTCTTGGACTTATTTGTTGATGAAGGTTGGTTCCATTAAATACCAAAACAGGGTTCATATTAAAGAAAAATGAAAGAGTGACAGGTAGATTAAACCCGAGCATCCAGTTCCAGTGATTCTTTGACCCTGCCTTCCCAAAAATCTCCGATATGAACAATGACAATGCCCTCCATGGTTAGATTATATTATAAACTAGATTGAGCTAGAGTGTTTGGTGTATTAAGTCACTATTTTTTTTAGCTTCCCTGTTAGTTTTTTGTTTGTGTGTTAGCATTTACTTTAAAATTCTATTAATCAGTTCTCTAGTAGGTAGAAATTCATCTGAGAGTTTCTTCTCTTGTTGTCCACTTTGATAAGATTTCCAGAAGACATAAGAACCCTTTTTGTTTGCAAAAATATTCCAAAGTTTTACACTAACTAGGAACATATATACTTAATTCTAATTTTTAATTTGTTTAAAAGCTCTAATAAGTGCACTGTTTTCTGCCTTTTGAGTTAATTTCACAACACATAGGAGAATATATCCTAAATGAAAGTTTGTGCTAATAATACAAATTATTGGTAAATAACCTCTGTTTTAATTATTGAGGTATTATCCATTAATATATAATCTTAAATTGATGTTCTCAATGGGACTCTTACCTAAAGAATATACAAAATATTTTCCTGATCTTGACATAAAATAGATGTGAACACATTCTTAGTATTCAGCCATGTCTCCTGTCTATCACATTATGAACCACATGCTAACTTTGATTTACTTGGGACTTGTTCTAATTTCAAACTAGTTATTTTTTTATCTTCATGCAGCTGGATTATTATGTGTGGCTATTTTATCAGAGAATGATAAAGACAATTTTAACAATTTTCACTGCAGGCACGTCTAGGCAAGCCCCCTGTGCACAATGACCTTCGTGGGTTGGACATTCTATGGGGACTCTCCCCTGTCTGCCTAGGAGAGTTATCTGCCTCCTCCCTCTATCATTTTCCTCTTTGAATAAGCGCATCTAACTGCCGTTAGAATACAGACAAAGGCCAACCTTAACTGCTCCCAGCTGACAGGGGATGCTGTTTTGGGAAGATCTCCCTTGAGGTCTGTCTAAGGGACCTAGTAAAAGGGAGCCATTATCCCAGGCTTCACTTGGATGACCATTTGGAGTTGATGCCTGAAGGTGAGAAGAGACAAACCAGGTTATTAGAAGACATGTATCAAAACCAAACAAGGTGGTAAGGACAGTTTGAAAAAAAATTCCAAGGCTGCTGACACACCCAGATAACTGGCGGCTGTAGTTATGCCTGCTAAGATTTGGGTGCATGGGGCTTGGCTTTCGTTAGCTCCCTAGGACTTATTTTCCCAAACAAAGAAACCTCCGGGTTAGGGGGACCCTATTTATTCCAGTCACCTGGCATGATTTGCAGGATAATTGCTCAGAATTAAAATATTCGTCCAGATGTTTATATAGCCCATGCCTGTGTTTCTTCTGAGCTGCAGCCAGAGATCATTGGTTCGTTCACAGCGATAAGCAGAGTTAGTCTAAAATGGAGGCAAATACTTAAAACAATTGAAGAGACTGTAATTTAAAGACAAATGTATGATATGTTTTGAAACATAATTTTTCTCTCTCCAGTTCTGATTTTTGTCAGAAACTAATCATTATAGGACTGAGTGATTTGCAAAATAAACTTTAGTCTTGTGGTTGGTCTGATCATTTGCATAAAGTGGAGCAATAATAATTAATAATAATTCTGTAGGAAAAGCCTGCAAGCACCAGGAGCTTCACAGTCTAACAGTATGAGCACATGCATCCTCCAGCAACTCACTGAATATTTTCAAGTCAGCTGGTTCTTAGCTTAAATAACATCCAGTTGGTATCTGTCCCAGGAACACTAATATATGGTTCTCTCTGCAGGCCCCTCTCGCCACAGATTTAAGGTTTATTTTTTTCCTCTGTGATATCAACTCAGATATGTTGAAGGTTTTTCCCACATTTGTGGTTTTTCAGGTTTGTTGTTAATAAGGTCAGAATAAGATCATAGTTTACTCATTTTTTTACATTCCCATGCTGAGTAGCTACTTTTCTCTATAAAATCCATTAGCTGAGAGAAAAAATAACATTTTCCTAACGGTGAACAATTAAATAGTTTGACATATATTTGTGTACCAGTATATAATGCAGCTTCGAATCAAGGTGTGCCTCAATCATAAAAAACATGGCTAAATTCTCAAAGAATTGTGCTGAGTGAAAGAAGCTAAGGAATTAAGAGTAAATTTTATATAATTCATTGTAGAAATATTAGAAGATGCCACTACCATAAATTAAAATGAAGAAGACTTAAATTTTTCTGAGAAAATGGTGTTGGGAATGATGCGGATGTGATTTAAGTTTCAGAGGAATAAGGAAAAAGATTTAGGGATTAATTTAATTATTCAAAAGTTGATTGAAGTGCCGAGTGAATGGCTGCAAACATAGCTCTACATTTTTCAAATCATTCCCTATAAATCTGAATTAATTATTTATTTATTATACTTGAATAAAGCAATAACGAAGAAATAAATGAATATTTTTGCTAAAATGGAGCAATAAAAAGACTGATATTGACAGAAGAAATATGACTGACTTCTGAAAACACACATGAACCATGGTTCTCTCTGCATATTTAGGTGAATTACAGAAAGTTGTCATAACAGATGGGGAATCCTGCAGACTTCACTAGGCATGGTCCACGCTGCCCTGGAGTTGTCTCAGGGGAGCTGCCTCCTCCGGTGATTAGAGCACAGGCCCAGATAATAGGATTACATTTTTTTAGATGTGTAAACTTAGACGCACTGCACAGCTGCTGTATTCTCTATGTAAATTATCTTCTGTAAAATACAACATTAAAGGCTGCATTAAATATATTGTGTAAATATGTAAAAATAAAATCAGATTATGAGAGCTAAATGTTAATCAAGGCACAATCACATAATATAAAATTATATTTTCCTGAATGATGGAATTACTACCAATCTCCCCCAGGAGACTTCATCTGCACTGGGCCCGGCCTCTCCTCAGATGTCCCATCACAGAGCTTGCTATATAATGGGGGACATGCAAATAGGGCCCTCCCTCTGCTGATGAAAACCAGCCCAGCCCTGACCCTGCAGCTCTGGGAGAGGAGCCCAGCACTGGGATTCCGAGGTGTTTCCATTCAGTGATCTGCACTGAACACAGAGGACTCGCCATGGAGTTTGGGCTGAGCTGGGTTTTCCTTGTTGCTATTTTAAAAGGTGATTCATGGAGAACTAGAGATATTGAGTGTGAGTGAACACGAGTGAGAGAAACAGTGGATATGTGTGGCAGTTTCTAACCAATGTCTCTGTGTTTGCAGGTGTCCAGTGTGAGGTGCAGCTGGTGGAGTCTGGAGGAGGCTTGATCCAGCCTGGGGGGTCCCTGAGACTCTCCTGTGCAGCCTCTGGGTTCACCGTCAGTAGCAACTACATGAGCTGGGTCCGCCAGGCTCCAGGGAAGGGGCTGGAGTGGGTCTCAGTTATTTATAGCTGTGGTAGCACATACTACGCAGACTCCGTGAAGGGCCGATTCACCATCTCCAGAGACAATTCCAAGAACACGCTGTATCTTCAAATGAACAGCCTGAGAGCTGAGGACACGGCTGTGTATTACTGTGCGAGAGACACAGTGAGGGGAGGCCATTGTGCGCCCAGACACAAACCTCCCTGCAGGAACGCTGGGGGAATCAGCGGCAGGGGGCGCTCAGGAGCCACTGATCAGAGTCAGCCCCGGAGGCAGGTGCAGGTGGAGGCTGTTTCCTGTCAGGATGTGGGACTTCATCTTCTTCCAACAGTTTCTCTAATGAACCTCTCTAATTTTAGAATTCTGTGGTTCCTAATGTCATCTCTACATATTTTCAAAAGATCATTTTAACATGAGGACATAACCTCTCATGCACCAAATGCACATTGATGCTTACAAAGATGAAAAGTTCTCAACCATTGTGACCAGGATCGCAGTCCTGAGGAAGCTCACGGGTGTCTGATGAGTCTCCTCCATTCAGGCCCAGGACAGAAACCTCAGAGGGATTCCTGGACCAGAACGGCAGGGATTCTGATCACAGCCAATAGAGAGGCTGGGCCAGGGTCAGTGTCCTGTAGAAGCTCACAGGGTTCAAGTCTGACCCTTCTCCTGACCCTAAAGCCAATGAGCATCAGCACTGATCTGGTGCTGCTTTTGCTCCCAATACATGTTCTTTCTTTGGAGTGTTTGTTCTCCCTTTTTTATTTGCTTTTCTTTCTTCCTGAAAAAGAAACACATGGTCTCTGTGATCTACACTCCAGGGCTCAAGGCATTTTCTTAGAACTCAGGCAAGGCTCAGGCTTGGCTACTCCAGCCACGTGGGAGAGGCTGACGGGATTTCCTTCTCTCTCCATATTCTCAGGGCCCTCCTCTGTGTTGTGTGTAGACTCATCTGGGAATGCAATTGGCTGTTAGTAGTGAAGGGGATGAACTCATTTGATCAAAATGGGATGTGGATGTGGAATTAACCCTGTTCTATGCACACTGTCAGAGTCATCTTCTTCAGAAGTAGTGTTAGAAAGAGCTTGTGAAATTTATCGGCAACAAAATGGATCCCCTTGTGTTAAAACCCTAATGAATGAAGCTGGGGAAGGCCATGAAGGAGGGTTCTAACACATATTCCTGATAAGATGAACTGTCATAAATAGACTCTGCACAGCCACAACCTTTTACACGGAGACCACCACAGCCTTAAAAGCTTTATTTCTCCAAGTAAATCTGCCCTGCAACTGCCTGTTCAACCTTACACCGCTGTCTCAAAATAGCTGCTGTCACCCTCCTCATTTTTCCTTAATTCTCTTTTTTATTATTTTTTAAATTATACTTTAAGTTCTAGGGTACATGTGCTCAAAGTGCAGGTTTGTTACATATGTATACATGTGCCATGTTGGTTTGCTGCCCCCATTAACTCATCATTTACATTAGGTATTTCTCCTAATGCTATCCCTCCCCCTTCCCGCCACCCCATGACAGGCCCCGGTGTGTGATGTTTCCCACCCTGTGTCCACATGTTCTCCTTAATTTTTTATCTTCCTTTTCCTACCTGAATGTACCCATACATATTTTAATTGAAATGCACATCCTGGAAAAAATATTATTATACTTTAGAGTCTCTTTCTGTCTGTTATTCAGGTTGACAAGCTGCAGACGGACATGCCACATTTCTGTGAGACATAGAGGATGACAGTTTTTGGAGATGTCTAGGAATCTCCAATGTCCATAAGATCAGCCATCAATAAATGCAGACTGGAGGTCCCAGAGAGAAGTGAAGCTGCTGAATCGCCGTGGAATTTCATTTTCTCCAGTTCTGCTCTGATGGAATCAGGCCCACCAATTTTATCAATGACAATCTACCTAACTTAGAGTCAATTGATAACAGTATTAATATCATCTATTAAGTAAATTCATAACTATATATATAGTAAGAGAGGGAGAGAGAGAGACAGAGTCTCGCTCTGTTACCCAGGGTGGAGTGCAATGTCATGATCTTGGCTCACTGCAACCTCTGTCTCCGGAGTTCAAGCAGTTCTCCTGTCTCAGCCTCCTCCCAGTATCTGGAAATACAGGCACACACCACCATATCCGGCTAATTTTTGTATTTTTAGTAGAGACAGTGTTTCACCACATTGGTCAGGCTGGTCTCAAACTACTGACCTCAGGTGATCCACCCGCCTCAGCCTCCCAAAGTGCTGGGATTACAGGTGCAGGCCACCAAGTCCGGCTAATTTTTGTATTTTTAGTAGAGATGGGGTTTCACAATATTGGTCTGGCTGGTCTCAAACTCATGATCTCAGCCTCCCAAAGTGCTGGGATTACAGATGTGAGCTACTGTGCCCGGCCAACATCACCTATATTAATGTTGGATTGAATAACTACAAAGTCTACCCTAACCAAGTGTACCATCAAACTTACCATTACCCAGAGGGAAGAATCTTTAACATGAGATCGATTTCTTAAGTGTTTTAAGGTGCAAAACTGACCACTGTACAATCACCCAATTATGATTTTGCTAATGAGTTGTAGAAGTTGCATGTACATTTTGGATATTAACACTTTTTCAGATGCACAGCTTATAATTATATTCTCTCTTTCTGTGGGTTGGAAATTTTTTCCATGCTTTGCAGCATCTTTTTGCTGTGATGTAGTTCTGCTTGTTCAATTCTGCTTTTATTGTCTGTGCCTTTAATTTGAAATATAGGAAATCATTCTTAATATTATTTTCTGGGTGGGGGAAATTTTACAATTGCAAGCCATACGTTTAAGTATTTCGCCCATTTAGAGTAAATTTTGGTATTTAATCTAAACTAAAATTCTTAATTCTTTGCATGTGTAGATTCAGTTTTTCTAACACCCTCTTAGGGAGAGACTTTGATTCATCCATTGTATATTGTTAGTTCTCATGCTGAAAATCAGTTTGCTGTAGATATATTAGTTTATTTCTGAGCTCTCTCTATATATTAATGCCAATACCATCCTGTTATTATTTATGGATCAAAATGTGCATATTTGTGAATTTCAAAATGTTGTTCAGAACTTGTGCATGCCAACAACTGTGTTTCTCCTGCACTCTTGGGCTAGTGAAGCTCTCACAGACCCTCTCTCTCACCTGTGCTGTCTCTGCATTCTCCATCACAACCAGTGCTTCCTGCTGGAGCTGCATCCATCACCCCCCGCAAGGAAGGGACTGGAGCGAATCAGGTGCACAGGTCATGAGGGAGTGCACATTCCAACCCACTCCTCAAGAGTCCAGTCACTATCTCCAGATCCACATCCAAAAAACAGTGTTTCCTGTAGCTGAGCTACCTGAGCAACAAGTACACAACCATGAATTTTAATACAAAAGACACAACGAGGGGAAGTCATTGTGAGCCCAGATACAAACCTCCCTGCAGGGGAGCTCAGAAAGAGCAGGAGGCACTCAGGACACCAGGGAACACTCTGGACACATCAAGGCAGGTGCAATGGGGGGACAAGGGGCTGGAGATGGGGTTTGGCATCACCATCGTATTTCACCACTGGACACCCACCACCGTGTTTATTCTCATGTACCTGATTCTGTGTATTATTAGAAAATGGCATTTATATAAATATATAGCCATATGTAGGTGCATCAAGTTGTCCTCTCCATCGTATGTGGACCTTTCCACTAAGACTCTGAGTCCCTGTATTTATATGAGCACCTCATAAATTATGGTCAATTTTGTGGGATCTCTATCTTTTCTTTCTCCCTTCTTCCCTCCTTCTCTCTCACTCACAAACTCACACACACGCAAAATTCTACAACTTCAGTTACGTGATGTGTTGAAGACAGTTTATAATGTGCAGCTTTTCCAGTTTAGCTGATGTTCATATTGCTGTGAGAATAGGAACATTGTGTTTCTCAGCTGTGTATTTCTCTAAGGTAGCAGCAACTTTTTTTTTTAATTTGACATTTTTTAAAAATTTTATTATTATTATACTTTAAGTTTTAGGGTACATGTGCACAAAGTGCAGGTTTGTTACATATATATACATGTGCCATGTTGGTGTGCTGCACCCATTAACTCGTCATTTAGCATTAGGTATATCTCCTAATGCATTTTTTTAAATACCCAGATACTGAAAGCAATCCAAATATCAATCAGCAGCTTAATCATAAACAAATTGTGGTAAATTCATTCCCTGGAAAATCACCCACTGTTACATTCTGGTACCGCTGGATACGTTCAACAGCAAAGGTAAAGTCACAAGTACATATGATGAGTCAAATAAGACAAATAAATACAAGTACACACATACAATTCCTCTTTTATAAATTCTATAAAATTAATACCAATCTAAAGTTACATAAAGAAAACCAGTAGTTGACTCTGGGTGTGGTGTGAGAAGGAAAGGTGTAGGAACAAGAAATTACAGGAAAACAAGAGGAAATTTTGAGGGCACTTGAGTTTTTTCTGTGTTGAGAAAGGTAATGGTTATGTCACTATTTGTCAAATTGTGCACATTATGGGATGGCTATTATTTGCTAATTTCACCTCATTAAAATATGCCAAATTTAAACACATATAATTTGGTAGAAAATAAGTTAGACAGAGATGAATAAAATATATGAGAAATAAAAAAAGAAAATCACAGAACGTTGGCATAAGGACTTCACTCATCAAACTGAAGAAATTTTAAATTTCTCAACACAGAATTAAAGATTTAATTAAAGATATATGAGAAATCAAAGACTCCTGGATATATACATGAATAAACCCTAAGCCTACCTATATTTTTAGGGAAACACTAGAATACAACAAAATAATGTCATGAATTCATTACATAATGGGCGTTAATCAAACCCCACCAGGCATGTCCAGCTGTGTCCTGGGGTTGATTCAGGGAACAGGTGTGTCCTGTGGTTAGGAGAAGTGGCAACAAGCTCACAGCATCTGTTCTAGTTGACACCATAAAAAGGCCAAGAGATCACAACCAAAATGTAGTGTGGATGTCACATCTGTGAGTGCCGCACACTCCCCCATGTGAATACGAAAAGGTTGATTACCTCTTGAGGTGTCTGCTGAGAGTAGAGCTGGTCTCTCAGGAATGTCCAAAATGGCTCGATAGAGCAAGAAAGGAGACTGGCTCAGGTTGCTATACCAGTTTGGTGGTGGAGGCAGAGTGAGGGTTCTCACTCACAGAAATGGGTTTGTGGGGTTTGAACCTCCAAATGGCATCAAATGAGGGAGTTCTTGTGATTCCTAACTAGATCCACCTCGTGTCGGAAAGAAAGGAGATGATGGAGGAATGAGCCTTAAGTTATCAGCAGTCAGACATCAAAACAAGTCTGATGACTTATTCTATGTAGCAACTATAAATAAATGAATAAAAATAGATCATAATGAATTATTCATAATAAATGAATAAAAATATGAATAAAAATAGATCAGTGTCCAATATGGGTGGACAAAAACCAGTCTACACAAAACAAGAAGACTGCTTATAAGAATAAGCAAATCATAATGAAAAGGAGGAAAATGAGGTGAAAGGCACGGGGCAGGGGATTACACAAGGGTCCTGTTCCAATGTCTTGTGTGGAGACTTTTCATTACCTAAAATCATCCGCTTGTTCTGAATGTCTTAGGTGAGCTGTCTGCTCCAAAACATCAGAAGCGCCAGAGGATTCATGAGGATATTCAGTTTAATATCTTCTATTTAAGGTGCCTTACAATAGTGTAAAATTCTTAATTATTATTATTATAATAAGAGATAGGGTCTCACTGTGTCACACAGGTTGGAGTGCAGTGGCACAACCATAGCTCACTGTAACCTTGAACCTCTGGCTCACACAATCCTTCTTTATAAGCCTCCTGAGTAGTGAGGACATGAGACCAAGCTGATTTTTTTTTAATTCTTTCATAGAAGTGGGGTCTCTCTATGTTATCCAGGCTGGTCTTGACTACTAGTCTTATGTGATTCCCCTGGTTTTGCTTCTCAAAGTGGTAGAATTATAGACATGAGCCACGATATTCGGTCTGAACTGATTCTTTAGTTGCAAAATATCAACCCAAGAATTGACTCCCTTAATTTTTTTCTGCAGTGTTTTGGTTAATATTGCCTGATAAAATTTATTCTAATTTGTTTCAACAGCAGAATTCTTCCTGACGTTTTTTCCAATATATGTATTTTCATGGTTGAAGATCACAAAATACTGTTAAAACATGACATAAAAAGGCAACCTTAAACTTTTGGTGATTGGAGTTAGTATAATACAAAAATTACGTCCAATATTGTGTAACACACACATGCAAAAAGACGAAGGTGAGCAATGAGGGTAAACTTTCTAAATGTATGAATCTTCCAGCTCCCAAGTCATAGGATAGTAACTGATGTGGCCTGAGGGAGGTACCAGAGTGACACAGTGCTAGTGGCATAACTCTTGGCCAAGAGACTTTCAATATTTTATTAAAGTTTTTATATTTTTTTAATTTAATGATGCCATTTTTTTCAACATATTCAGAATATTGTGAGTGGGATTGATTCTGGATGATATGAACAATGGGAATGCCTTCTATGTTTAGATAATATTAAGGACCAGGTTGAGATTGAAAGTTTGTAGAAATGATGCACCATAACATTATTCTAGTTTCCATACTAGGTTTTTTCTCTTTGCTTGCATTTCATTTCAAATTTATATGTCAGATATCTAGAATGTAATAATTTATTTAAAAATTTCTTTTCTTGTAGTCCATTTTGATGGGGCTTCCAGAAGATTTGAAAACCTCTTCTGCCTGCAGGACATTTTAAAATTCTGCACTACAGTAAAACATCTGTATTTAATCATGGTCTTCGGTTTATTGACAAGCTCTAGTAAGTGCAATAACTTCTGCCTTCTCGGCTGATTTTACATCAGATAGAGGAATTTATCTTAAATGAAAGTTTGTACTAGCAATATAAATTATGAGTTAATAACCACCACCTTTATTATTTAGGTGTTATTCATCAAGAAATAATGTTAAATCAAGGCTCTCAACGGGAATATTATCTAAGGGATGCACAAAATGTTTTGCTAATCTAGATAAAATAGATGTGAACACACTCTTAGTATCCAGTCATGTCTCCTGTCTGTCACATTATTAACCACACGGTAACTTTGACTTCACTTCGGACTCGTTCTAATTTTCAAATTCGTTACATATTAAGCTTAATGTCTCTAGACTATTCTAGCAGAGTGAAGAAAGACAAGCTAGACTGACAAACAACCTAGGATGACAAACTTCTTGTCACTCTCTATAAGAACTTGCTTCTCCCTGAACTTCAGACTTGTCGCGTGTTTTGAAACATTAATTATCAAAAGTATTAAAGAAAATTTGCAAAGCTACATCTTCTATGTTTATGTTATTGTTGATGCAATTGTAAAAAATAAGGAAAATGTATTCCTTTTCTATGTGCGTTTCCAAACTTAATAGCAGATTTTTAGTAAGACCCAGAATAATAAAAAATTCAAATATTGTTCAGCTGCTTAACAGAAAAACAAATTATGGTAAATTTGTTTGCTAGAATGCTATCCAGTATTTAGAATAAATAAATGTCTGCTATACCCAACTATAAGGTAAAATATCGAATTACATATGTTAAGTAAAATAAGCCAAACAAATAAGAATATATACTGCATTGATTTGTATAAATTTTAATAAACTAAATGACTCAGCCGCAATGTATAGCTCAGGAGTTGCCAGAGAAATGGTAGAAGAATGAAAGGGAAAAGGAGGAAGAATGTAGAAGAACAAAAGGAAATGTTGAGAATTCTCTTGTCCACCTTGATAACAATGATGGTTACATTATATTTATCAATTGTACAATTTAAATATGTGAAAGTTTATTATCTGTAAACTAAAACTCTCAAAATTTATTACAAGCAAACAAATGGAAACTTAGACAAAGAAGGAGTGATAGAAAGATAGAAAAAATGTATATTAAATTTCAGAAATACCTAAGAACTTATCTGCCTGAACCCTAGTTCTCACCATATTTTTAGGTGAATGCTAGAATGCAGCAAAATCACACGTGTTCTCACTACAGAAAGTGGGTTCCACAACCACACTAGGCACGCCCAGCTCTGTCCTGGAGTTGGCTCAGGGAGTAATTGGGGCCAGTGATGAGGAGCACAGGCTCAGGTACTGGGGCTTACTCATCCAGACGTGAGCTCTTAGACACATACTTAGCCCTTTCTCCATGCGTGGTTGACTTCCACATCTGTACATGGAGAAACAATTGACTCCGACAAAACATAATTTGCACAAATATGTAAAAATAAAATAGGATGATGAATTCAAAAAGTTTATCACAGCATAATTTTATAATAAGACAGCATATTTTCTGAGTACCATCGTTGTCACCAAATTCTTGCAGGGCACAGTCATTTTATCTGGGTACTGCCTTCTCGTCAGGCTTCCCACCCCAGAGCTTGCTATATAGTAGGAGACATGCAAATAGGGCCATCTCTCTGCTGAAGAAAACCAGCCCAGCCCTGACTCTGCAGCTCTGGGAGAGGGGCCCCAGCCCTGGGATGCCCAGGTGTTTCCACTTGGTGATCAGCACTGAACACCGACTACCAACCATATGAAGTCTGGGCTGAGCCGGTTTTTCCTTGTTGCTATTTTAAAAGATAATTAATGGTGAACTAGAGATACTTAGTGTGAGGGGACATGAGTGAGAGAAACAGTGGATAGTGTGGCAGTTTCTGATCACGATGTCTCTGGAGGTGTCCAGTGTGAGGTGCAGCTGGTGGAGTCTGGGGGAGGCTTGGTACAGCCTGGGGGGTCCCTGAGACTCTCCTGTGCAGCCTCTGGATTCACCTTCTGTTAACTACTGCATGCAGTGGATCTGCCGGGCTCCAGGAAAGGGGCTGGAGTGGGTAGGTTTCACTAAAAACAAAACTAATCGTGGAACAACAGAATACGCCGCGTCTGTGAAAGGCAGATTCACCATCTCAAGCGATGATTCCAAAAGCATCGCCTATCTGCAAATGAACAGCCTGAAAACCGAGGACACGGCCGTGTATTACTATACCAGAGACACAGTGAGGGGAGGTCAGTGTGAGCCCAGACACAAACCTCCCTGCAGGGGCGCGCGGGGCCACCGGGGGCGGTCAAAACCCACTGAGGACAGGACAGGTCCCAGGAGCAGATGCTGGGGTAGTTTTCCTTTCTCATCAGCTGGAGAAGTCAGGTTTGTATTTGCAGGACTCTGCAGCATTCTAGGCTGTGACATTTTATCACTTGTATTTATTATGACTTTATTATCGTTAGTATTTAAATTTTAGTAATTATTAAAATTATATATAAGTACATTTTAAATATGTACTTTGAAGATATAAATATTCCTAATTATTTGCACTGATTCTTCCAGAGTTTTATTAACATTTGTTGACATCAGCAACTACATAGCTATAGGGACATAAATTTATAAACATAGAAATATGTATCGGCAAGACATGGTGGTCTGTGCCTGTAACCCCAGCTTGGGAAGCTGAGGCAGAAGTACTGCTTGAACCCAGAAGGCGGAGGTTGCAATGAGCCGTGATCGCGCCACTGCACTCCAGCCGGGCAACTGAGACTCCATCTCAAAAAACTAAATAAATAAAAAGAAAGAAAGAAAAAAAGATGTACAAATACACAGACCTATGCATATATGTGTAGGCATTCATATTAAACATTAAGATAAAATAATTCTAAAAACATGTCCTGAAGAATCAAAATTAATGATGAACTAAATATAAATTATTAGAGTAATTCATAATTGATTTTGGTTATTTTTAATTGTTTACATGTTGTGATTTTACACAAAATATTAGTCATTTATCCTGATAAAACAGGTCAAAATGTTATATCAAGAGTTTATTTACTTTGTATTACTAATAATATAAAATGTTCCACATATTTTTAGCCATGTTTTACTTATCTGTGAAATGTGTTTATTAATTTTTCATTTTAATATGTCACCTTTATCTTTCTAATTTCCTGGATTTAATTCCACTACAGCTGAATGCATTTTAATAATTATTGTAATCACATTTACATTTTTTATTTGAATTTTCATATATATTTTATTAGGATTTTAATATCAATATAAATATTTTCCTACCATTGTCTATTTTCTATTTTTATGATATAAAATTAACATAAAAATGCTTAGATTTTCAATGTACAGCTTGAGGGCTTCTGACAAATGTGCGCACAAATAAGAATTATTTGCTTACTTTTTAGTGTATACTGAGGAGTGGGATTGCTGGGTAAAATGATATCTCTGTTTTAAGTTCTTTAAGAAATCTCCAGTCTGCTTTCCAAAGGGGCAAGATTAACTTATATTCTTCTCATCAGGGTATAAGTGTTCTCTTTTCTCCAGAGTCCCACCAGCATTCATTGTTTTTTGACTTTTTCGTGATAGCCATTCTGAGTGGTGTGTTGCTGCACACCTACAATCATCTCATATTTGATAAGGCTGATGAAAACAAGCAATAAGGAAGGGACTCCCTGTTCAATAAATGGTGCTGGGACAACTGGCTAGCCATGTGATGAAGATTGAAGCTGGACGTCTACTTTCAACATACATAAAATTAACTCAAAATTGATGAAAGACTTAAATGTAAGACCTCAAACCATAAAAATCCTTGAAGACAACCTAGGAAATACTCTTCTCGACCCCAACTTTGACGAATAATTTTTGGCTGAGTATCCAAAAGCAAATTCAACCAAAACACAAATAGATGAGTGGGACCTAATTAACTAAGGAGTTTCTGCACAGCAAACCCGCCAGGAGATAGATGCTCAGGACACCAGAGAGAACTCAGTTAAACCAGGGGGCGCTCAGAACAGCAGAGTGTGCTCAGGACACCAGGGGGCGCTCAGAACCACCAGCAGGAGCTCAGAACAGCAGAGTGTGCTCAGGACACCAGGGGGCGCTCAGAACCACCAGCAGGAGCTCAGAACAGCAGAGTGTGCTCAGGACACCAGGGGGCGCTCAGAACCACCAGCGGGCGCTCAGAACAGCAGAGTGTGCTCAGGACACCAGGGGGCGCTCAGAACCACCAGTGGGCGCTCAGAACAGCAGAGTGTGCTCAGGACACCAGGGGGCGCTCAGAACCACCAGCGGGCGCTCAGAACAGCAGAGTGTGCTCAGGACACCAGGGGGCGCTCAGAACCACCAGCGGGCGCTCAGAACCACCAGGGGGCGCTCAGGACGGCAGGGGTCGCTCAGACACCACGGTTCCCTTAGGAGGCAGCTCCACATTAGGTCCCTGGGCAGGGTGGGGTTTCCTTTTTGAACTTGCTATTTTTTGACCTTGTAAAGCAAAGGTCTTCCCCAGGATCTCTTAGTATTTCTTCCTTGTAACTCATGTCTTGTCTTGTTTTGTTTTTGTTTTTGTTTTTTGTTTTTGGTCATCTACAAAAACTTAAACTTAGAACAGTTGATTCAGAAAGGCAGGAAAGCAGGCATTCCTCTAAGTCTCCCCTGAGACAAATACATATATGATTTCTTCCTCCCCACTATAATTTATGTAAAAATGAAGATTCACTGAGTCAGACTAAATTGTGTATTCAGTGGAAGGATAATAAATGACACAAAAGAATGCAACCTATTGTCTCTTATCTTCTTCTAACCTGCAAGCCCCCATTTTCATTTGTCCTGGCTTACAGGAAAAAAAAATGTACATTTCACATGTATTGACTGATGTCTCATGTCTCTGTAAAATGTATAAAAGCAAGCTGTACTTCAATCACCTTGTGCACATGTCTCAGGACTTCCTGAGGCTGGTTATGGTTGGGTTCTTAACTTTGGCAAAACAAATGTATTAGTCTGTTCTCCTGCTGCTGATAAAAACATAATCAAGACTGGGTAACGTATAAAGGAAAGAGTTTTAATTGACTCACATTTCCACGTGGCTGGGGACACTTCGCAATCATGTCAGAAAAGGAAGGGACATCTTACATGGTGGAAGACTAGAGAGAGCTTGTGCAGATGAATTCCCCTTTAGAAAACCATCAGATCTAATGAAACTTATTCACTATCATGAGTTCATCATGGGAAAGACCTGCCCCTATGATTCAATTACTTCTCACTGGGTTCTTCCAATGACACATGGGAAATGTGGGACTACAATTCAAAATGAGTTTTGGATGGGGACACAGACAAACCATATTAATAAACTTCCTAAATTGACTGAGACCTGTCTCAGATATTTGTTGTTTATCCTACTCATGTACAGCCTTCAGAGTTCCAAAGCCTATATCAGTTTTCCAGGATTGTTTCCCCTTTTTGTTGGTTATTTCCTCCTTTATTTTCTATGTTTAGTTCCCTTTTTCTCCCACTATTTTTTCATCATTGGGATGTGAGACTTCACAACATTTGAAAGGTAGGTAACAATGAGCTATCTTAACAACATGGGACCTGTTTATCTAAGAGTAATCCATTCTATCAATGAAAGATAAAACAAAACAGGAGACCAGAAACTCATTTGGTTGTAAAATGCTTCCTCTGAATGATTTTGAAAAGGAACAGGTGGGGAAAATATAAAAGGAAAATAAAAACTTGTGCTGTCAATTCATTATGTCATGAGGGGGGAAAATCCTAAAGGATGATCCATGCAAGAAACTGATTTTCCTTTCATTCCTAAGAGAATAGCTACAAATAAAAAGTTAAATATCTTCACAGATAGCTACTCTTTGTTCATTTTACTTTATATAAAGTGCTAACTTAGTTCAGGAGAACTACATAATTTTTCTGTTTCCCTATGTGCTTCTCTCTCATTACAACATGTAAATTTTCATACTGTCCCTCTTTCCCCTCTATCCAGCTTTCCCCCCTTTTTTGTATTGAAAGCCCTGAAAATCATCTTTGGGGAACGGCACTGACCACAAATTTTTCTGTGATTACTTGTATTTTCATTCCAGGCATGCCCTAACTTTGGCAAAATTAATTTTAATTTGATTGAGATCTGTCTCGGAAACCTTTGGTTTACACTAGGAAAGATCCCAAATTACGAGTCAATTACTATAAAGCTCAGCCTTCCCACTGTGTATGTGTGTGTGCATGTGTGTGTGTGTGTGTGTACACGTGTGTTTTAATTTTTGTGGGCTTTGAGCCATGTAGTTCTCTCTGTGGACATACTATTTGGCGTGATCTTTGAATAGAGAATTCTGAAAGAAATAAGAGGCTCCTATGAGTTCTCTGAAAGTTTCTGGACTCACCATGGATCTTGACTGTGTCATTGCATCTGACAGTCCCAGGGAACAGACTCTCTGGTGGTTTCAAAGAATCTGTGCTTGGGCTCCCCCTGCAGTTTACTGGGTACAGTAATGTTAAATCACTGTTTCGAGAGACAATTTCGAAAGCATTAGATGCTGCTGAGAGAGGATTGTGAACCAGGGGACAGCCCCTTCATTCTGGGGGAGCGACATTGGGAGAATATGCTCTGTGAGCCCAAACAGCATCCTCCCCTGCCGGGTGAGGGCAGAGCTGCAGGACAGGCCCAGAAACCACTCAACACAGATGTCAGCCCTGGAGCAGCTGCAGAGGAGTCTGAGGAGAAAATTTTACCAGCATCTGAATTACACTTATTTCAAAACAAAAATGCAATTAAAAAGTTAAAATAAGTAATTAATGTCCAGGCACAGTGGCTTACACCTATAATCCCAGAAATTTGGGAGGCTGAGGTGGGAAGATTTCCAGGAGTTTGAGATCAGTCTGTGAAACATAGTGAGGCTTCATCTTTACTTTTGAAAATAAAATAAAATAAAACATAAATAATTTAGCAAAAACTACCGATGTGTCTTCCATATCCCATCGTACTTAGAGCATTGATGTAACCCAATGAGTCAATGAGAACCAAATTTGAAAGGAGAAAATTTTAGAGTTTTCAGATATCTTAAGAGTTGGAAGATGTAGAACAAAACTAATTTTATCAATTCAATGTGTGCAAACATGGAGAGACACACTCATGCCAGTAGTTCAACTTGCAAAGGGCAAAAACCAAAAAAGTTTGAAGTTGCTAGTGATCCATTTGTAGGTGAGATCATTTTGAGGATCATGTCCTGTGAGAGGCTGTTTCTCTATTAGAGGAGTTCTGTGCTCATGAAGTGCTGGACATGCTAGGGGACAAATATCAGTAAACAAACATCAGAACTTGAATGTCAGCTTCCCCCTGCTGCATTCTCCGTGTGTCATCTCTCTGTTATTTCTCATGCTAGATCAGGTCTTTAGCTATGAAATATTCCACCTAATTTACATGTCAATAGCTTGAAGTCTACTGAGTTTAATTCATATTTTTTCTATATGTTACAGTTACAGTTTGTCCACAAGGACAAGGTTTGTCCACAAGTTTGTCCACAAGGTTACAGTTTGTCCACAAGGACTCAATCATAGAAGTGCAGAGTCCTTTTCGGGCCACATTTAATTCACTTTATCAGTGCCCTTCAGTATGTGGTTCCTGAGAATTTCACATGACAACACATTTACCACACTGGAATTTAAGCAATCCAACACATGTTTGTAGCTTTATCTTGTAATAGGCTGTATTTCATATGGCAGCCTCTGCTTCAGTTTAGCTAACACTATGGCTTTGTTTCTCTCTACAAGAACTTGTTTCTCCCAAGATTTCCATGTTTGTGAAAGGAAAAGAAATCTCTGGGACCCCCAAATCACTAAGCCAAAGGGAAAAGTCAAGCTGAAAACTGCTTGGGGCAAACCCACCTCCATTCTTTCCCTAAAATGATAGCTACTAACTGTCAGGCCTCTGAGCCCAAGATAAGCCATCATATCCCCTGTGACCTGCACATACACATCCAGATGGCCGGTTCCTGCCTTAATGGATGACATTCCACCACAAAAGAAGTGAAAATGGCCTATTCCTGCCTTAACTGATGATACTATCTTGTGAAATTCCTTCTCCTGGCTCATCCTGGCTCAAAAGCTCCCCTACTGAGCACCTTGTGACCCCCTCTCCTGCCCGCCAGAGAACAACCCCCCTTTTTCCTTTACCTACCCAAATCCTATAAAACGGCCCCACCCCTATCTCCCTTCGCTGACTCTCTTTTCAGACTCAGCCCGCCTGCCCCCAGGTGAAATAAACAGCTTTATTGCTCACACAAAGCCTGTTTGGTGGTCTCTTCACATGGACACGAGTGAAACTAAGGTTTTAAAAAACTACATACCTCCTTCAAAATTTGACCACAAGGAAAAACCTTGTGGACCAACAACAGACAGAGTCATTTCTCTGCTCACATAAGTCAAATGCCTATCTGATTGCCACCATTTCTCTATTGTTTTGCTAAGCCAGACTAAGGCCTACGTGACTATTCCTGTAAATTGTGCATTCAGTTAAAGGCTAATCAGAAACTCAAGAGAATGCAAGCATTTGTCTCAAACCTACCTGTGATCTGGACGCTCTCTCCCCACTTCAGAAAGTCCTGCCTTTCTGAACCAAACCAATGTACATCTTACATATATTGATTACTGTCCCATGTCTCCCTAAATTGCATAAAATCAAGCTGTGTCCCACCACCTTGGGCATATATCGTCAGGACTCCCTGAGGCGGTGTCACTGCCATGTCCTTAATCTTGGAATACGAACTTCCTAAATCTATTGAGATTAGTCTCAGGTACTCTTTGGATTACAGGTTTGTTTTTTATTTCATAACTTCAATTATCTGAAATACTAAACAAAATTTGCCAAATTGTACATTCTCTTGTTACTGTTGTTGCAAAAAATATATTTATGTAACTTATATATAATTTATCATCTATGTGTGTTACCAAGCTGAGTAGCAGATTTATTAGTAAGACTTAGAGAGAGTAATGAAAAATTCAAATGCCAGTTAGTAACTTAATAGAAAAACAAATTATGCTACATTTGTTTGCTGAAATGCTACCCATTATTTGTAAGAAATAAACACATGCAACATAAAAGATTTAATTCTCAGTATTTCTATTGAGAAAAATAATCCAAATACATAAGAGCATATACTATATTTTTTCATTCTTATAAATTCTAGAATATAAAAGCTAGTCAAAAGACATGTGAAAACATCAGTAGATTTATAAAGAAATGGTAGAAGAAGGGAAGGAGAAAAACCAAAAAAATATAAAAGAGCAAGAGGAATGCTGAGGGGAGTTGACTTGTCACCTTCTTAAAAATAGAGATTTTATTTTTCAAAGTTTACTATTGTACAGAATAAATATGTGAATTTTCTTATCTGTCAATTAAACCTCATAAAATTTATTACAAAAAAACTGAAATTTTAGACAAAAAGAGGGTGATAGGAAGGAACAAATAAATATGTTAAATGTCAAATATACCTAAAAATTTATTTGTCTGACCCCTAGTTTTCTCCGTATTTTTAGGTAAATGCAGCAAAATCACACAGGTTGTCGTGGCAGGAAGTGGATTCTGCAAACCACACTAGGCCCGTTTATCTCTGTCCTAGAGTTGGTTAAAAGAGCAACTGAGGCCAGCTGTGAGGAGCATAGGCCCGGGTACTAGGACTCACTCATGCCAGATATAAGCCCTTAGACACATACATAGCCCCTCCATGTGTGGGTTCACTTTTACATCTGTACATGAAGAAACCACTGATTCCTAAATAACATAATTTATACACATAGGTAAAAATAATTAAAAATGTGATAGTTATTAAGTGTTTATCACACAACAATTTCACAATAAAACAGCATTTTCCCAAATGTAATCATTGTCATCGAAATCCCCAAGGACACTCTCATCTGCCCTGGGCCCTGCCCTCTCCTCAGGCATCTCACCCCAGAGCTTGCTATATAGTAGGAGACATGCAAATAGGTCCCTCCCTCTCCTGATGAAAACCAGCCCAGCCCTGACTCCGCAGCTCTGGGAGAGGAGCCCCCGCCCTGGGATTCCCAGGTGTTTTCATTTGGTGATCAGCACTGAACACAGAAGAGTCATGATGGAGTTTGGGCTGAGCTGGGTTTTCCTTGTTGCTATTTTTAAAGGTGATTCATGAGGAAATAGAGATATTGAGTGTGAGTGGACATGAGTGAGAGAAACAGTGGATTTGTGTGGCAGTTTCTGACCTTGGTGTCTCTGTGTTTGCAGGTGTCCAGTGTGAGGTGCAGCTGGTGGAGTCTGGGGAAGGCTTGGTCCAGCCTGGGGGGTCCCTGAGACTCTCCTGTGCAGCCTCTGGATTCACCTTCAGTAGCTATGCTATGCACTGGGTCCGCCAGGCTCCAGGGAAGGGACTGGAATATGTTTCAGCTATTAGTAGTAATGGGGGTAGCACATATTATGCAGACTCTGTGAAGGGCAGATTCACCATCTCCAGAGACAATTCCAAGAACACGCTGTATCTTCAAATGGGCAGCCTGAGAGCTGAGGACATGGCTGTGTATTACTGTGCGAGAGACACAGTGAGGAGAAGTTAATGTGGGACCATGCAGAAACCTCCCTGCGGGAACGCTGGGGAAAGTCATCTGCAGGGGGCGCTCAGGAGCCACTGATCAGAGTCAGCCCCAGCGGCAGGTGCAGATGAAGGCTGATTTCCTGTCACGATGTGGGACTTCATCTTCTTAAAGTTTCTCTACTGAACCTAAGTTCGGAATTCTGTGATTACTAGGGTCATTTCTACATATTTTTAAAATGATTGTTTTAATATGAAAACCTATTCTCCTATGCAGAAAATGCAGATTGATCCTCACAGAGGAGATGAAAAGTTCTCAACCATGGTCACCACTGTCAGAGTCCTGAGGAAGCTCAGGGCTTCCTGGTGAGTCTTCTCCAGTCAGACTGAGGACAGGAACTCCAGAAAGAATCCTGACTAGAACTGAGGTATTGCTCCTCACAAGAGAACTCAAGCTGCGGGGGGTCTGTTCCTGCAGACCCCTGACCCGGTGGCGGATGAATAAAACGTACACTGACACACAGATATTCTGTTTTGCCAGTTCAGCTGAGGGTCCGAGGCAACTTACAGACTCCAAGAAGAATCCTGTAAAGAACGGCAGCAGTGGCCCTGAGCAGCTCGCACTCCAGGCGTGTATTGAGTATAGAATTAACAACAGAAGCTCTGACAACACACTTGTGGATAATTAACATGGTTAAGAGAGTAGTTCTACGAATGATTAAAGCTCAGGGACTGCGGTCTAAAGTAAATACCATTAGGGGGCAATACCCTGGTTAGTTAATGGAGGTAGGGTAACCAGACTTAACTGGGGAGGCCTCTATTGTCCCTAGTATTTACCCTATGCCTAACGCTCTAAGGTAAGAACTGGCCGCCTTCAGCCTGTTCAATTATTACAAGCTATGTAACCTTTCGGCCTTCTAAAAAGGTATATGACTATTCCCTATAACTTTCCTTAATATTCCCCTTTAATATTTCCGCCACCATCCTGAGTGAATCCCAGCAAGAACAGTCTTTGGGGATTCTGATTACAGAAAAAAGAGAGGCTGGGCCAGGGTCAGTGTCATGTAGAACCTCACAGGTTTCTCGTAGGACCCTTCTCCTGACACTGAAGAATGCAAATCAGAATCAATACTGATCTGGAGCTTCTTTTCCTAATTCATTTACTGTCTTTTTTAGATGTTGTTCTCATTTTTCCATTTGCTTTTCCTGCTTTCCGAAAAAGGAAGATGTTTTTGCTGTGGTCAAAATTCCAGACCTCAAGCCCTTTTCTTGGCGCTCAGGTGGGTCTCAGGCTGTGGCTGCTGCAGTCACGCAGGAGAGTCTGGTGGGACTTTCTTCACTCTTCGTCACTCAGGACCCTCCACTGTGTTGCATGGAGACTCATCTGGAAATGCAAGTTGCCAGTGGGAACTGAAGGGACAAGCTTGTCTGGTTAATGTGGGATGTGGATGTGTTTCTAATCCTGTTCTGAAAAACCGTCACACAGTAACGTTCTTCACTAGTGGAGAAGGAAGTGGGTGTGAACGTTGTCAGAATAAAAATGGAGCCACGTGTGTTATAATCTTTACAGGCGAAGCTGGAAGAGGTCATGAATAGAGGGTTCTCATGCACACATCCCTGATAACAAGAATTACCCTAAAAATACTCTGCACAACCACAATCTTGAACAAAGGCTACCACAACAATAAGAGAATTAATACTGAGGGGATATCTGCCCTGCAACTCCCTGTTCAGCCTTAAACTGATTCTACCCTTGTTATTGATTCTTCTACCCCAGGATAATTGTCTCAAAATAGCTCAGGTAATCTTCTCATTTATCCTTCAGACACTTGTCTTTCTTTACCAACCTAAATGTGACCATGGATAATCCCATTGCAATGCTCATTTTCAAATAAATACGATTTGATTTTGGAGAATCTCTTTCTCTCTGATGTTTAGGTTTGACAAGCTGCAGAGGGACACACCACTTTCCTGTGAGATGTAGGGGATGACAGTTTTGGGGGATGGCTGGAAACGTGCAGTATCCTTAGGGTCAGCCATCAGTAAATGCAGGCTGGAAATCTTAGAAAGATCTCAAGCTGCTTAATCACCACGGAGTTTTACCTTCTCCAGATCTGTTCTGATGGAATCAGGGCCAAGTTTGTTATTGATGATAATCTACCTAATATTGAGTCAACTGATCACAGTTTTAATAACATCTATTTAAAAATTCACACCTGGATTAGTGTTTGATCAAATAACTACAAAGTATTGCCCAACCAAGCATACCATCAGGCAGACTGTTACCCACAGAGAAAAACATTGAACATGAGTTTGAGGTTCTCACATTGTTAAAGGTGTAAAACCGATTATGTTTAAATTATGCTATTTTTATTATTGTTATTGAGTTGTAGATGTTTCATTTACATTTTGGATATTAACGCTTTTTCAGATTCATGGCATATTATCCAATTCTGTGAGTTGGAATTATTTTGTTACTTTGCGGAATCTTTTTTTAAATCTAGTCCCACTTGTCCAATTCTGTGTTTTTTTATTTGTTTGAATGTAAAATCCAGAAAAAGATTGCTAATTTTTTGAGGGTTGGGAGTTTTACAATTGCACGTGTTTCATTTAAGTATTTAATGCATTTAGAATTAATTTTTTTGTTTATTCTAACCTAAAATTCTTAATTCTTTGCATGTAAATATCCAATTTTCATAACACGCTCTTTGGAAGACACTATAATTTAGCAATTATATATTGATGGTTCTCACGCTGAAAGTCAGCTGGCCATCAATATGTGGGTTTATATCTAAGCTCTCTGTATGAATTTATGCGAATGCCATTCTGATTTATTACTGTATGTTTCTAATAAATGTTGAGGCCTGGAAGTGTAATACCTCAAGCTTTATTCTTGCCTTGTTACAGATATTAGACCAAAATATTCTAAAATTTTACTATTGAGTATAATAATAGCTGTGGCTTTTCTTAATTGGTTTCATTATGTACAAGTTGTTTTCTTGTCTTCCTACTTTGTTCAGAGTTTTTATAATGAAATCCTGAATTTTTTTCAAGTGTTTTCTGTGTCTGATGAAATGTTACTGAGATATTTTTTCTTTAGTTTTTTAATTAATCAACTGAATTGATTGATTTGAGAATGTCAAATCATCTGTGCATCTCAGAATAAATTTGAGTTGATCATGGTGTATGGTCTTCTATAAAATCTTTAGAATTTATTTTACTATTGTTGGGGGGTTAATTTATGTCTACTAATGATATTGGTCTATGATTTTCTTTTATTGTGGTGCCTTTGTCTATTACTGGTAGTACTCTAACGGTAGCCTCATAGAAAGAGTTTGGAAGGTGTGTTGCAGACTACCTTTAAAATAGATTTTATCAGTGGAGAAACGGTGATAGTTTTTTTCTTCAGTTTTCTGTTGGGAAGAGTTTTGTTTGTTTGTTTGTTTTTTGTTTTTTTGTTTTGTTTTGTTTGTTTTTTGAGACAGAATCTCGCTCTGTTGCCCAGGCTGGAGTGCAGTGGCAGAATCTCGGCTCACTGCAAGCTCCGCCTCCTGGGTTCATGCCATTCTCCTGCCTCAGCCCCCAAGTAGCTGGGACTACAGGCGCCTGCCACCACGCCTGGCTAACTTTTTGTATTTTTAGTAGAGATGGGGTTTCACCGTGTTAGCCAGAATGGTCTCGATCTCCTGACCTCGTGATCCGCCCGCCTCGGCCTCCCAAGGGAAGAGTTTTATGTTGTTTAAAAGATATTCTGAATAACTTAACCTGCTTAATGGGCTTACATAATATTCCTTTCTTCCATTCTTTTTAAAGAACTGCTTACCTTTCCTAATTATTTTTAGGGTGATTTTTTTCATAAAGATTGTGCAATACATTTTGAGGTGAGACTTAGTGGATTTTTTCTAATGAATTAGAAATAATAAATCACTTAATTGACTATTGTATTAAGGTTGATTTGTTGAATATTTGCTAAAGGCCAGTTCTTTAAGCTGTGCCATGTACTAAATCCCTAACCGACTATTTTATTCAGGTTGGTTTGTTGAATATTTGTTAGAGACCAGTTCTTTACACTATGGCATGTAATAAATTCCAAATGGCAGTACGTCATTGTTTACTTAGCTTTTGTGCTTATATTTTTCAGAGGAAAAAAAATACTGTAAATTGTAAATACCCAATACCTAACAGTATTGTATGCAAATCTGTGACTGTTGGCAGTGTCATCTCTGAGAAACAGATAAAGTTTATTTACTATATATAAAAAAAGAGTTTGGAAGGTGGACTCCTCACCAATTTTTGAAAGAGTTAGAGAAGCATTAGCATTAATTCTTTAAATGTTAAGACTAATTTTATGATGTAACATATAACCTATCATGGAGAATGTTCAATGGGTGCTTGAGAAGGATGTGTATTACATGGCTCTTGGTTGGAAGGTTCTGTAAATGTCTTTCAGGTAAATTTGTTCAATACTGTTGTTCAAGTTCAGAGGCTTATTAAGAATTTTCTTTCTGGATTTGCTATACATTATTCTAAGTGAGGTATTAAGGTTTTCCCTTATTTTTATATAGTTTTCTATTTCTCTCTATATATATATCTTAAAGTTTGCTTAATGCATTTATATTTGTATTTGTACTGTGTAAAAAGTAAAATAAAATAATAATTGCTTAGTGAGTTTCATGGCACAATCACGTTATGAATAATCATATTTTCCCAAATGCTGTCATTGCCACTAACTCCTCCAGATACATGGTATATTATCCAATTCTGTGAGTTGGAATTATTTCGTTGCTTTGCAGAATCTTTTTTTGTTAATCTAGTTCCACTTGTTCAATTATGCTCCTCCGGGAGTCTCACATCTGCTCTGGGCACTGCCTTCTTCTCAGGCATCCCACACTGGAGCTTGCTATAGAGGAGGAGGCATGAAAACAGGGCCCTCCCTCTACTGGTGAAAACAAGCCCAGACCTGGCCCTGCAGCTCTGGGAGAAGAGCCACAGCACTGGGATTCCCAGGGGTTTCCATGTGGTAATCAGGGCTGAACACAGAGCTCACTATGGGGTTTGAGCTAACCAGAATTTTTCTTGTTGCTATTTTAAAAGGTGACTCATAGAGAAATAGAGTGAGTGAGAGTGAGTGGATATAAGTGAGAAAAACAGTAGATGTGTTTGGCAGTTTCTGACCAGGACGTTTGTGTATTTTCAGGTGTTCAGTGTGAGGTGGAGCTGATAGAGTCCATAGAGGGCCTGAGACAACTTGGGAAGTTCCTGAGACTCTCCTGTGTAGCCTCTGGATTCACCTTCAGTAGCTACTGAATGAGCTGGGTCAATGAGACTCTAGGGAAGGGGCTGGAGGGAGTAATAGATGTAAAATATGATGGAAGTCAGATATACCATGCAGACTCTGTGAAGGGCAGATTCACCATCTCCAAAGACAATGCTAAGAACTCACCGTATCTGCAAACGAACAGTCTGAGAGCTGAGGACATGACCATGCATGGCTGTACATAAGGTTCCAAGTGAGGAAACATCGGTGTGAGTCCAGACACAAAATTTCCTGCAGAAAGAAGAAAGGATTCTGGGCCGAAGGGGACACTCAGCACTCACAAAACAGGTGGAGCCCCAGGGCAGGTACAGAAAAGCAGTCAAGGGCTGCTGTCCTTCAGGATCTGTGCTTTCCTCTGCATGTAGCAGTTCCCCTCGAATCCTCTGCACTTTTATGTTTCTGTGCCCACCATGAGGTCCCTGGATTACAAAACTTTAATTTAAAAGAGGAAACATTCTTATATGTCCCAAAAACAAAAGTAAGTATTAGAGGCACAAAAGTGCACAGGCGGCCAGGTGAGGCTGTAGACACTGCCACCCCGCAATGCCAGTCTCACAACTAGCACTGGAGAGTAGTGGGCATTCAGTGGAGCTTCCTACCTATCCTGTGGTCCGAGCTAAGTCCAGCAAGGCCATTGGTGCCTTCCAGAGCACAGTAGTCCATCAGGAATCTCCCATGTGTCCCAGCAGCAGCCTTGCCTCAGTATCTCCACTGTGCACAGCCATTGTCTGGGAGGAGCTCCCAGGATGAGTGTCTTTGGCACACACCAGGTGGCGGGTGTTAGAGTGCAGTACAGCAGCTGGCTGCCTGGTCTATTGGGCTCCCTGATGTTGGAGGGATTTGAGGTGCATTCTCAGGCCCAGCACCCTCTTTGTGAATTTTTATATAAAAACCCTGATTTTACTTCATTTTCTCAGATGACATAGATAACTAAAAACAGAATCTGCAAAGAAATTGTAATTTTCAACTTTACCCCAAATTCATTGTTTCTTAATTCTGTGCAAGATCCAAACATATTTTTGCCTTCCACATGAGAAATTGTTCTGTTTAAACTGAAATCATTTTTTCTCATATTCTTTCTTTTTGCCCAAGTACAGAGATCTTGTTGAAAATAAGTTGGGTTCTTTCCACACACTAACCCTCACCTCCCCTAGAGAAAGAGCAGAGATTGTCCTCACTCTGAGTCTAGGGGAGGAGCTGTTCCTGTACAATTCAGAGCCTGCAGAGACCCCCAGGTGCAGCTTCAGTGAGTCAGACATTTCTCCATGTGGGCGACCTCCAGTGCCTGTGACTGCTTCTCAGGCCTAATTGTGGGTTAAGAATTAGGACACTCTTTAAGTTATCACATCTGAATCCTATTCTGAAAATCACCATAAAGAGAGATAGTTCAATGGCTATTCTCCTGACATAAGTTTCTCTTTATTACTTGGTTCCAAGTATGGAGAAACATGTGACCCTATATTTGTCTGAATCCAACATCAGAATCCACTGCATTACTCTGGGATACTCACGGATCGAACACAGGTGAGCTCTTTATTCTCACAGAAATGTATGTAGTTGGGAATTTCAACATATTGTCCAGAACGTGTGCCTGCCAACAACTGTGTTTCTCGGTGCACTCTTGGCCTGGTGAAGCCCTCACAGACCCTCTCCCTCATGTGTGTCATCTCTGCATTCTCCATCACAACCAGTGCTTCCTCCTGGAGCTGCATCCATCAGCCCCTCTCTGGGAGGGAATGGAGTGGATTGGGTGCATAGGTCATGAAGGGAGCACACATTACTCCCCTTTCCTCAAGAGTCCAGTCACCATCCCCAGATCCATGTCCAAAAACAGTTCTTCCTACAGCTGAGCTACATGAGCAACAATCACATAGCCATATATTTTTAAGCAAAAGACACAGTGAGGGAATCACAGTGTGAACTCACACCAAAACCTCCCTGTGGGGATGCATAGGACAGAAGGGGTTACTCCGGAGCCCAGGGGGCTCTCAGGACACCAAGGGGCACTCAAGACCATTGTAGAGGCACGCAGGTAGCCGGGGGCTCTCAGGAACCATGGAGGAAAATCAGGACACCAAAGGGTGCTCGGTACAGCGAGGGGCTCAGGACAATTGTGGGGATTCAGAAAGAACAGGTTCAAGGCTCAGCTTCAGGGCAGGTGCAGCTGGTGTGAAAAGGGGCTGGATGAGGCGTTTTGTGTCACCATCATGTTTCACCACCAGACACCCTCCACTACATCTGTTCTAATGCATGTGTTTGTATGATTAGAAAATGATATTGATATAAATATATAACCATAGCTAGGTGTGTCTTTTTCTGCCTTCCGTCCTCCCTTCTTCTCTCTCTCTCACACAGAAATTTACATACACCCACCCCACAACACACATAAATCTATAACTTTTATTACCTGATGTATTCAATAAACCTGATTAATGTGTTTTGCAGCTTCATTGTTTATGCTGTTGTAGCAATAAAAACCATCTGTTTCCCAGCTGTGTACTTCTCTAAGCTGAGTAGCATCTTTGTTCATAATACCCAGAATGAAAAACAACCCAAATGTCAATCATCAGCTTAACTGGTAAACACATTGTGGAAAAGTCATTCATTGACATACTACCCACTACTACCATCAGCTAATGTTGGCTATGCTCAAAAGCATGGTTAAATTCACAAGTACTTCAGATGAGTAAAATGAGCCCAAGTGATAAAAGTGCATACATAGGATACAACTTTCATAAGTTCTATAGAACAAAAAGTAATCTAAAGTTGCAAAAAAAAAATCAGTAGTTCACTGTGAATATTGTAGGAGAAGGGATGGTCTAGGAAGGAGGAATTATGGAACAAGATAAAATGTTGAGGGAATTGACTTGTTATCTATGTTGATAGTGATAATGTCTATGACAATATTTGCAAAATTGAACACTTCATGTGGAGATTATTGTTTTTAGTTTAGCCCCATTAAAGATAGTATTAATTAGAACAGGTATAAATTGGTATCAAAGGAATTAAAGATAAATAAAATACATGAAAAGTCAGAGAATCCTGAATATACACATGAATGAGCACTGGACATCTCTGTATTTTTAGAGAAGCACTAGAATACAGCAAAATAATGGCATAATTTTACATCACTAAGAAAGTTTATCAAACCCACCAGGCATGTTGTATTAGTTCATTTTCACACTGGTATAAAAAACTACTTGAGACTGGGTAGTTTACAAGGAAAAGAGGTATAGTTGGCTCACAGTTCTGCATGGCTGGGGAGGCCACAGGAAACTTACAATCATGGTGGAAGGTGAAGAGGAAGCAAGGCACGTCTCACAGCCCAGCAGGAGAGAGATAGAGGAGGGGAAGTGACACATACTTTTAAACCATCAGCGGTTGTTAGAACTCACTCACTATCATGAGAACAACATGGGGAAACTGCCCCCATGATCCAATCACCTCTCACCTGGTCCCTCCCTTGACATGTGGGGATTAGAATTTGAGATGATATTTAGGTGGGGCACAAAACCAATCTATATCACATGTCCAGTTCTGTCCTGGAGTTGTTTCAGGGATCCAGTGTGTCCTGTTGATAGAAACAGTGACACCAAGTTCATATTATCAGTTGTAGTTGACACCATGCAAAGCCAAGAGATCTCAAGTGAGATTTAGTGTGTATGTTGTGTCTAATGAAGTCACACACTCAGAGCAAGTGAATAGGGAAAAGTTCATTATCTACACTGTAGAGGTGTCTGCTGAGTGCAGGGCAGGTCTCCCAGGAAAATCTAAAATGGCTTGAAAGAAAACCAAAGGAGACTGGCTCAGGGTTTTTATAATGGTTTAGTGGTGGGGGCAAAGTGAAGCTTCCCACTCACAGATGGGGGTTTATAGGGTTTGAAACTCCCACTGGCATCAAATGAAGAAGCTCCTGTGAGTCTGAACTAGATTCATCTTGTGTGGCAAAAAAGGAGACGATGGAGGAGTGAGCCTTAAGTAATCAGCAGTCATGCACCAAAAGATAGAGTGACAACTTATTCCATGCAGCAGGAATAAAAATAATGAATAAGAAAGAAGACAAGGGTTCAGTATGGGTGGACAACACCCAGATCTGCAGAAATGAGATGACTTTAGAAATGTAAGCAAAGAATAATGAGAAAAATAAGAAGTGGATGGAAAATTAAACAGGGGCCTGGTCTAATGTCTTGGGTAGAAGCTTTTCACAATCAAGGACTATCAGCTTATTCTGCAGGTCTTAGGTCAGCCATCTGCTTAAAAACATCAGAAACGCCAGAGGGTCTATGAGGATGCTCAGTTTAACATCTCCTATTTGAGTAGCTTTACAGTTGTGTGGAATTCTTAATTGATTATTTTTTGTTTGTTTTTAGGGACAGGCTCTCACACTGTTCCACAGCTTAAAGTACAGTTGTGTGATCATAGCTCACCTTAAATTTGAGCTCCTGACTCACACAACCTTTCCATCTTAGCTTTCTGAGTATCTACAACTAGATGGGCACACCACCCCTACCCTCCTTATTTTTTAAACATTTTTTCATAGAAATAGCATCTCTTTATGTTGCTCAGGTTGGCTTCGATTGCCTGGTCTCATAGGATTTCCCTCACTTTGCTTCTGGAAGTGGTGTGATTATAGGGAAGATCCACTGCATCTGACCTGAATTTATTCTTTAGTTGTAAAATATGAAGCCAATAATTAACTGCCTGAATGTTTTCTGCAGTGAGTTAGTTAAAAGCATCTGATAAGGTTCCTTCCTATGTGATTCACGAGCAGTATTTTCCGCTGATGTTCCTTCCAGTTTCCTTGCTGAAGATCACAGGGAATTGTGGAAAATATGTAGTAAAAAGGCAGCCTTAAACTCTTCATTGTTAGAGTGGATATCACACAGGAATCACTTTCAGTATTTTGTAACACATGCATGCAATAGAGCAAACATGATCTCTGGGGGTAAAGTCTATAAACGTATGGGCCTTTTAGCTACCAAGTCATAGGGTAATAACTGATGTACCCTGAGGACTGGACCATGATTCCATAGTGCTAGTGGAAGAACCCTTGACCAAGGGAGTTTTACATTTTATTAAAATATGTAGAGATGCCACTTTTTAAACATTCCCAGAAGGTTGTGAGTGGGATTGACTCTGTCTCGTATGAACAAAGACAATGCCCTCCATGATTAGATAATATTATAAACTAGATTGAGCTACAGTGTTTGCTGTATTGAATCACTGTATATTTTATTTTTTAGCTCCATGTTAGTTTTTTGTCTGCGTGTTAGCGTTGGCTTTAAAATGATATTAATCAGCTCTGTAGTAAGTAGAAATTCATCTGAGAGTTTCTTTCCTTGTTTTCCAGTTTGATAGGATTTCCAGAATACATAAGAACCCTCTCTGTTTGTAAAAATATTCCAGGCCAGGCCAGTGGCTCATGCCTGTAAACCCAGCACTTTGGGAGGCCGAGGTGGGGGGGATCATTTCAGGTCAGGAGTTTGAGACCAGCCTGGCCAACATGGTGAAACCTCCTTTCTACTAAAAATACAAAAATTAGCCGGGCATGGTGGTGCTTGAGGATTGCTTGAACCCTGGAGGCTGATGTTGCAGTGAGCCGAAATTGTGCCACTGCACTCCAGCCTGAGAGACACAGCGAGAGTCCATCTCAAAATAAAAGAAAACAAAACATTCCAAAGTTATGCACAATCTAGAAACATATGTACTTAATTCTCATTTTTAATTTATTAAAAAGCTCTAATAAGTTCAATGTTTTCTGCCTTCTCAGTTGATTTCACAACACATATAATAATATATCCTAAATAAAAGTTTGTTCTCTTAATACAAATTACTAGTTAATAACCCTTACTTTATTATTGAGGTATTATCCATCAGTGTTCATCAATGCTCTCAATGGGACTCTTACATAGAGAATATACAAAATATTTTCCTGATCATGACATAAAACAGATGTGAACACATTCTTAGTATTCAGCCATGTCTCCTATCATGTTATAAACCACATGCTAACTTTGACTTTATTGGAACTTGTTCTAATTTCAAACTAGTTATTTTTTATCTTCATGCAGCTGGATTATTATGTGTGGTTATTTATTCCGAGAGTGATAAAGACAACATTAACAATTTTCACTGCAGGCATGTCTAGGCAACCCCCTGTGCACAATGACCTTGGTGCATTGGAGATTCTATGGGGACTCTTCCCTACCTGCCTAGGAGAGTTCTCTGCCTTCTACCTCTATCATTTTCCTCTTTGAAGAAATACATCTAACTGTCGTTAGAATAGAGACAAAGACAAATCTTAACTGCTTCCAGCTGACGGGGGATGCTGTTTGGGGAAGATCTCTCTTGGAGGCCTGTCTAAGGGACCCCAGGAAAAGGGAGCCATTATCCCAGGCTTCAGTTGCATGAGCATTTGGAGTTTGATGGTCTGAAAACGAGAAAAGGCAAATCAGATTATTAGAAGACATGTATCCAAACCTAACAAGGTGGTCAAGGTGGTAAGGACAGTTTGAAAGAAAATTCCAAGGCTGCTGACATGCCCAGATAACTGCGGCTGTAGTTATGCCTGCTAAGGTTTGGGCGCATGAGGCTTGGCTTTTGTCAGCTCCCTGGGATTTATTTTCCCAAACAAAGAAACCTCCAGGTTAGGGGCACCCTATTCATTCCCATCACCTGGCATGATTTAAAGGATAATTGCTTAGAATTAAAATATTGATACAGATTTTTTTATATTCCCCATCGCTTTTTGTTTCTTCTGGGCTGTAGCCAGAGATCATTGATTGGCGCTCAGGAATAAGCAGTCAGTCTAAAATGCAGGCAAATACTTAAACAACTGAAGAGATTAGAATTTAAAGATGATCGTATGATATGTTTTGAAATACAATTTTTCTCTTTCCAGTTCTGGTTTTTGTCAGAATCAAGTAATTGTAAGACTGAGTTGTTTGCAAAATAAACTTTAGTCTTAAACTTGGCCTGATTATTTGCATAAAGTGCAGCAAGAATATTAATAATAATTCTGTAGGAAAAGCCTGCAAGCACCAGGAGTTTCACAGTCTAACACTATGAGCACGTGCATCCTCACGCAACTCGCTGAATATTTCCAAGCCAGCCTGTTCCTATCTTAAATGCCATCCAGTTGTATCTGCCCCAGGTACACTAATATATGGGTCCTGCTTCTCTGCAGCCTCCTCTCTCCTCAGATTTCAGGTTTTGTTTATTGTTTGTTTTCTCTCTGATATAAACTCAAATATGTTGAAGGTTTTTTTGTGTGTGGTTGTTCAGGTTTGTTGTTAATGAGGTCAGAATAAGATAATACTTTACTCTTTTTATTTATTTATTTATTTATTTTTTGAGACGGAGTCTCGCTCTGTCACCCAGGCTGGAGTGCAGTGGCCCTATCTCAGCTCACTGCAAGCTCCGCCTCCCGGGTTCACGCCATTCTCCTGCCTCAGCCTCCAGAGTAGCTGGGACTACAGGCGCCCGCCACCATGGCCGGCTAATTTTTTGTAGTTTTAGTAGAGACGGGGTTTCACCGTGTTAGCCAGGATGGTCTCGATCTCCTGACCTTGTGATCCGCCCGCCTCGGCCTCCCAAAGTGCTGGGATTACAGGCGTGAGCCCCCGCGCCCGGCCCATACTTTGCTCCGTTTTATATTCCCATGCTTTAGTAGCTGCTTTTCTCTATCAAATCCATTAACTGAGAGAACAAATCACATTTAGTTACAGGTGAACAATTAAATAGTTTGGCATATATTTATGTACTGGAACATAACGCAGCTTGAAATCAAGGCATGCCTCACTCATATAAACAACATGGCTAAATTCTCAAGTAATTCTGTTTAGTGAAAGAAACTAAGGAGTTAAGAGTAAATTTTATATGATACATTTGTAGGAATTTTAGAAGATGCCATTATTGTAAATTAACACGGAGAAGATTTGAGTTTGTCTGACAATACGCTGTTGGGAGTAATGTGGATGTGAGTTGAATTTCAGAGAAATAAAAGAAAGATTTAGGGATTAATTTAATTATTCAAAACTTGATTGAAGTGCTGAGCAAATGGCTGCAAACATAGGTCAACATTTTTCAAATCCTTCACTATAAATTTGAATTAATTACTTATTAATTACACTTGAATAAAGCAATAACGAAGAAACCAATAAAATAACATTTGACTAAAATGGAGCAATAAACAGATCGATGTTAACACAAGGAATATGACTGACTTATGAAAACATGCACATGAACCATGGTTCACTCTACGTATTTTGGTAAATTACAGAAAGTTGTCATAACAGATGGGGAATCCTGCAGACTTCACTAGGCATGGTCCACGCTGCCCTGGAGTTGTCTCAGGGGAGCTGCCTCCTCCAGTGGTTAGAGCACAGGCCCAGGTAATAGGACTAATTTTTTTAGATGTGTAATTTTAGACACACTGCACAACTGCTGTGTTCTCTGTGTAAATTATCTCCTGTAAAATGTAACATTGAAACCTGCATTAAACATATTGTATAAATATGTAAGAATAAAATAAGATTATGAGAGCTAAATATTAATCAAGGCACAAGCACATAATATAAAATTATATTTTCCTGAATGATACAATTATTCCAATCTGTCCCAGGACACTTCATCTGCCCTGAGCCCAGCCTCTCCTCAGATGTCCCACCACAGAGCTTGCTATATAGTGGGGGACATGCGAATAGGGCCCTCCCTCTGCTGATGAAAACCAGCCCAGCTGACCCTGCAGCTCTGGGAGAGGAGCCCAGCACTGGAAGTCGGCGGTGTTTCCATTCCGTGATCAGCACTGAACACAGAGGACTCACCATGGAGTTTGGGCTGAGCTGGGTTTTCCTTGTTGCTATTTTAAGAGGTGATTCATAGATAAATAGAGATGTTGAGTGGGAGTGGACATGAGTGAGAGAAACAGTGGATGTGTGTGGCAGTTTCTGACCTTGGTGTCTTTGTGTTTGCAGGTGTCCAGTGTGAGGTGCAGCTGGTGGAGTCTGGGGAAGGCTTGGTCCAGCCTGGGGGGTCCCTGAGACTCTCCTGTGCAGCCTCTGGATTCACCTTCAGTAGCTCTGCTATGCACTGGGTCCGCCAGGCTCCAAGAAAGGGTTTGTAGTGGGTCTCAGTTATTAGTACAAGTGGTGATACCGTACTCTACACAGACTCTGTGAAGGGCCGATTCACCATCTCCAGAGACAATGCCCAGAATTCACTGTATCTGCAAATGAACAGCCTGAGAGCCGACGACATGGCTGTGTATTACTGTGTGAAAGACGCAGTGAGAAGTCAGTGTGAGCCCAGACACAAACCTCCCTGCAGGGTACCTGGGACAACCAGGGAAAGCCTGGGACACTGTATACTGGGCTGTCCCCAGGGGCAAGTCCAGGTGGTATAAGCCTAGGTTTCCTGTCATGGTCTAGGGTTGCCTTTTTAGCAACTTACCCCAGAGAACTTCTCTAGATTTCCAATTCTGTAATAACATTTGATGTCGTCTCTGGCTGCAAAATGTCCCCTCAACTTTGTATCTTTTTTTTTTTTTTTGTAACAGGAGGACACATCCTCACCCTGCAGAAGCCTGAGTGTCACATTGGGGGCAGAAATGATCTGCCTTGATCTCACTGATCACTGTCCCGAGGAACATACCCCACAGGGGACCCTGATGACTCCAGTAATGTCTCTGCCTCAAAACCATTGAAGAGTCCTTCCTTCCATTAGAGTTGACCACAGCACCTGGGCTTCAGCACAAGCCATACCACAGACGTCACAAAGCAGCAGATTGACACCTGATCCAGGTGCATTTTCTCACCTTTAGAGGCTGAGAGAGGGGTGTATTCTCAAGGTCAACACACTCTTTGTGGATTTTTACAGAGAACACCTACTTTTACTTTATTTCATTTGAAGATAAATGAACAAATGTGCAGCTGCAAATGATTGTAATTTTCACATTTATTCCAATTCCAATATTTCTGAATTCTGCATGATGTCCTGGCACAGGGTTGTGTTTTCTACAGGTATTTTTCATCAAACCAAGAAAATGCATTTTCCACTTTCCGTGGTTTTTCTCCATGTGCAGAGGCCTTGAGTAGAGCACGTCTGACTGTGTTTGTTTTCACGCTGCTGATAAAGAGACCTTGAGTAGATCACGTCTGACTGTGTTTGTCTGTTTTCACGTGGCTGATAAAGACATACCAGAGACTGGGAAACTTACAACAGAAAGAGTTTTATTGGACTTACAGTTCCACGTGGCTGGAAAGGCCTCACAATCATGGTGGAAGGTGAAAGGCACATCTGACATGGCGGCAGACAAGAGAAGAGAGCTTGTGCTGGGTCTCCCCTTTTTAAAACCATCAGATCTCATGAGACTCATTCACTATTAAGAGAACAGTGCAGGAGAGACACAACCCCCATAACTCAGTCACCTCCCACTGGTCCCTCCCACAACATTGAGAATTATGGGAGCTACACATCAAAATGAGATTTGAGTGAGGACACATCCGACCCATATCATTCCACCCCAGGTTCCCTCCCAAATCTCATGTCCTCACATTTCAAAACCAATCATGCCTTCCCAACAGCTCCCCAAAGGCTAAACTCATTTCATCATTAACTCAGAAGTCCACAGTACAACATTTCATCTGAGGCAAGGCAAGTCCCTTCCCCTTATGAGCCTGTAAATTCAGAAGCAAGTTACAAGCATTGGGTAAACACACCCATTACAAATGACAGAAATTGCCCATAACAAAAAGGC
This sequence comes from Homo sapiens, assembly GCF_000001405.40. NCBI lineage: Eukaryota > Metazoa > Chordata > Mammalia > Primates > Hominidae > Homo > Homo sapiens. The sequence continues at coordinate 106,641,655 of NC_000014.9, read as the reverse complement.
CCCATGCAAGTCCAAAATCCAGCAGGGCAGTCAAATCATAGAGCTCCACAATGATCACCTGTAACTCCCCTTCTCACATCCGGGACATGTTGATGCAATAGGTGAGTTCCGATGGTCTTGGGCAGCTCCACCCCTGTGGCTTTGCAGGGTACAGCCTCCCTCCTGGCTGCTTTCACAGGCTGGTGTTCAGTGTCTGTGGATTTTCCAGGCACAAAGTGCAAACTGTCAGTGGATCTACCATTCCAGGGTCTGGAGGATAGCAGCCCTCTTCTCACAGCTCCACTAGGCAGTGCCCCAGTAAGGACTCTGTGTGGGAGCTCTGGCCCTATATTTCCTTTCCTCCTTGCCCTAGCAGAGGTTCTCCATGAATGATCCACCACTGCAGCCAACTTATGACTGGACATCCAGGTGTTTTCATACATCTTCTGAAATCTAGGCAGAGGTTCTCAAACACCAATTCTTAGCACTCTGTCGATAATGGTTCATTTTTTTGGCCTGTTCATTACTGGTATTTTTCAAAGGAATCTCACTTGAATCTTTACTCTTTTGCATTTTGTCTCCATGACAATGTTGGGAAGTTTTACCTCCACCATCATAACATGATCTAGTGATCTCACACATTTGTGGCAAACAATACCTACAAATTCAGAAGCTCTTTGCTTTTCTTTCCATGAAATATAATTCTTTCTGTTCTGTGTATAAGCATATCTTAGCAACTCTGTGCACACCCACATAGATGTCCACAAGCCTATGAATTATTCTCTGTAAATAAAAATTTATATCAATTTCCCTCAATGTTCATAATTCTCCTGAGGGTGAGGAAGCTCCTTCTCGATCTGTTCAAACAAAATGCCCAGAAACCATCTGGTAGGTAAGGAGTTCACCTGGCTCTGGTGTGGGGTCTGTCTCTTTCCCTCTGTTGTCACACAGGTCAGCCCAGTTGTTCAGGTCCTAAGAAGAAAGCCCAGGTTTGTCCTGATTTTAAAACACATCAAACTTCTGATGACTCTCCTGTTACCCACATCCATGGAGATAGATTATTTATTATATAATTCACCAAACTAATGTCAAATGCCCAAGTTGCAATACCACACATCCTAGGGTATGTTCATGCAATTCAATGGAGGAGAAAGTCTTTCAGAGACAGATGGATCTGAAATGATAAATATGTGGGTAAGGACTCTGGGCTTGAGTATCATTGTCCAGCCATGTTTCACAAGTGTGTCCTGTCAGGGAAGGACAAGAGTTCCTTGTGTTCTCAGAGGGAAGGGGTCACAGAGTTCCTCTCTGGTTCCCAGGAAAGATAATCGCACTAATCTTCATGATCTTCATGAGACTATCCTCCAGTGCTGACCTGTTATAGAGTTTTTGTCTGAAGTTCTCACTGCAATCCCCAATCTACATATTTTCAATCAGAAGTGTTTAGAGGCCAGGACATATCTTCACGGTCACACATTGAGAAGGATGTAGATATGTCCCACTACCTTCTCCTGAGATCTCAGACAGAATCCCAGATTTCAAAAGGACACAGAAGGACAGCTCTCAGGTGCTTTTAAAAAATGACCCACTTCCAGGGACAGGGAGCTTCCCTATAACCATGGTGGATGTTCTGAACTACAATAAACATTGGATGGATCCAGGATTGTTTGAAGTCACTGTCATTATTACATTCAGCTGCTGTTTCAATGTGTCTGAAGTAGTAAATGACAATTTAGATGACAATTTATATGAATCTTCAAGGGTAGAACAATATTGACCATATTCCAAAATCTGTCCTTGATCCATGATCACACTCATCTCCCAGACCAGGTCCTTCAGCACGTCTCTTTACCTGAAAGAAGAGGACTCTGGGCTTGGAGAGGGGAGACCCCAAGAAGACAACTGAGTTCTCAAAGGGCACAGCCAGCATCCTACTCCCAGGGCGAGCCCAAAAGACTGGGGCCTCCCTCCTCCTTTTTCACCTCTCCGTACAAAGGCACCACCCACATGCAAATCCTTACTTAAGCACCCACAGGAAACCACCACACATTTCCTTAAATTCAGGTTCCAGCTCACATGGGAAATACTTTCTGAGAGTCCTGGACCTCCTGTGCAAGAACATGAAACACCTGTGGTTCTTCCTCCTCCTGGTGGCAGCTCCCAGATGTGAGTGTCTCAGGGATCCAGACATGGGGGTATGGGAGGTGCCTCTGATCCCAGGGCTCACTGTGGGTCTCTCTGTTCACAGGGGTCCTGTCCCAGGTGCAGCTGCAGGAGTCGGGCCCAGGACTGGTGAAGCCTTCGGAGACCCTGTCCCTCACCTGCACTGTCTCTGGTGGCTCCGTCAGCAGTGGTAGTTACTACTGGAGCTGGATCCGGCAGCCCCCAGGGAAGGGACTGGAGTGGATTGGGTATATCTATTACAGTGGGAGCACCAACTACAACCCCTCCCTCAAGAGTCGAGTCACCATATCAGTAGACACGTCCAAGAACCAGTTCTCCCTGAAGCTGAGCTCTGTGACCGCTGCGGACACGGCCGTGTATTACTGTGCGAGAGACACAGTGAGGGGAGGTGAGTGTGAGCCCAGACACAAACCTCCCTGCATGGACGCGGAGGGGACCGGCGCAGGTGCTGCTCAGGACCAGCAGGTGGCGCGCGGGGCCCCCAGAGCATGAGGCCGGGTCAGGAGCAGGTGCAGGGAGGGCGGGGCTTCCTCATCTGCTCAGTGGTCTCCGTCCTCGCCAGCACCTCGCTGTCACCAGGGCTCCTCTTTCTTTATTATCTGTGGTTCTGCTTCCTCACATTCTTGTGCCAGGAAAGAAACGAGGAAGACAAATTTTCGTCTATAGTTGAAGCTTCACCAATTACTAGGAACTTGCCTACAAGTTCCTGCATGACCCATTATAACTTATCGATTAAAAAATATATATTCTAATGCTTCTCACCATCTCTTGATTTGTATCATCAACTGAATTGTACCCTCTTTGAAATTCATATGATGAAACCTTAAATTCAATGGATCTATATTGGAATTTTAATGAAATAATTAAGGTTAAATGTGGTCATAATTGTAAGACCCTAATGCAATAGACGTGTTGTCTTTATAAGAAGAGGAAGAGACACCAGAGACCTCTCACTTTTCACGTGCAGGCAGAGAAGAGGCCATGTGGAGACATAGTGCACTAGAAGGTGGCCCAGTGCAAGCCAGGAAGAAGCCGCGCCAAGAACCAGCCCTGCCAGCACACTAATCTTCAACATTCAGACTGCAGAATTTTAAGAAAATCAATATTTGTTGTTTAAGCCACCCACTCCTGTTGTCTTCTTATGAAGATCCAGACAGACTAATACCACATAACTCTGTTAGTGCTGTCCCCTGGATGGAGAATTAGCCTCCTGAGGCTGGGCACATCTCTCAGATTTCCACATAAAACAGGTAAAAAATAGTAGTTCTGATATAAAAACTTGTCATGTCCCTGTTGGCCAATTTCTGGGCAAGGTCTTTTAAATAAGCCAAGTTTGCGGGGAAATGGAGACCATATGTTTGTGGGACTCTAACCGTGGAATCTACTGCATTGCTCTAGCAGAATCAAAAATTGAACACCAGTGAGCTCTTTATTCTCATTAAAATGTGTGTCTTTGGAAATGTTAACATTCTGTCCAGAATCTGTGCTCACAAACAACTGTGTTTCTTAGTGCACTCTTGGCCTGGTGGAGCCCTCGCAGACCCTCTCCCTCACCTGTGCTGTCTCTGGATTTTCCATCACAACCAGTGTTTCCTGCTGGAGCTGGATCCACGAGTCCACATGGGAAGGACTGGAGTGGACCAGGCGCACACGTCATGAAGGGAGCAAAAATTCCCACCCACTCCTTATGAATCCAGTCACCATCTCCAAATTCGGGTCCAAAAAACACTTGTTTTTACAGTGGAGCTATGTGAGCAACAAGCTCACAGCCATGTTTTAAAGAAGAGACAGAGTGAGGGGACCACGGTGCGAGCTCACACCCAAACCTTCCTGGAGGGGTGCACAGGACAGCAGGAGTGCCGATGATGGAAGGGGGTGGTCTGGATTCCAGGGCACACGCAAGACCATTGTAGAGGCACTCAGGTCACCCGGGGGCTCTCAGGAACCATCGAGGAAAATCAGGACACCAGAAGAGACTCGGTACAGCAGGGGGCTCAGGACCATTGTGGGGACTCAGAAACAGCAGGTTCTAGGCTCAGCCTCAGGGCAGGTGCAGATGGGGTGAAAAGGGGCTGGATGAGGGGTTTTGTGTCACCATCATATTTCACCACTAGACACCCTCCACTACATGTGTTCTACTGCATATGAGTGTATGATTAGAAAATCATACTTCTATAAATATATAACCATACGAAGGTGTGTCAAGTTTTCCTCTTCAACTTCTATCGGCCTTGTTCGTAAGGACTAATTCCCTGTAATTACTTGAGGACCTCATAAATTGTGGTCAGTTTTGTAGGTTTCCTCTCTTTCCTTGTCTCCCTTTCCCCTTATTCTCTCTCACACAAATGGACATAATCCCCACTCCACACGCAAAGAAATCTATAACTTTCATTACCTGATGTATTGAATAAAATTGATTAATGTGCAGCTTTCCCATCTTTGTTGTTGTTCATGCTGCTGTAAGTATAAGAACCATGAGATTCTCAGCTGTGTACTTCTCCAAGCTGAGTGGCAGCTTTGCTTATCATACTGAGATGGCCAACAATCCAAATGTCAATCATCAGCTTAACTGGTAAACAAATTGTGGAAAAGTCATTCATTGGCATACTACTGACTGTGACCACAATATACTAATGTTGGATACGCTCAACAGTATGGTTAAATTCTCATATGGTGAGTAAAATGAGCCAAACAAATAAAAGTACACACATATGATACCACTTTTATACATTCTCCCATCCAAGTACTAACCAGGCCCGACCCTGCTTAGCTTCCGAGATCAGACGAGATCGGGCGCGTTCAGGGTGGTATGGCCGTAGACACACTTTTATACATTCTATAGAATAAAAACTAAAGTTACATAAAGAATCAGTAGTTCACTGTGAATATTATAGAAGGGAAAGTGTAGACAGGAGGAATTACAGAAAAGAGAAAATTTTAAGCATAATTGACTTGTTATCTATATTGATAATAATGATGTCTATGATAATATTTGTACAATTGAACACTTCATGTGAAGATCTTTTTTTTTAGTTTAACATCATTAAAGATAGTACTAACTGTAACGTGTGTAATTTGGTAGAAACGGAGTCAGACAGAGATAAAATACATAAAAAGTCAGAGACACCTGAATATTCACATGAGTGAGCCTGCACTTCTCTATGTTTTTATGAAAACACTACAATACAGCAAAATAATGACATCATTTTATGACGTGAAGGGGGTTTATTAAACCACTCCAGGCACGTTGTATTAGTTTGTTTTCCCACTGCTACAAAGAACTACCTGAGTTTGGGTAACTTATAAAGAAAATAGGTTATTGACTCATAGTTCTACATGGCTGGAAAGGCCTCAGGAAACTTGCAATCAAGGCAGAGTGTGAAGGGGAAGCAAGAGACATCTCACATGGCAGCAGGAGAGGTGGGGAGAACCACCACACACTTTAAATTATCAGATCTCCTGAGACCTCAATCTGAGACCTCAATCATGAAAACAGCATGGAGGAACCACCCCATGAGCCCATCCCCTCTCACCAGGTCCCTCCCTGGACGTGTGGCAATTCCAATTCGAGATCAGATTTGGGTGGGGACACAGAACCAAACCATATCACATGTCCAGTTCTGTCCCAGAGTTGGTTCAGGAATCAGATGTGTCCTGTTAACAGGAGCTGTGACACCAAGCTCCCAGCACCACTTGTAGTTGACGTCATGCAAAGGCCAAGATATCTCAACTAAGATTTAGTGTGGATGTGATGTTGGATGGTGACACACCCTCAGACCAAGTGGATATGGAAGGGATAATTATCTCTATTCTAGACGTGTCTGCTGAGAGCAGGGCAGTTCTCTCAGGAAAGTGCAAAATGGCTTGATAGAACAGGGAAAGAGAGGGCCTCAGGGTTTGGTGGTGGGGGCAGATTGAGTCTTTCCACTCACAGAAAGGGGTTTATAGGGTGGGAAACTCCCACTGGCTTCAAATAAGGAAGCTCCTGTGATTCTGGACCGATATTCACCTTGTGTGTAAAAAAGGAGGTAATGGAGGAATGAGCCTTAAGCTATCAGCAGTCACACACCAAAATACAGTGTGACAAGTTATTCTATGTAGCAACTATAAAAATAATGAATAAAAAACGAGATAAGGGTTCAATATGATGGGCAACACTCAGGTCTACAGAAAATGAGATGAGTGTTTATAAGTCAAAGCAAATAATAATGAGAAGCAGGAGGAGGGTGTGCAGAATTAGACAGGGGTCCAGGTCCAGTGACTTGGGTGGAAACCTTTTGCTATTAAGGATTATCAGCTTAGTCTGAAGGTCTTAGGTCAGCTATCTGTTTAAAGACATCAGAAACACCAGAGAATCTTTGAGGATGCTCAGATTAACATCTCCTATTTTAGTAGCCTTGCAGTTGTGTGAAAACCTTTTTTATCTTATTTCATTTTATTATTTATTTATTTATCTGTTGAGATGGAATTTCGCTCTTGTTGCCCAGGCTGGAGCGAAATGGCACGATCTTGACTCACCGCCTCTTCCACCTCCCAGATTCAAGCGATTCTCCTGCCTCAGCCTCCCAGTAGCTGATATTACAGGCATGCACCACCAGGCCCAGCTAATTTTGTATTTTTAGTAGAGATGGGGTTTCTCCACATTGGTCAGGCTGGTCTCAAACTCTCAACCTCCGGTGACCCGCCCACCTTGGCCTCCCGAAGTGCTGGGATTACAGGTGTGAGCCACTGCTCCGGGCCGAAAATCTTATTCATTCTTTTTTGTTTGTTTTTAGAGACAGAGTCTCTCTCTGTTGCACGTTGAAAGTGGAGTGGTGTGATAACAGCTCACTGTAAATTTGAACTCTTGGCTCACAGAGTATGTTCCTATGTATCGTGCAGGTGTGTCTGTGTGTGTTTACCCGGCTTGGGGTCCTCTAATTTTTGGATCTGTAGTTAGGTGTTTCACATTCTTAAGATATTTTTCTTAAGAAATATATCTTAAGATATAAGTATATCTTAAGATATCATTAATTCTTAAGATATTTTCTCTGTTTCTAATTTCTATTTTTGAAATTTGAAATATATCTACACTATACTTTTTGATGTTAGTTCTTAAATTTCTTCACTCTTTTTCCCTTTGAAATTCACTTTGTGTAATTTCCAGTAACGGAGTTGAAGTCCCTGGTTTCATTTAAGAGCTGAGCGAATTCTACTGCTGAGCGTGCCCAAGGTATATTCAACTTTATACTGCATCACTTTTGATAATTTTATGAATTTCCATTTGATTCTTTCTTAGTATTTCTCTCTGTCAGTCACCTATCTAGTCTTGCACTGTGTCCACATTTTCTTTCAGATACTTTTAACAAATTCAATTACTTTAAATATCCTACTTAATAAGATAGTTCTAGTATTGTGTCATTTACAAATATCAATTCTGAGGATTTTTCCATTATGACTTTGGTGTTTTTTATAACTTATATGACTTTGATGAATGTTATAATTTTTGTTGATAACCAGCCATATTTGGACCCTTGATATTGACGTATTATTTTATTTTGTGCATTTCTGCCTGTATTTGACCACACCCTATCTGTGCTGGGCCTTGATTGTGGAGATGTCTGTGCATCTCTTCAGAGCTACATTTGACATTTACTTTTGCAACGGCTGTAGCAGTTGAAGTGTGTTCTTCTATGTCCACTGGAGACTTCAGATACTCTAGTGATACCTTGTTTTCATGCCTGCTTGGCTTTGTCTATTCACCTCATTCCATTCTACAGAGAATCTCCTTCACATTCCTAGGGTGGATTAAAGTGTTATATTTAACTGCCAATTGTGAAATTGGCGGAAGGCATTAGACTAAAGGAAGAAACTGACCTCTCGTTGGGCCATAATTCTAGAAAGCCGTTGTGATCCTGAGTCTGAGTGTGACCTTCCAAGTTTTCCCGACCCTCCTGCAAGTGAGATACTGGTCTGTGTGTTCTTGCCTCTTCCCCTGGGGTAGAGTCCTCCTGTTTTCCCCAGTTGTTCCCTCCCACAGCTCTCACAATCTCTGTTGGTGTCCCCATCTTCCAGATCTGCTGCCATGACCTGCAGATTAAGGCTCTGATTCCATAAGAAACTGAGGGGAGCTGCTTCTCAATAGATCTTTGATGGGGACCTCTGTTCCCATATCAGTTCATGAGGGGCTGCTCCAGTGCCCTAGGATGCTGATTTTCATGGCTTGCTCCTGCAGGGTAATATCTGAGTTTCATAGTGGGAATCAGAGAGTTGGGTCTGGATGCATTTCAGAAGTGTGGGCTCTCATTCTCTCCCAGACAGTCACTTTGGGAAGGATAGATTCTTGTGACTGTAAAGGTTCTTCAAGAGAATAGCACAACTCTTCAGTATGTTGTCCCTTAGAATTTCTCACTACAACACGCTTAACACACTCGACTTCAAGCAATGCAATGTGTATTTGTGCTCCATCTTGTAATGGCCTACGTTGAATACGACAGACTGTGCCTCAGGTAATTTCATATCTTGACTTTATTACTCTGTACTAGAACTTGCCTCTCCCTAGATTTCAATTTTTTTTGTTTTAAACCTTCAGTTATCTGAAGCATTTAATAAAATTTGCGAACTTCCATCTTTTCTGTTTATCTGTTATTGCTGATGTTATTGTTTTAAAAATAAATATATATTTCTCATTCATGTACATTTTTAAGCTGAGCAGCATATTTTTAAGTAAAACCTGGAATAATAAAAGAATCCAAACATTTTTCAGCTGCCCCAAAAAAACCAAATTATGGTAAATGTGTTCACTGGAACACTACTCATCACTTATAATAAATATATTTCTGGTACACAGAGCAACAAAGAAAAATATCTAAGTGTTTATGCTGAGTAAAATACGCCAGACAAATAAGAATATGTACCATATTACTCCATTTATGCAATTTCTTTTAAGTGAAAAAGAATCTAAAGCAATATCCAGAAGATCAGTAGTTACCTGGAAAAAGGGTAGACCAAAGGAAGGGGAAAGGAGGAAACTTACAGAAGAACAAGAGAAAATGTTGAGGGGAGTTCACTTGTCCAGCTTGGAAATGATGGGTTACATCATGTTGATCAATTGCACACTTTAAATATGTGAAGTCTATTATCTGCCAATTAACACTCGCAAAATTTATTGCAAGCAGACAAATGAAAAATTAGACAAAGAAAGGATGGTATAAAGATAGAAAATATATATTAAATGTCAGAAATGTCTGAGAATTTAACTCCTGACCCTAGTTCCGTCCTTATTTTTAGGTGAATGGTAGCGTGCACCAAAATCACACACATTCTCAGTACAGGAAGTGGGTTCCACAAAGCACACGAGGTATGTCCAATTCTTACCAAGATTTGGTTCAGGGAGTAACAGTGATGAGGAATCACAGGCCCAGATACCGGGGCTCACTCATCTCAGACATGACCTCGTGGACACACACTTAGCCCCTCCTCCATGTGTAGGTTGACTTCCACATATGTAAATGGAGAAACCATTGACTCCTACAGAACATAATTTACAGAAATATACAAAAGATAAAATAGTGCAAATACTTATCACAACAAAATTTCCTAATAAGACAGTGTATTTTCCAAATACCGTAATTGTCACCCAACTCCTGTGGGGCCGTGTCATTTTATCTGGGGTCTGCCGTCTCCTCAGGATTCCCACCCCAGAGCTCTCTATGTAGTAGGAGACAAGCAAATAGGGCCCTCCCTCTGCTGCTGAAAATCAGCCAAATCCTGACCCTGCAGCTCTGGGAGAGGAGCCCCCGCCCCGGGATTCCCAGCTGTCTCCACTTGGTCATGAACACTGAACACAGAAGACACACCATGGAGTCTGGGCTGAGCTGGATTTTCCTTGTTGCAGTTTTAAAAGGTGATTTATGGAGAATGAGACACACTGAGTGTGACTGGACATAAGTGAGAGAAACAGTGGATTTGTGTGGCAGTTTCTGACCAGGGTGTCTCCGTGTTTGCAGGTGTCCAGTGTGAGGTGCAGCTGGTGGAGTCTGGGGGAGGCTTAGTAAAGACTGGAGGGGTCTCTGAGACTCTCCTGTGCAGCCTCTGGATTCACCTTCAGTAGCTCTGCTATGCACTGGGTCCACCAGGCTCCAGGAAAGGGTTTGGAGTGGGTCTCAGTTATTAGTACAAGTGGTGATACCGTACTCTACACAGACTCTGTGAAGGGCTGATTCACCATCTCTAGAGACAATGCCCAGAATTCACTGTCTCTGCAAATGAACAGCCTGAGAGCCGAGGGCACAGTTGTGTACTACTGTGTGAAAGACGCAGTGAGAAGTCAGTGTGAGCCCAGACACAAACCTCCTGCAGGGTACCTGGGACAATCAGGGAAAGCCTGGGACACTGTATACTGGGCTGTCCCCAGGGGCAAGTCCAGGTGATATAAGCCTGGGTTTCCTGTCATGATCTAGGGTTGCATTGTTAGCAAATTACCCCAGGGACCATCTCTAGATTTCCAATTCTGTAATAACATTTGATGTCGTCTCTGACTGCACAATGTCCCCTCAACTTTGTATCTTTTTTTTTTTTGTAACAGGAGGACACATCCTCACCCTGCAGAAGCCTGAGTGTCACTTTGGGGGCAGAAATGACCTGCCTTGATCACATTGATCACTGTCCTGAGGAAAATACCCCACAGGGGACCCCGATGACTCCAGCAAAGGCTCTGCCTCAAAACCATTGAAGAGTCCTTCCTTTCATTAGAATTGACCACAGCACCTGGGCTTCAGCACAAGCCATACCACAGACGTCACAAAGCAGCAGCTTGACACCTGATCCAGGTGCATTTTCTCACCTTTAGAAGCTGAGAGAGGGGTGTATTCTCAAGGTCAACACACTCTTTGTGGGTTTTTACACAGAAAACCTGCTTTTACTTTATTTCATTTGAAGATAAATGAACAAATGTGCATCTATAAATGATTGTAATTTTCACATTTATTCCAAATCCAATATTTCTGAATTCTGCATAATGTCCTGGCACAAGGTTGTGTTTTCTATAGGTATTTTTCAACAGACCAAGAAAATGCATTTTCCAATTTCCCTGTTTTTCCTCCATGTGCAGAGACCTTGAGTAGAGCACGTCTGACTGTGTTTGTCTGTTTTCACGCTGCTGATGAAGACATACCAGAGACGAGGAAACTTACAATAGAAAGAGTTTTATTGGACTTACAGTTCCACGTGGCTGGAAAGGTCTCACAATCATGGTGGAAGGTGAAAGGCACATCTGACATGGCGGCAGACAAGAGAAGAGAGCTTGTGCTGGGTCTCCCCTTTTTAAAACCATCAGATCTCATGAGACTCATTCACTATTAAGAGAACAGTGCAGGAGAGACGCAACCCCCATAACTCAGTCACCTCCCACTGGTCCCTCCCACAACATTGAGAATTATGGGAGTTACACATCAAAGTGAGATTTGAGTGAGGACACATCCGACCCATATCATTCCACCCCAGGTTCCCTCCCAAATCTCACGTCCTCACATTTCAAAACCAATCATGCCTTCCCAACAGCTCCCCAAAGGCTAAACTCATTTCATCATTAACACAGAAGTCCACAGTACAACATTTCACCTGAGACAAGGCAAGTCCTTTCCACTTATAAGCCTGTAAATTCAAAAGCAAGTTACAGGCATTGGGTAAACACACCCATTGGAAATGACAGAAATTGCCCATAACAAAAAGACCCCATGCAAGTCCAAAATCCAGCAGGGCAGTCAAATCATAAAGCTCCACAATGATCACCTGTAACTCCCCTTCTCACATCCGGGACATGTTGATGCAACAGGTGAGTTCCCATGGTCTTGGGCAGCTCCACCCCTGTGGCTTTGCAGGGTACAGCCTCCCTCCTGGCTGCTTTCACAGGCTGGTGTTCAGTGTCTGTGGATTTTCCAGGCACAAAGTGCAAACTGTCAGTGGATCTACCATTCCAGGGTCTGGAGGATAGCAGCCCTCTTCTCACAGCTCCACTAGGCAGTGCCCCAGTAGGGACTCTGTGTGGGAGCTCTGGCCCTATATTTCCTTTCCTCATTGCCCTAGCAGAGGTTCCCCATGAATGAGCCACCACTGCAGCCAACTTGTGACTGGACATCCAGGTGTTTTCATACACCTTCTGAAATCTAGGCAGAGGTTCTCAAACCCCAATTCTTAGCACTCTTTCCATAATGGTTCATTTTTTTGGCCTGTTCATTACTGGTATTTTTCAAAGGAATCTCACTTGAATCTTTACTCTTTTGCAATTTGTCTCCATGACAATGTTGGGAAGTTTTATCTCCACCATCATAACATGATCTAGTGATCTCACACATTTGTGGCAAACAATACCTACAAATTCAGAAGCTCTTTGCTTTTCTTTCCATGAAATATAATTCTTTCTGTTCTGTGTATAAGCATATCTTAGCAACCCTGCACACACCCACATAGATGTCCACAAGCCTATGAATTATTCTCTGTAAATAAAAACTTATATCAATTTCCCTCAATGTTCATAATTCTCCTGAGTGTGAGGAAGCTCCTTCTCGATCTGTTCAAACAAAATGCCCAGAGACCATCCGGTAGGTAAGGAGTTCACCTGGCTCTGGTGTGGGGTCTGTCTCTTTCCCTCTGTTGTCCCACAGGTCAGCCCAGTTGTTCACGTCCTAACAAGAAAGCCCAGGTTTGTTCTGATTTTAAAACACTTCAAACTTCTGATGACTCTCCTGTTACCCACATCCATGGAGATAGATTATTTATTATATAATTCACCAAACTAATGTCAAATGTCCAAGTTGCAATACCACACATCCTAGGGTATGTTCATGCAATTCAATGGAGGAGAAAGTCTTTCAGAGACAGATGGATCTGAAATGATAAATATGTGGGTAAGGACTCTGGACTTGAGTGTCATTGTCCAGCCATGTTTCACAAGTGTGTCCTGTCAGGGAAGGATCAGAGTTCCTTGTGCTCTCAGAGGGAAGGGGTCACAGAGTTCCTCTCTGGTTCCCAGGAAAGGTAATCGCACTAATCTTCATGATCTTCATGAGACTATCCTCCAGTGCTGACCTGTTATAGAGTTTTTGTCTGAAGTTCTCACTGCAATCCCCAATCTACATATTTTCAATCAGAAGTGTTTAGAGGCCAGGACACATCTTCAAGGTCACACATTGAGAAGGATGTAGATATGTCCCACTACCTTCTCCTGAGATCTCAGACAGAATCCCAGATTTCAAAAGGACACAGAAGGACAGCTCTCAGGTGCTTTTAAAAAATGACCCACTTCCAGGGACAGGGAGCTTCCCTATAACCATGGTGGATGTTCTGAACTACAATAAACATTGGATGGATCCAGGATTGTTTGAAGTCACTGTCATTATTACATTCAGCTGCTGTTTCAATGTGTCTGAAGTAGTAAATGACAATTTAGATGACAATTTATATGAATCTTCAAGGGTAGAACAATATTGACCATATTCCAAAATCTGTCCTTGATCCATGATCACACTCATCTCCCAGACCAGGTCCTTCAGCACGTCTCTTTACCTGAAAGAAGAGGACTCTGGGCTTGGAGAGGGGAGACCCCAAGAAGACAACTGAGTTCTCAAAGGGCACAGCCAGCATCCTACTCCCAGGGCGAGCCCAAAAGACTGGGGCCTCCCTCCTCCTTTTTCACCTCTCCATACAAAGGCACCACCCACATGCAAATCCTCACTTAAGCACCCACAGGAAACCACCACACATTTCCTTAAATTCAGGTTCCAGCTCACATGGGAAATACTTTCTGAGAGTCCTGGACCTCCTGTGCAAGAACATGAAACATCTGTGGTTCTTCCTTCTCCTGGTGGCAGCTCCCAGATGTGAGTATCTCAGGGATCCAGACATGGGGATATGGGAGGTGCCTCTGATCCCAGGGCTCACTGTGGGTCTCTCTGTTCACAGGGGTCCTGTCCCAGGTGCAGCTGCAGGAGTCGGGCCCAGGACTGGTGAAGCCTTCGGAGACCCTGTCCCTCACCTGCACTGTCTCTGGTGGCTCCATCAGTAGTTACTACTGGAGCTGGATCCGGCAGCCCCCAGGGAAGGGACTGGAGTGGATTGGGTATATCTATTACAGTGGGAGCACCAACTACAACCCCTCCCTCAAGAGTCGAGTCACCATATCAGTAGACACGTCCAAGAACCAGTTCTCCCTGAAGCTGAGCTCTGTGACCGCTGCGGACACGGCCGTGTATTACTGTGCGAGAGACACAGTGAGGGGAGGTGAGTGTGAGCCCAGACAAAAACCTCCGTGCAGGGAGGCGGAGGGGACCGGCGCAGGTGCTGCTCAGCGCCAGCAGGGGGCGCGCGGGGCCCACAGAGCAGGAGGCCCGGTCAGGAGCAGGTGCAGGGAGGGCGGGGCTTCCTCATCTGCTCAGTGGTCTCCCTCCTCGCCAGCACCTCAGCTGTCCCCAGGGGTCCTCTTTCTTTATTATCTGTGGTTCTGCTTCCTCACATTCTTGTGCCAAGAAAGAAATGAGGAAGACAAATTTTCGTCTGTAGTTGAAGTTTCACCAATTACTAGGAACTTTCCTAGAAGTTCCTGCATGGCCCATTATAGCTTACTGATTAAAAAATATATATTCTAACGCTTCTCAGCATCTCTTGATTTGTGTCATCAACTGAATTGTGCCCTCTTTGAAATTCATATGCAGAAACCTTAAATTCAATTGATGTATATTGGAATTTTAATGAAATAATTAAGGTTAAATGTGGTCATAAGTGTAAGACTCTAATTCAACAGACGTGTCGTCTTTATAAGAAGAGGAAGAGACACCAGAGACCTCTCACTTTTCACGTGCAGGCAGAGAAGAGGCCATGTGGAGACGTAATGCACTAGAAGGTGGCCCAGTGCAAGCCAGGAAGAAGCCTCACCAAGAACCAACCCTGCCAGAACATTGATCTTCAACATTCAGACTGCAGAATTTTAAGAAAATCAATATTTGTTGTTTAAGCCACCCACTCCTGTTGTCTTCTTATGAAGATCCAGACAGACTAATACCACATAACTCTGTTAGCGCTGTCCCCTGGATGCAGAATCAGCCCGCTGGGGCTGGGCACATCTCTCAGATTTCCACATAAAGTAGGCAAAAAATAGTAGTTCTGATATAAAAATTTGTCATGTCCCTGTTGGCCAATTTCTGGGCAAGGTCTTTTAAAGAAGCCCTGGGGGCTTTGTCACAAAAGTTGCCTTTTATCATTTATTAGGACATAACTGATGAACAATGAGTACCAGTTGGATGGAGACTGACCACTGACCATCTTCTGCTGTCTCCTAAGTATGCCACAGAAAACCACACCAACATTACTCTATGTCTTCAACTTTCTAAATTTGCACTGATTGGTATTTAAGGCAGGCCCAGCGTTGAATAACTCCTTTAGTTTTTGCTTCTCTGGGAAAGGTCTTATCTATCCTGGCCTTGGTCTTCAAGTTTCAGCAATTCTGGGAAGCCAAGGACGCCTCTATCTCCTCCTCCATGCTCTGCAACTCACCTGAGAACAGCTTTCTCATTGGAATGTCTTCTGTTTAAGGAATAAGAGTCCCTGTTTCAGGCTTGGGTGCCTGAGTACACCTACTGGATCCAGCCCAGGATTGGAGAAACTTTCCAGAACACATCACCTGAGAAATGACCAGTCACACTGTTACACTTTCACAATTTCCGCTTCCTCATGAGAAAATTAAAATTGCAGAGACTTTTTCATAAGCGTTGTGCCATGTCCTTTCTTGTTTTCTTGCCTGTTCATTTATGTCAGACCAGGTGCCACATCTATGTAATCAGGTTAGAATCCTGCCTCCAGTAACACATGAAAAGGACCTATGGTTGTACTTTTGGTCTTTGCTCCAAAGTGTAAAGATTACAAAAGTCATCACCCTCATTCTTATGCCAAGAGTCATCTGCACAATCTGATCTTCAATACATTTTAGAATCCATCAAATGAATGAAATTCCATTTTTTAAATTACCACCCCAAAAACTAGAGAGATGGGCATGTCCAGAATAGCAGTTGATGGTTGCTTAACTGGAAGAGAAGTTTCAGAAGCCACAAGCTGTTGAAGGCACTTACGTGGTTAGCACTATAGACGTCTGCAAGACAGATGTGGACTAGGGTGAAATGACAGTTCCAGAGGGCCGCACTCTCCTCAGTCTTCTGGAATTTCCCTCTAGAAATCTCCAGAATCTAAAAAATACAATCCAAATATGTTTCCTATGGGTCATAACTGGGGAAGTTTAATTACTGAAAAATATATCAGGAGCCTTCTCCAAAAGATCCTACAGGGAAGAACTTTTCCAGAACCTCATACTATGTGAAGGGAAGAAAAATCTGCCCATTCCAGATCCCTCCCCACTTCCTCCATTATTATACAAATGAGTAAGTTTAGCCAATAGGGTAAGATGTAAGCAAATAGTCCAGGGAAACTGAAGCCACAAAAAGGAGTAAAGATGAAAATTCAGCTTTTCCCCTGGAGATGCCTGGTCAAGGTCACAGCCCAGAAAAGGAATCTGATTGAGTCTCTAGGTTTCCATGGTCAGAACAAGCAGTGCTGACCCGCACTGCACAATCCTTTCTAACCAGGATGATGGCTCTGGATTAAATATGAGAGTGTGCCAATGCACAGTCTCTGAGGAGAACATAGGGACACTAAAAAAGCAATGGCAGGGAGTTAGACAAGGACAGTAGAGCAATATGAAGCCTCTGACGTGAACATTTTTAAAAACAAGATCTTGGAAACTCCCTCATTCACCTCAGCTTCTTTTATCATGAAGACTTTCCAAGATTCTTAACTGAGACAAACAAAATAACAACCTGCATGCACTTCCGAAGTCTCCGCTTGTATCCTGTTTGCTTTAGATCTCTAGGAGAAAAATGTCAGACACCTGGGCCTAGTGTCAATGTGGGAGGCACTTTCTACAGATGAGGCACAAGAAGGAAGGGAAAACGTGTGTTATTGGAATAGTGGATATGAAGTGTGCTCTCATCTGAAAGCATCTGCACCTGCTGGAAATCTCAGATGCAACATTCAACTGCAAGAACCAAGGCACACCCAAATCTCCTGTAAGATTTTGGATTCATTATCCACTGATTCAGTGCAACTGGAGCTTCAGAGAAGGGGCTCCCTCCTGTGTCATAGCATCCTTGCTTTGAGTTCATTAGATTTAGTAAGGCTAATCAATTGTTTGAAGAGATGGTGTCAGCAGCGTATGCTGTCACTGAAGGAGTATTCTAAACCAGGACAAAGCCATTTCATGTTAGGCGAGGGAAGCTGGTGGAAAATGCTTTATGAGCCCCACAGGAACTTCCTTGCAAGGCAAGGGCTGGGCTGGAGGGGGCGCGCAGGAGCCGCCCAGCACAGGTTCCATCCCCGGAGGGGTGCACAGGAGGCTGGGGACGAGGTTCCCTCTCAGCGCCTGTGTCTTCCTTTGGCAACAAAAAAAATCCTAAGTGTTCAAGAAGTTGCTGATGTGTCTTTAAGTATCCTGTTCCGTCAGAGCCTTTCCTATAACTGAAGGCAACCAGAACTGTGTTTTAAAGTCGGTTCCGAGGACTGCAAGTATCTTAATAGTGAGGATATAAAGGATAGGAATGGTTTTACTAATTGAAAGGATACAGAATTGTGGGGTTCCGAGGACTGCAAGTATCTTAATAGTGAGGATATAAAGGATAGGAATGGTTTCACTAATTGAAAGGATACAGAATTGTGGGAGTCACTATGTTCCTATGAATAAAAAATTCAGATTTCAGTGTTAAGTAATGTTGCCTACATTGTGTGAGTGACAGGGCAGTGGTGGATCTGAGAGTGTGGCAGGTGCACAGACCTAGTGAGTCAGAAATCAATATGGAAAGATGAGGATCTATGGATATGAACTGAAAGTAAGTAAACAGTTCATGAAATTCTATTAAATGGAGTAGGAAATAAAACCCAAACTTATCCAAAACACAAATTCCTTGGCGATTATTTTGGGAGCAGTGAGTTCATCAGGAACCCCAAACTTCTCTTACGTCTTCTGATTCCTGTTGTCCATGAGATGAGAAATTCAGCTCTAATTGTACATCACAGGGCAAATCTGTAAACCAGGAGTGTTTCTATTGAGGATCATGGTGGATCAGGATTCCAGGCAGGTGCTGGAGACACTGTCTCAGGAGCGCCCAGATGATCTCAGGGGGACCTGCTGGACACTCACGTGGGACATCAGCAGTCACTTTCTCAGAGTAACCAGTGAGCTGTGCTGGTGCCTGATGGGACTAGGATGGGGTCAAGGCACCTTCTCAGTGTCATGGAGAGTGATTGTTCCAGAAATCATCCAGGTGGTCTCTACGCTAATCAAATATGGGTTCACAGGGAGGAACATGTGCTCTGGGTGCTTGGTCTTCAGTGAAAGGACGTCTGGCCACCAAAAGTTTGTAAATGGAGCAGGGCATGCATTTCCTCAAGGAGGATTAGGGCTTGGAGCATCAGCATCCCACTCTTGTAAGGCTGATGTGTCATTTACCTTCCCTTTCTTATCCCAAATCAGGGTCTTCAGCTATGAAATGCTCTGACTCATGAATATGCAAATAACCTGAGATGCACTGAGGTAAATATGGATATTTGTCAGCCCTGAGAGCATCATCCAGAAACCACATCCCTCCGCTAGAGAAGCCCCTGACGGCACAGTTCCTCACTATGGACTGGATTTGGAGGATCCTCTTCTTGGTGGGAGCAGCGACAGGCAAGGAGATGCCAAGTCCCAGTGATGAGGAGGGGATTGAGTCCAGTCAAGGTGGCTTTCATCCACTCCTGTGTTCTCTCCACAGGTGCCCACTCCCAAATGCAGCTGGTGCAGTCTGGGCCTGAGGTGAAGAAGCCTGGGACCTCAGTGAAGGTCTCCTGCAAGGCTTCTGGATTCACCTTTACTAGCTCTGCTGTGCAGTGGGTGCGACAGGCTCGTGGACAACGCCTTGAGTGGATAGGATGGATCGTCGTTGGCAGTGGTAACACAAACTACGCACAGAAGTTCCAGGAAAGAGTCACCATTACCAGGGACATGTCCACAAGCACAGCCTACATGGAGCTGAGCAGCCTGAGATCCGAGGACACGGCCGTGTATTACTGTGCGGCAGACACAGTGTGAAAACCCACATCCTGAGAGTGTCAGAAACGCCAGGAAGGAGGCAGCTGTACTGGCATGGAGGGGATGACAAAGGTTATTAGATTGAAGATTTTCTTAGAAAACGACTTCAAGTCATTAAAGAAGAGGAACAACATAAATGTGTATTTGTGAAATTTTAATTGAGAGATTTTTCATACAACATTTATTCTGTAAGCTATTTCAGGGATTGGAATATGAATCAAATTAATAAAGCTGATATAGACATCCTCTGAAGGCATCTTCGTAAACATCAATTTCTGAATCAGTGTTGTAAATATTTTGGAACACAGACACAAGATCACATTTTTACTCTACTTTTATCTCTATTTTTAAAAAATGCCAAAAAGAATCTTATTTTGTGCATGCCCCATTTTGAATTCCCACCGTCAATGCATGATAGTTCTTGGTTTTCCTCATTCAAGTTGTCATTTGTCATTAAGAGTGTTGTGTGTTTTAACCATTCTAATAGGTGAGTAACGGTATCTAATTTTTATTTAAATGCACATGTCCCTAAAAAATTCATATTTAACAATTTTTATATAATTTTTGGTGAGATGCCTCTCGTGATATTTGGTTCATTTTTTAAATGCATTTTTTATCAGTTGTAAGTATGCTTGCATATTGATTATAAAAGTCATTTAACAAATTAAAATAATTCATTTAACAAATATGCATCTTGGAATTTTTTTCTCCAAGTCTGCAGTTGTCTTTTACTCCCTTATCCCTGTGTATTGCAGAAAAATGTTTGTGTGTGTGTGTGCCTGTGTATGTACAAATTTAGATTTTAAAAATGTACATTTTTATTCATTTAAAGATCATGTCTTTGGCAGTATATCTGAAATCTCATTGTAAAAGACACAATAGTCATTATTTTTTCCATGTCTCTAATCTTAGGACACAATCAACTCATGAGTGTTTAACCTTCCCTACCTGATTGGAGGACTATCCACCTGAGACATTTGGAATACTTCTGTAAGGAGATGTGTCCTTCCCATTATTTCTTTATTTAGTCATCTATTGATGTTCCTATTGGTTTATGGATGTCTATTTCATACTCCGAAGAAGATCCTTGTTACATTACTTGTTTTATTGTTCAAAACACCACAGCTTTATTAGGTGCTGGGAGCTCATTTAGTTTGGATCCTGCATCCTTACAGCACACCTCATCTTTTTGTTTTTAGACATTTCCCTGTTTCCAAGTATTACAATAAATTCTAAGCTTGTTCTCTACGTTACCTTTTTTGTACATAGAATCAGCCATTTTTCTAAAGACTGCTTGTTTTTCATGTTAAAGAACAGTATTGAAATTTAAAAATGTGATCCTGGGTATGTGTGTTGTTAATGTGGTATCAGTACTTCTTCTAGGATATCTCCACCAATTGGCCTAGTAAATGGGCATGTTTATAGGAACCCAAGTTTATGGACACATCGAAACTATTTATGTATCTAATCCTCTGTAATGTGATTACATTAAAAATGAGAACACACTGGTGTCTCCATCCAACTATGCTACCATATGGATGTTTCCAGCCTTCCTTCCCTCACTGTCCATAACCACCCACTGCAAAGTGAGGAACCCCATCCCACCATATGCCATTTTATTACTTAGCTGCACAATTTCAGGACACATGCATAGCAGTATCAGAAATGTAAAGCTCGTTGGAAACATGTTTATCTACTAGAACAGACTGCTTATGTGCAGTTTCTTTACACTGTAAACTTATAGAATTTCTTCATTTTCAAAGTTGCTTAGGTCAGCAACTTCATTTTCCACTCTCCTCAGTGAAGTCATTTCAATGACAATGTATAATGTCATTTATTTGAAATTCTTTCAAAGCCAAAACTATAGTCCGGTAAACATATAGAGGATATTCAAGGAATTTAGAGAGTGGGTATAAAATAAGTAAAAATGGCACTGTTTAAGAAGAGTAAAATTGTTTTTAGTGATATACAATGGTTGAGACACAACACAATTAATTTGGCTAAGCTCATACTTTTGTGACAGAAAATATAAACCTAAATATATACAATTTTTGTAAAAAAACTTTAGCAGTTCATTAACCCCAGGGTTAAACAAGACTGTGTAAAATTATCTAATAACTTATTTGATGAGGGTGGGGATATCATGAGACATATGCAACAAAGAATGAAGGCATTTTCCTCATTTGCATGTAAGATGTTACCATTCACTAAAGACCTTTAATAAAAAAAAATTTCTACGTGATCCAGTATTTTTTTCCTTCTGTCAAGCAAATAACTCATAGGATTCTTTTCTTTCCTTGGTTGAGAAAGATTTTCTACAAGCTTCAGCACACGTCAGGCATACACTGTCCCTGAATGGGCATTTACCCTCAGATGGGTACACACACCTGTCAACATGGGGGCTCTTCTGTCAGACAAACACACCTTTACTCATGTGGATTCTTCCCTCAGACAAACACACATGTCCCCACGTGGACTCTTTCCTCAGATTACAACATTTGTCCTTACATTTACTATTTCCTCAGAAAACAGACATTGCATCATGTGGTCTCTTGTCTCAGACAAGCAAACATGTCTTCAGTCAGATAAGTCTGTGGATTTCCACATTGACTGTTTCCTTACACAAGCACCTATATCCAATATTTAACTGTTTTGTGAGAAATTTATCCCTTTTCTCTGGAAATGTATTTTTATGTTCTTACTGGACATATTTTTTAATAATGTTTGCTACTATGAAGATACCCGAACACTGTCCATACGAGAGAATAAGAAAGAGTAATAAGCAGATTAACCCTGTGCATCCAGACCCAGGAGTCCTTTGATCCTGCCCTTCCGAAATGGAGACACAGAGGAAGGATGAGCAATGCTGAGCAGTGCACCCATGACCACAAAAGGAAAGACATGGCAATGTGTCCCCTCCCCTCCTCATGAAAGGCAGCTCATCCCCTGTTCCTTCAGGCCCTGGTGAGGAGCCACCCCATGTATATTCCCTTGATCAGTGTCCACACCATGGGGTCTGCACTGATCTGGGCTTCCCTTCTCATCACCCTCAATATTAGTGTCCCTTGTGAATCAGGTCCAGCTGCGGCTGTTCCACATGGGGCCGTTCTTCCATTTCCTCAGTGTTTGCAGAAGTCCTGTGTGAAGTTTATTGATGGAGTCAGAGGCAGAAAATTGTACAGCCCAGTGGTTCACTGAGACTCTCCTGCAAAGCCTCTGATTTCACCTTTACTGGCTACAGCATGAGCTTGGTCCAGCAGGCTTCATGACAGGGATTGGTGTGGGTGGAAACAGTGAGTGATCAAGTGGGAGTTCTCAGAGTTACTCTCCATGAGTACAAATAAATTAACAGTCCCAAGCGACACCTTTTCATGTGCAGTCTACCTTACAATGACCAACCTGAAAGCCAAGGACAAGGCTGTGTATTACTGTGAGGGACACAGGAGAGGGAATATCTGTGTGAGCCCAGACACAAAAATCTCTGCAGAGAGACAGGAGGGAACTGCATGGTAGATGCTCCTCATAACCACAAAGGGGCAGTCAGGACCATCAGGAGGAGCTCAGGACACCTGGGGGTGCTCAGAACCATGAGGGGTGCTCAGGACATCGGGGGCTCTCAGAACCATGAGGGGTGCTCAGGACATCAGGGGGCTCTCAGAACCACCAGGGGGCGCTCAGGACACCTGGGGGCGCTCAGAAGCATCAGGGGTGCTCAGGATATCAGAGTGCCCTCAGTACCACGAGGGGGCGCTCATGACACCAGGGGCACTCAGAACCACCAGGGGGCGCTCAGTACACGGGGGTTCTCTTAGGAAGCAGCTCCACATCAGGAGCCTGAGAGGCTGTGATTTCGTTTTAAACCTTGGTGATTCCCGACCTGGTCAAGCAAAAGTCTTCCCCAGGATCTCTCACCATTTCTTCTTTGTAAATCCATGATTTTTTTTTACCTACAAAACATTAAGTTAGAACAGGGATTTAATTCAACTTTTAATTCTGCAGATTTTCCGAGTAATAGTAGCAATGTTCCCTCAGGACAATTTTTAAAATTGGTTATTTATATATTTTATTTATGTAAAATGATACTATCTTGAAAATAGTAAAATTTTTAAAATCATACCTCTAATCCCAGCACTTTAGGAGGTTCGGGCAGGCAGATCAGTTGCGCTCAGGAGTTTTAGAACAGCCTGGCAACACATTTAGATCTTTTCCATACAAAAAGAAAAAGAAAAAGAAAATAGCTAGGTGTGGTGCTACCTCTGGTACCAGCTATTTGAAAGTCTGAGGTGGGAGGATCCCTTAAGCCTGGGAGGTTGATGCTGCAGTGAGCTGTGATTGTGCCACTACACTCCGGCCTGGTTGACAGAGTGAGACCCTTTCTTAAAAATACAAACTGTTTCAATAAGTAGAGCTTTGTGTCTTTGTGCTGTAATAATCAGTTGTATATATTTTCTAACTGTAACTCAGCATATGCATGGTGTTCTGTTTCTTTTTCTTTCATTTGCTGTTTTTGGAAATTAAACACCTCTTTAAACGCTCTTGTTCTCCCCTTTGGTTCGCTTCGGGTGTCCTGTTTTTCAGACTATTTCTTCATCTTCCCTTTTTCTTTGAAAGTCTTTTTCTTTCTCAGTTTCCATGCAGGATAAAGAAAGTCCCTTTACTTTCTGTCCTCCAAGTCTGGTGAACAGTTCCCTTCTCTTCATAACCACTGAAGCCAACCAAGTTTAGGAGGATAACAGTTCTCCTTAGAATATGCTCGTCTACCTGCAGACTCTCTGCCCTCCTCACCCTTTTCTAGGGTCCTGCACACATCACACTCATCCCATCCCCTCCCTTCCCTAAGTACCACAGAGTGGGCTCTGCAGTTCCTGCTTCCCTGTGTGTGCTCAGCCCTGGGGCTCACTAGTGCTTTGATGATGACGTTCAAATCCCCATGTGCTTAGACTCTCTAAGACCACCCTCTAGGAAGATGCCATTGTGAGTGAGTCCTGGAAATCATGGGCTGTGTTCAGTTTCATATTGCTGGATCTTCTCTATTTTAAAGGAATACTGGCAATTAAGATTAGAGTTTGTATTGAATATTCATGCCAAAAAAGTTTTCTTTCAAAACTTTTCAAATAAAACAATTTTTCCTGCCTAGTTTGAAAACTACAATGTAAATTCAACAAATAATATAATACAATTTTAAAGGTGACGTTTGTCTTATTGGTTATTCAATTTATTAAAAACAGAAGATATTTAAAATAAATTCCATTGCACATTTAAGTGATGTATTTGACAAGAATGGCATTTACATACATTTTTACCAAAACACGTATTTAAATATATTTGTCTTTTTAATATTGGTAGAGGCAGACATACACGTAGAAAAGCATCATTTTGTACTACAATCTCAAACTGTAAACACAATTTAAATTCAGTTAAATAATTAGAATAATATGAAACAGGCCGGGCGTGGTGGCTCATGCCTGTAATCCCAGCACTTTGGGAGGCCGAGGCGGGCGGATCACGAGGTCAGGAGATCAAGACCATTCTGGCTAAAACGGTGAAACCCCGTCTCTACTAAAAATACAAAAAATTAGCCGGGCGCAGTGGCGGGCGCCTGTAGTCCCAGCTACTTGGGAGGCTGAGGCAGGAGAATGGCGTGAACCCGGGAGGCGGAGCTTGCAGTGAGCCGAGATCCCGCCACTGCACTCCAGCCTGGGCGACAGAGCGAGACTCCGTCTCAAAAAAAAAAAAAAAAAAAAAAATGAAACAAATAGGTGCGTTGTTTTGGTGTTTAGATATACATTCACTTTTGCATGGGCACATGTATGTGTCTTTGCTGGGCTGTTGTGTATGTATGTGTGCTTGTATGACCATCAAGTTTTCAAATACATCATTAAATTTCATAGTTACATTCGTCTTGGCCAGGCACGGAGGCTCAGGCCTGTAATCCCAGCATTTTGGGAGGCTTAGGCAAGCAGATGACTTGGAGTTAAGAGTTCAAGACCAGCCTTGTCAACATGGCAAAACCCCATCTCTACGAAAAATACAAAAATTAGCCAGGTGTTGTGGCACGTGCCTTTAGTCCCAGTGCGACAGGGAAATGCTGGGTCAGAAATCCCACACAAAGTCTCTACTTGGTTACCACCTAATGGAACTGTAGGAAGAAAGCCACCATCCTTCAGAACCCAGAATGGTAGATCCACTGACAGCTTGCACAGTGTGCCTGGAAGAGCCAGAAACACTCAGTGACAGCCCATGAGTGTAGCCAGAAGGGAGATTGTGCCCTGCAAAGCCACAAGGGCAGAACTGTCCAAGACCATGGGAACCCACCAGTTGCATCCGGTAACCTGGATTTGAGACATGGAGTCAAAGAAGACTATTTTGGAACGTTAAGATTTGACTGCCCAGCTGGATTTCAGACTTGCACGTGGCCTGCAGTTTGGACCAATTTCTCCCATTTGCAATGGCTGTATTTACACAATGCCTGAACCCCCATTGTACCTAGGAAGTAACTTGCTTGTTTTTTATTTTACAGGCTCATAGATGGAAGGGAGTTGCCTTGTCTCAGAAAAGACCATGGGCTGTGGACTTTTGAGTTGGGGCTCAAATGAGTTAAGACTTCAGGGGCCTGTTGGAAAGTCATGAATGGTTTTGAAACGTAAGGACATTAGATTTAAGAGGCGCCAGTGTTGGAATCATATGGTTTGGCTGTGTCCCTGCACAAATCTCATCTTGAATTGTATCTCCCACAATTCCCACGTGTCGTGGGAGAAACCCAGTGGGAGGTGATTAAATCATGGAGGGAGTTCTTCTTTGTGCGTTATTGTGATAGTGGATGACTCTCATGAGATCTGATGGTTTTAAAAAACGGGAGTTCCCTGCCCTCTCTTTGTCTGCTGCCATCTCCATGTAAGATAAAACTTGCTCCTCCTTGCCTTCCACCATGATGTGGAGGCCTCCCAAGCCATGTGTAACTGTAAGTCCATTAAACTTTTTCCTCTATAAATTACTCAGTCTCATGTATGTCTTTATTAGCAGTGTGAAAACAGACTAATACAGCAAATATCAATCTCTTAAAATATTTTGTTGTTCTGCATGTAATATAGCACAGTCTAATATGGGAGGTAAAATAAATCATCCATGGACCTTCAGATATAAGTCATAGGGTAATTATGCCTGTGTCCCTGAAGGAGTGAACTAGAGGTTATACACACTAGTGGCACTACCTTTGGCAAAGGGTGTTCAGGGGTTTCTGAAAGTTCTGATAATTTTAATTTTAAAATTGAATTTACTATGTATTTCTTCATCAACCTTTCCAGAAGATTTTTGGCAGTAAGAACAGCCTAGTATTGGAGTAATACTGATGAATTAGAGAGTTATTTTGTAATTATTCTCCTGAGATTTGCATGAATCAATTGATATAGAAGTTCGTATGTCCCAAGTTGAAACATCAGAATCAAGAAGGCTTCATCACCCTTAATGGCTGTGGTTTTTGGCAAGGCAGTACTTCAATTCAGCCAGAAAGAGAGACAACAATAAAACTTTCAAATGCAGGGGAGTCTGACCTCAGTCTCTCTCTTATAAAGGCAAAGGCAAAGCTGTGCCACATCAAGATTTTTCTTCAAGCCTTCAGAGTCAACATTGGGAATGGAAAAGCCAATCACTTTGTCCTTAGAGAAGGCGAAGATCTGAGAGGAATGCAGAGTTGTGTTCATGAAGGTGATGACATTGTTATTTCTTCTCCTTTGCCCAGTGACTGCTTTCAAGTTGAGTGTTTCAGATGTCAGACCTGACTTATAGGGATGGTTGTGACTGCACGTGACTGACAGGGACTGAGACTCTATATCTCTAAGTGTCCTGTCCTAGGAGCAGCTACAGGAGTCAGCCCTAGACTGGAAGTGCCCTCACTGACCCTCTGCCTCACCTGTGCAGCCTCTGGCCAGTTGAAGAAAGTTTTATCCCTGGAACATCTTTTGTCAAAACCACTCCAACTAGTATTCATGACCTATGGTCCACACCCTCAAGTACACAGACATGATCATGCTATGACTTGGTGTCTAGAAGATCCCTGCACTTTTAATTTTACCTCTAATATTAGACTCCACTTTATCACATGCGGACACAGCAGAATATTTTAAGACTTTGATATGTTATGCTGAAAAATTCAATAGTTCATAAAAGTCTACTTCCCATCACTGCCAGTGTTTACTACTGAGTAAGGATCTGCCATCCCCTAGGGAGGAACTATAATGGATGGTGTGCCCTGTTAGTGGTTATGGGAATGAATCCATCTTGTGGCAAATGGCAGCATCTTCTTGTTTTGCAAGATTAAATAGTTTTCTATGGTGTATAAATACAACATTGTCTTTATCCATTTGTCTATCTACTGACACTCAGATTGTTTCCATATATTGGCTAAGATTAATAGTGTTTCAATAAACATAGGATTCAACTATCTTAACAAGGTGGTAATTTCATCTGCTTTGGGTATATTTCTAAAAGCAGAATTTCTGGTCATATAACATTTCCAGTTTTAATTCATTTGGTGCCTTTATATTGCTTTCCATAATTGTGAAAATATAGAGTGGTATAGCCATTATGAAAAACAGTTTCAGTTTTGAGGTATGATCCATAAACAAATAATGTTTGATTATGGCTCTCCATGAGAATTTCTAATAAATATGATAGAAGTCAAGAAAGCGTCTCACATTAAAGCAAGGATTAATTTTATCCCTTACTCCCTCAAAAGCAAAAGATTGGAAGCATGCATGATGGAGGCTGTTAGCAGGGTTCAGAATGATATCATAAAAGGAAACTCAGTTGGATAAAAATGTTGGGCTTTCAGTCATAGGTATGTCGATACTCAATATGAAACCGCGAAGTCAAATGAGGATCTAGAATGTGTTCACTTGAAGCAACAGCACATTCTCAAACGCACCTATTGCTGCATCACAAGGGTGATGAACTTTTGAAACAAGTAAAGTGTGAGTGCACAGTAAGTGATAAAGTTATCACCTTTACATGAAGTTTGTTCAATATGCCAAAGGCTTTTACAGATTAATCATACACAAATATACACAATGTATTTTTGCATACACAGATGTCTAGAGGATGATTCTTTTAGGGAAAATTCTTCAGGTCACAGAAATCTGTGTAAGTTGGAGGTCCCATGAAAAAGTATCTCTTTATAAATACTGTTCTATTGCTCAATTAGGGAAAATGATCTCTGTTGGAGAAAGCTTCCAATTTTGCAGATTTCTTCATTGCTTCTTGAGTTGTAAGACATGAACCAAAAAATTGACTGGAGTTTTTTGGAGTTTCATGGCTGGAGTTTCATGGCTGTGTTGTTAAAAATTTCTTATACGGTTTCTTTCAATTATTTGAGATCAGTTTTTCTGATTTTTTTCTCCAGTAGATAAATTTTCACAAGATCTCAGGAAACCATGTCTCTGGTGCTTTAGTTTGAAAAACTAACTTCCTAGGTAAAGAAGCTTCTGTCTAACCATGATGAGCTCATTTCTTCTGCATACCATGAAGTTTGAGACCCCATTGTCCAGAATCATGAAAATTTTACACTCCAGTTTACTGAAAATCTTGACTTTGAATTTAATATTGATTGGCATTGACAAAAATGGTTCATTCTTGGATGTGTCCTAAGTTGCTCACCCAACATATCAGTGGACTGAGAATCTTCCATTAGCTCCCTCTGTCCATAGCACTGAGTCTATTGACAATCTTTGCAGTCCTCTATGAAGGAGAGTCCTGAGGTTCATCAGATTCTTGTAGACACTCAGATGAACCAAAGGAATTAACGGAATTGAGGACTGCCAGCCATTTCCACAACACTAGGAATAATTACCATCTAAGTGTAAAGGTCTACATCATTCAGAATACCCTGCATGACAGGCTGATGCAAAAAAAAATCCAACCCTGCAGAGGCTTCACAGCAACCCTCACAGTTCCTTCAGGGAAGAAATAATCTCCAAGTTCAGTGAGTCAGTAAAGCTGTTCTGAGCTACAGTAAACATTGGATTGGGCCCAGTTTTGTCTGAGTTCAATGTGATTGTTATACTCAGCTGCTGATCCTATATGGACTGAGTATGGATAATTTAAATGAGCCTGGCTGCGTGGTTTGTTATATGAAAACCTGAACTAAATATAAATAAAGGGCATGTCTGGACTAGCATGAGGGTGAGAGATTCTGGGAGCTCCACCCCCCTTACTCTTATTGCCCTTTCCTCCAGGAACCTCCAGGTCCTCAGGGTGAGAATCCACACAGATCCCTTCATGGCTCTATTGCCAGGAGACCAAATCTCTGATAAAATCACTCAGACCTTCTTCAGACAGACAACCCAGGGAAAGGGCATTTTTACACCCTTATGTATGTGGGGAAAGGTAATCCATACCCATTAGAAGCCCCTGCCAGCAGCCTAACTTTATCATGAAAATGGGTAAAATTAGCCAATAGGGGTACATTTAAGAAAATTTTCCTGTGATGTTCCATCCAGAAAAGAGCAAAAATCAGCTTCACACCTGGAGACTTCCTGTATCGGGCACAGCCCAGAGAAAGAAGATCACCACAGAATTAAAATGCAACTGTAAGAACATGTAATGCTTCCGTGTTCCACACATTATGTCTCACCAGTTTAGTCAATATGGATTAAATATGAGAGCGTGGCAATGCACAAACTCTATCTGAGGAGGAAAGTCAGAGAAAAAATGTTAAAGAAAATATGGCAATTTGAAGCCTCTGACACCAGCAACTTCAGCACCAAGGAAATGATTTCACCCTCATTGGCCTCAAATTTACTTTTCATGGAGCATCTTCAGGGTTCCAAAGTGAGACCAGGTGAATTCAATGTGCATGCACTTCCCGGGTGTCCACTTGTATTTTGTTTACTTTACTTCTATTTGCAGAAAGTAAACACATACTCAGCCTTAGTGTCAGTGTAGGGAGTGCTTTCCATGACATGAATACCAGAAAAAAAGGAAAAACATGGGGCCAATTAATGTAAAAATTAGCCACTGTGTGTGTGTGTGTGTGTGTGTGTGTAGGTGTGATTTGAATACTAGAGTTGGAGTGGGCTTCTATCCACATGCACCTGCACCTGCAGGTAGTCTCAGGTGCAATAATCAACTGCCTGACCCTAAAGGAAACAAGAATCTCCCCAAACCCCTGAAGAGTGTTTGGGTTTACCGTGTGTCCAGTGATTCAGTGCCTCTAGAGCTCCAGGAAGGGGCTCCCCGGTGATGCCTGAGATCTTTTCTTCAGGTCTCCCTGCAGAGTTCTCTGGGTTTCCTAAGGGCAATTCACTATTTCAAAAGATGGTGTGAGAAGCACATGCTGTCATTAAAGGAGAATTCTGAGCCACGGCACAGCCACTTTATACTGGGCTAGAGACACTGGTATGAATATACTCTGTAAGTTTAGACAGAAAGCCTCGTGCATGGTAGGGGCTGGGCTGCAGGGGGTGCTCAGGATAAACGCAGCACAGTCTCCCGCCCCAGAGCAGGTGCACAGGAGGCTGGGGAGGGGTTCCTCTCAGGGCCTGGGACTTCCTTTGAAAATATCTAAAATAAGTATTTCACAAGGGCTGCTGTTGTTTGTATAAATATCCTATTCAATTGTGAGCATTTATCAAACTGGATGTTGTAATGACAACCACTTTTACAATGGGGATTTCAAACTCCCCTAGATATCTTAATAGTAAGCAGCTGGAGGTCAAGAAGAGATCCTTTCTTTTAAATAAGTGCAATTTTTGGAGAAACATACTAATTCCCAAAATAACGCATTCACATATTAAGGTCTAGAAATGGCTCAAGTTGTCCCTGGTGCATTCGAATGTGGGTTCAAAGTGAGGTGCGTGTCCTGAGGGAGCTTGTTCTCCAGTGGAGGAAGCTCTGTCAACACAGAGTTCAGGGATGTGTAGGGGTCGCATCGCCTCTAACAGGATTACGGCTTGAACCCTCAGCATGTACAATTGTGTCGTCCATCTGTCATGTATTTGCTCTATCTCATCCTGGCTCAGGAATTGGGCTATTCAATAGCATCCTTCGTGAATATGCAAATCACTAAGGTTAATACAGATATCTCTGTGCCGTGAGAGCATCACCCAACAACCACACCCCTCCTTGGGAGAATCCCCTAGATCACAGCTCCTCACCATGGACTGGACCTGGAGCATCCTCTTCTTGGTGGCAGCAGCAACAGGTAAGGGACTCCCCAGTCCCAGGGCTGAGGGAGAAACCAGGCCAGTCATGTGAGACTTCACCCACTGCTGTCTCCTCTCCACAGGTGCCCACTCCCGAGTGCAGCTGGTGCAGTCTGGGCCTGAGGTGAAGCAGCCTGGGGCCTCGGCGAAGGTCTCCTGCAAGGTGTCTGGTTAAACTGTCATCACCTATGGTATGAATTGGATACGACAGACCCCAGGACAGGGGCTTGAGTGGATGGGATGGATCATCCTACCCTGGTGAACCCAATGTATGCCCACAGATTCACACACGGTTTGTCTTCTCCATGGACACCTCTGTCAGCACGGCGGATCTGCAGACTAGCTGCCTAAAGACTGAGGATGCAGCCATTTATTACTGTGTGAGGTACACCGTGTGGAAACCCACATCCCGAGAGTTTTAGAAACCCTGAGGAAGGAGGCAGCTGTGATGAGCTGAGGCAGTGGTGCAGCATGTCTCTAAACTTCCATTTTATCT
The DNA here is from genome assembly GCF_000001405.40 of Homo sapiens. Classification (NCBI taxonomy): domain Eukaryota; kingdom Metazoa; phylum Chordata; class Mammalia; order Primates; family Hominidae; genus Homo; species Homo sapiens. Next base: position 106,609,653 of record NC_000014.9, on the reverse strand, counting down.
AAGTTTGCATTGAGTTCCGCTTTAATATTAGCCAGGAATGTGGGATAGACGGGTGCTCCTAAGAGGTCCTTAATTTGCCCATTTTGATGGGTTTTCCAGAAGACGTGAGAAGCCACTTTGTTAACAAAGCATCCCAAAGCCATGCCCTGCTCCAGAAACACGTGTACCCATTTCCTGGTCTTTGGTTAACTGACAAGCTCTCATCAGCGCACCTGGGCTAATTTCTCATCAGGTAGAAAAATGTGTTGTAAAGCAAGGCTAACGTTGTGATAGCAATTCCTGCTCAATAACCTTCAGCATCGTTGTTGTTGTGTTCTATCAACTAATTACTTGACTTCAAGGTTCTCATTGGGAGTGTCTTATAAATTTAAGGGATATATAGAAGTTCCCCTAATTAAAATAAAACAATTGTGAGCACAACCTCAGTGTTCAACCATGTCTCCACCCTTCCCACCATTCACCCCAAAGAAATGTTCACCTCTCCTGGAAGTCGGGTTCATTTTCAAATTAGTTATTTTTTATTTTACTATATCAAGATTATTGTATGTGACTACTGTAGCAGAAAGTGAATTAGGGGAACTTGAAGTAACCAACGAAAGATAAATTCAGAACTAATTAAACAAGATGTCAGAACGTGATTGGCTCTAGTCTTTTAAAATTCAGCAGGTTATGTAACCAGGCTTTAAATTTACACATCTTCCTGTTACCTTCACGGCACAGTCAACTCCCATTATGTAAGAAATGGCAACTGCATTCCCAAGCGTCATCCAAAATTGTAAAAATAGACTGGGTGAGGTGAGGAGTTGATTGTTTAAATTCCGCTCTGAAGAAGCAGCATCAACTCAACAAACCACCGCTTTTCCCTCAGTGACTAGAGCTATGTCGCAGGCCACATGGACCTAAATATCCTTGATAGAGATAATAGGACTACATAAATTGGGCTGATCATTTTTATGCTGTAAAATTAATAGGTGAGTCTGCACTCCAGCCTGGGCAACAAAACAAGTCTTGCCTGTAAATACAAAAGAAAGATAAATTAATAGGTACTGACTTTGACATTTCGGATAATAATATTTTCATAAACCGAATTTAATTATACCCACATTGTTACCTACACCTTCACTGAAAAGTTCCTAGTTATCATGAGTTCCATCAACACTCCACGTGTTCAAATCTGGACATCCAAGAGAGTCTGGAGAATAAAATGCAATGAGGGCAGTGAAACTTGCATATATTCAGCACCTCTTAACTCAGGAGGACTCAATACACCCTGGAACACTCTGCTTTTCTGAATGGCTCACAATGACTCCAGCTCACTCTCCAACCTCCTCAAACATCTGGCTTCTGTTTGCCCTAAGTTCACGCTCTGCTCTTAGTCTGTGCTCTGAAGTCTTTGCAAAGGTGAAAATGAGCTGTCAGATGGAACTTCCTTCTCACCTCAGCATGGAATTTACTGTTTCATTTAATGACCACTCTTTCCATAATGGTTGATTTCTTTCAGCCTGTTCATTACTGGTGATTTTCAAGGGAATCTCTATTGAATTTTTACATTTTTGCATTTTTGTCTCGGTGACAATGTTGAGAAGTTTTTACCTCTAGCATCATAACATGATCTAGTGACCTGACACATTTGTGGCAAGCAATACCTACAAATTCAGAAGTTCTTTGGTTACTTTCCACAAAATATAATTATTTCTGGTCTGTGTATGAGCATATCCTAGCAACCTTGTACTCCACACAGGTAGATGTCTACAAGCCTATGAATTAATCTCTGTAAATAAAAATTTATCTCAATTTCTTTCAATGTTCATAATTCTTCTGAGGATGAGGAAGATCTTTCTGGATCTATTCAGACAATAGGCCCAGAGACCACCTGGTATGTAAGGAGCTCACCTGGCTCACCTGGTTCCCCCTGTTGTCTCACATAAGGTCAGCCCACTTGTTCAGGTCCTAAGAAGAGAGCTCAGTTTTATCTGATTTTACAACACTCCCAATTTCTGCTGACTCTCCTGTTACCCACATCCATGGAGATACATTATTTATTATACAATTAACCAAAGTAATGTCAAAGGCCCAATGTGCAATATTGCACATCCTAGGGTATGTTCATGCAATTGAATCGAGGAGAAAGTCTTTCAGAGACAGATGGATCTGAACTGGTAAATATGTGTGTAAGGACTCTGGGCTTAAGTGTCATTGTCCAGCCATGTTTCACAGGTGTGACCTGTCAGGGAAGAACCAGAGTTCCTTGTGTTCTCAGAGGGGAGGGGTCCCAGAAGTCCTCTCTGGTTCCCAGGAAAGGTAATTGCATTAATCTTGGTGATGAGACTATCATCCAGTGATGATGTACTATAGAGTTTATGTTTGAAGTTGACACTGCTATCGCAATCTACATCTTTTCACACAGAAGTGTTTAGAGGTCAGGCCACATCTTCAGGATCCCACATTGAGAAGGACAGAGATATATTCCACTACCTTCTCCTGAGATCTCAGGCAGAAACCCAAATTTCAAAAGGTCTCAGAAGGGCAGCTCTCAGGGGCTATTTAAAAATAACCCACTTCGTGGGACAGGGAGCATCCTTCTAACCATGATGGATGTTCTGAACTACAATAAACATTGCATGGATCCAGGGTCTGAATTCACTGTGATTATTACACTCCACTGCTGTTTCAATGTGTCTGAAGGGGTAAATGACAATTTAGATGACCTGGGTGTGTGGTTTGTTTTATATAAATCTTCAAGGATAGAACAGCATTGAACCTATTCCAAAATCTGTCCCTGATCCAAGATCACACTGATCTCCCAGACCAGCATCTTCAGCACATTTCCCTACCTGGAAGAAGAGGACTATGGGCTTGGTAAGGGGAGGCCACAGGAAGAGAACTGAGTTCTCAGAGGGCACAGCCAGCTTCCTACTCCCAGGGCGAGCCCAAAAGACTGGGGCCTCCCTCCTCCCTTTTCACCTGTCCATACAAAGTCACCGCCCACATGCAAATCCTCACTTAGGCACCTACAGGAAACCAGCACACATTTCCTTAAATTTGGGATCCAGCTCACATGGGAAATACTTTCTGAGACTCATGGGCCTCCTGCACAAGAACATGAAACACCTGTGGTTCTTCCTCCTGCTGGTGGCAGCTCCCAGATGTGAGTGCCTCAGGGATCCAGACCTGAAGATATGAGATGCTGCCTCTCATCCCAGGGCTCACCGTGGTTCTCTCTGTTCACAGGGGTCCTGTCCCAGGTGCAGCTGCAGGAGTCGGGCCCAGGACTGGTGAAGCCTTCGGAGACCCTGTCCCTCATCTGCGCTGTCTCTGGTGACTCCATCAGCAGTGGTAACTGGTGAATCTGGGTCCGCCAGCCCCCAGGGAAGGGGCTGGAGTGGATTGGGGAAATCCATCATAGTGGGAGCACCTACTACAACCCGTCCCTCAAGAGTCGAATCACCATGTCCGTAGACACGTCCAAGAACCAGTTCTACCTGAAGCTGAGCTCTGTGACCGCCGCGGACACGGCCGTGTATTACTGTGCGAGATACACAGTGAGGGGAGGTGAGTGTGAGCCCAGACACAAACCTCCCTACAGATAGGCAGAGGGGGCGGGCACAGGTGCTGCTCAGGACCAACAGGGGGCGCGCGAGGCCACAGAGCCCGAGGCCGGGTCAGGAGCAGGTGCAGGGAGGGCGGGGCTTCCTCATCAGCTCAGTGATCTCCCTCCTCGCCAGCACTCAGATGTCCCCAGGGCTCCTGTTTCTTTATTGTCTGTGGTTCTGCTTCCTCACATCCTTGTGGCAGACAAGAAAGGAGGAAGACAATTTTTCTGTTTACTGTTGAGGTTTCACCAATTACTAGGAACTTTCCTACAAGTTCCTGCGTGACTCATTTTACCGTATATGTGTGTGTGTATAAATATATACACATACACACACACACCATATATATACACCATATATATTATATAGATACACACCATATATATTATATATATACACACCATATATATTATATATACACACCATATATATTATATATATACACACGATATATATAATATATATATACACACCATATGTATATTATATATAAACACACCGTATATATATATGGTTCTCACCATCTCTTGATTTGTGTCATCAATGGAATTGTGCCTATTTGAAATTCATTTACCCAAACCTTAAATCCAATGGATCTATACCGGAATTTTAATGATGTAATTAAGGTTAAATGTGGTCAAAGTGTGAGACCCTAATTCAATAAACCAGTTGTCTTTATAAGAAGAGGAAGAGACACCCGAGACCTCTCACTTTTCGCGTGCACACAGAGAAGAAGCCGTGAGGAGACGTAGTGCACTAGAAGGTGGCCCTGTGCAAGCCAGGAAGAAGCCGCGCTAAGAACCAATTTTTACAGCTCCTTGATCTTCCACATTCAGACTGCAGAATTGTAAGAAAATCAATATTTGTTGTTTAACCCACCCACTCCTGTTGTCTTCTTATGAAGATCCAAACAGACTGATACCACGTAATTCTGTTAGCTCTGGTTCGTGGAGGGAGGAGCAGCCCCCTGAGGCTGGACACTTCTCTCAGATTTCCACGTGAAGTAGGTAAAAATAGTAGCTCTCATATAAAAATGTGTCATGACCCTGTTGGCCATTTTTGAGCAAGGTCTCTGAAACCAGCCCTTGTGTGTGTGTCACAAATGTTTTCTTTTATCTTTTATTTGGACATAACACATAGACAAGGGGTACCAGCTGGATGGAGACTGGTCACTGCCCATCTTCTGTTGTCTCCTTAGTATGTCACAGAAAACCACACCAACATCACCAACGTCACTGTTTTTCTTCAACCACCTCAAACCGACTATAGAAATGATCCCTGCAGTATAGTCTATTTCTTCAACTTTCTAAATTTGCACTGAATCTCTTCCTAAATGGGGAGCTACATGGGGTCTGAGTTTTGTTCCTTTCTTCCCAGTCTTCCCCAAGTGCCAAGGACAGAATAGACTTAAAATAAAATTTGGCCGTCAGTGGCCCCAACCCCACATCACTTTCTAAAACCCACATCCTGCATCCATCCTTCTCTGGACACCCCTCATCGGGCTACCTACGAATGGCCAGAAGCTGCCATCACCTTCTGGGCTGAGGCCACGAGTTATACACACGTGTGATTTCAGTCACACACACTCTACTGCAGGACACACCTGTGTTCTGAGGCACTCAGGCACCTGCTGATCTCAGTCATTCTCTAATAAATTACACATCTCTTATTAATAAAGGTCCAGATGGTCCCATCAGCTGCAGAGCAGTGGAGTAAAGCTCATGGGTGGGTCCGTCAGGTAGAAGTCAGACAATGGATGGGATGGCTGGTCACTTCCCTTTTCACTGATGTCCCCAGTGAATATTAATGGAATAAAACCATATTAACTACAGAGGGACAGAAAAGAAGACTAGCTCATCAAGGTATTTAAGGACCAGGAACTTTATTTGGGGGGAAAGTGAAAGACACTTTTAAATGGAAAGCCCTAAAGCACATACAACAGCTGAGAGAGTGGCCACTGTGCACATGAAGGCTGAGGAGACGGATGGCAGCGTCCGTTCCTCCAAGATGTCCCTGGGTGTGTGATGGTTGGACTCCTTATGCATATGAATATAAGAGCTGGACTCAGGGAGAAAAAAGGGCCATATCCCATAGGAAAGGAAGACAAAAAAGCAGATGGGCATCCCTGGAGAGAGCTCATTAGATTTGGTGTGTTTAAGACAAAAATTTCTTCCAAAAATTGTAATGTTCTAAGCTAAATATGAACCTCTTCAATAAACTGAGAATTAACAGGAGAATAGAGCTATGAGTTGAGAGAAGAAACAAATCATGAGAGAGCAGAAAGCAAATCCACAAAAAACTGTCATATGACAGAAGTCAGAATGGAGCTGGGGCAGCTACTTCATTATTCTGAAGACTTGTTGACCATGTGGAGAAGGGGCTTGAACAAATGGGGACGTTCTCCAACCTTCTGAATCAGCCTCCTTCTTATGCATGAGTAAAAATCATAGTTCTGGGGGTGACCCTCCCAATTTTCCTGTCTGTACCTCTTCCCCCAGGGGTAGAGTGTCTTCCCAACCACAATGGTTTCTCACCAGTGTCCTCAGCTTCTCCTCCATTGAACTTACCCTGCAGATTAAGAATTTCTTCTAGATGTAGTTCTTTGGGAATTTTCTGTTTTCTTTAGTTTCTGTTGACTCCACCACACCCCATAGGTCACAGGTTTGATTGGATTTCCCCTGGAGACAGTGGAGGTGGATCCAGGCGTTCAACAGTCCTCGCTGTTCCTCCCTTCCTGTCAGCACCACAGGACAGCAGATAAGGGAGTTGACTGTAGATTTTTCGAATTCTTGGGAAAATCCTGCAAGGACTAGTAGATTCACACTCCAATACCATTAGCACATGCATCCAAAAAAAATACTCACGAAATATTTCCAGGTTAGCCTGTTCCTCTCTCAATGCCATCCAGTGGCACCTGCCCTGGGTTCACCAACATGTGGGCCCCACTCCTCTCTGCTGGCATCTCTCTCCTCACATTTCAGTCTTCTCGTTAGCTCTGTGAAAGCAACTCAGATATGTTAAAAGGTTTTCTTCTTCATTTATTCAGTTTTTCAGGTTTGTTGTTAATGAGGTCAGAATAAGACCATAGTTTTCTCATTTTTCACATTCCCACACTGAGTAGCCACTTTCTATATAAAAGCCAGAAACTAAGGGAACAAATCAAATATCCATATCCACTACAGGTGAACGTTAAACAATTTGACATATGATTATGAACTAAAGTACAATGCAGAATTAGAATCAAGGCATCCTCATTCTCATAAAAGCATGTCTACATTCTCAAATAACTCTGCTGAGTGAAAGTAGCTGAAGAATTAAGAGTGCAATTCATAAACTTCTAATTGTATAAACTGCAAAAGGTCCAACTATTCTAAAGTAACAGAGCAGATTTGAAATTTGTGAGAAACGGGTGTTGAAAGTAATTGGCTGGTGAGATGAAATTACAGAGAAGTGACAGAAAGATTTAGGGGTTAACTTAATTGTACACAACCTGATTAAAGTTTGCACACATACGTTACCATTTTCCAAATTGTGCAGTGTAGATTTGAATTAATTATTAATTGTACTTAAAAAAAGCAGTAACAAATAAACACATGAATATGTTTACTGAGGAGGAACAAAAAATAGATGGGTATGAACACTGGAAACATCTCAGACTCTTGAAAGTACACAGGCTTGAACACTGGTTCTCTCCGTATACTTCCGGTAAACGGCTGAATACACTAAAAGAAAACAGAGATGTCCTGGCAGGGGTGGAATCCTGCAGACCTCACTAGGTGTGTCCCACACTGCCCTGGAGTTGTCTCAGGGGAGCAGTCTCCTCTAGTGGTCAGAGGCACAGGCTGAGATAATGGGGTTAACTCTGTCCAGCTGTGTGACTTTGAATGCATTGTATAAACACTCTGTTCTGTATGTAATTTATCTTCCTTAAAATGCAACATTGACACTTACATTAAATGTATTCTACAAATATGTCAAAAAGAAGATGATGACTGCTAAATGATTATCAAGGCACAATCACATAATATAATGATATTTTCCTGAGTGATAAGATGACTACCAATCTCGGGGGCACTTTGTCTGCTCTGAGCCCTGCCCCTCCTCAGGATTCCCATCCCAGAGCTTGCTATACAGTAGGAGACATGCAAATAGGTTTCTCCCTCTGCTGATGACCAGTCCTGACCCCATAGCTCTGGGAGAGAAGCGCCAGCCCTGGGATTCCCAGGGGTTTCCATTTGGTGATCAGGACTAAAGACAGAGGACCCACCATGGAGCTTGGGCTGAGCTGGGTTTTCACTGTTGCTGTTTTAAAAGGTGAACTAGAGAGATTGAGTGTGAATGGATACACTTGAGAGAAACAGTGGATATGTCTGGAACTTTCTGACCAGGACACCTACAAAGTTTGCAGGTGTCCAGTGTGAGGTACAGCTGGTGGAGTCTGAAGAAAACCAAAGACAACTTGACAACTTGGGGGATCCCTGAGACTCTCCTGTGCAGACTCTGGATTAACCTTCAGTAGCTACTGAATGAGCTCAGATTCCCAGGCTCCAGGGAAGGGGCTGGAGTGAGTAGTAGATATATAGTACGATAGAAGTCAGATATGTTATGCACAATCTGTGAAGAGCAGATTCACCATCTCCAAAGAAAATGCCAAGAACTCACTCTGTTTGCAAATGAACAGTCTGAGAGCAGAGGGCACAGCTGTGTGTTACTGTATGTGAGGCACCAGGTAAGAAGACATCAGTGTGAACACAGACACAGAATTTCCTGAAATAAGGGAGGAGTCTGGGCTAAAAGGGCACTCAGGACCCACAGAAAACAGGGGAAGCTCTAGGGCAGGTGCAGATGGTCATCATGGGCTGCTTTCCTTGAGGGTCTGAGGCTTCCTCTGCATCTAACAGTTTCCCTGGGAGCCTCTCTACATTTATGCTTCTGTGGCCACCCCTGAGGTCTCTGGACATTCTCATTTGTTGCAAAGGCAGATGTAAGTATTGGAGGCATAAAAATGCACAGGAGGCCAGGGAGTCTGTAGACATTGTTACCCCAGAAGGTCAATCTCACCACTAGTGCTGGAGGAGGGTGGGAGTTTGATGAAGCTGCCCTAAGTATCCTGTGGTCTAAGCTAAGTCCAACGAGGCCATTTGTGCCTCCCTGAGCACAGTTGTCCATCAGAGATGTCCCATGTGTCCCAGCAGCAGCCATGTCTCAGTGTCTTCACTGTGCACAGCCATTGTCTGGGAGGAGCTCCCAGGATGGGTGTCTTTGGCACACACCAGGTGGCGGGTGTTAGAGTGCGGTGCAGCAGCTGGCTGCCTGTTCTATTGGGCTCCCTGATGCTGGAGAGATGGGAGGTGCATTCTCAGGTCCAGCACCCTGTTTGTGAATTTTTATATAAAACCATGATTTTACTTCATTTTCTCAGATGACATAGATAATTAGGAACAGAACCTGCAAAGAAATTGTAATTTTCAACTTTACCCCAAATTTATTGTTTCTTAATTCTGTGTAAGATCCAGACATATTATTGCCTTCCTCATGAGAAATTGTTCTATTTAAAATGAAATTAGTTTTTTCTCACATTCTTTGTTTCTGTTCAAGTACAGAGATCTTTATTAAAGTAAGTTGGGTTCTTTCCACACACTAACCCTCACCTCCCCCAGAGAAAGAGCAGAGATTTTCCTCACTCTGAGTCTAAGGGAGGAGCTGTTCCTGCACGACTCAGAGCCTGCAGAGACCCCCCCCCGCCAGGTGCAGCTTCAGTGAGTCAGGTATTTCTCCTTGTGGGTGACCTCCACCGCCAGTGATTGCTGCTCAGGTCTAATTGTGGGTTAAGCATTAGGACACCCTTCAGGTGATCACATCTCAGTCTTATTCTGAAAATCACCATGAACAGAGATAGTTCAATGTCTATTCTCCTGACATTAGTTTCTCTTTATTATTTGGTTCCAAGTATGGAGAAAAATGTGACAATAAATTTGTCAGAATCTAACCTCAGTATCCACTGCATTACTCTAGGAGACTCACAAATTGAACACAAATGAGCCCTTTATTCTCATAAAAGTGTATGTATTTGGGAATTTCAATGTGTTCTCCAGAACCTGTGCATGCCAACAACTGTGTTTCTCAGTGCCCACTTGGCCTGGTGAAGCCCTCACAGACCCTCTCCCTCACCTGTGCTGTCTCTGGATTCCCCATCACAACCAGTGCTTCCTGCTGTAGCTGCATTCATAAACCCCCCAGGAAGGGACTGGAGTGAATCCGGTGCACAGGTCATGAGGGAGTGCACATTCCAACCCACTCCTCAAGAGTCCAGTCACCATCTCCAGATCCATGTCCAAAAAGCAGTTCTTCCTACAGCCGAGCTAAGTGAGCCGCAAGCACACAGCCATGTATTTTTAACAAAAGACACAGTAAGGTAACCACAGTGGGAACTCACACCCAAACCTCCCTGTGGGGGTGCACAGGACAGCCACAGTTACTCAGGACCCCAGGATTCCTCAGGACACCAAGGGGCACTCAAGGCCATTGTAGATGCCCTCAGGTAGCCAAGGGTTCTCAGGAAACATGGAGGAAAACCAGGACCCCAAAAGGTGCTCCGTACAGCAGGGGACTCAGGACAATTGTGGGGACTCAGAGCAGGCTCAAAGCTCAGCTTCAGGGCAGGTGCAGCTGGGGTTGAAAGGGGCTGGATGAGGGGTTTTGTGACACCATCATATTTCACCACTAGACACACTCCACTTTGTCTATTCTAACGCATGAGAGTGTATGATTAGAAAATGATATTTATATAAATACATAACCATAGTTAGCTGTGTCAAGTTGTCCTCTTGCTAGGTGTCCATAGCTAGGTGCATCAGCCTTGTCCATAAGGACTAATTCCCCGCAATTACTGGAGAATCTCATAAATTGTGGTCAATTATGTCAGATTCCTCTCTTTTTCTGCCTTCCTTTCTCCCTTCTTCTCTCTCTCTCACACAGAAACTTACATACACCCACCCCACAACACACCAAAATCTATAACTTTTATTACCTGATATATTCAATAAACCTGATTAATGTGCAGCTTTTCCAGCTTCGTTATTTATGCTGTTGTAACAATAAGAACAATGTGTTTCCTAGCTGTGTACTTCTCTAAGCTGAGTAGCATCTTTGTTTATAATACCTAGAATTAAAAACAACCCAAAAGTCAATCACCAGCTTAACTGGTAAACAAATTGAGGAAAAGTCATTCATTGACATACTATCCACTACTACCATCAACTAATGTTGGGTACACTCAACAGCATGGTTAAATTCACAAGTACTTGTGATGAGTAAAATGAGCCAAAGTAACAAAAGTGCATACATAAGATACAACTTTCATAAATTCTATAGAACAAAAAGTAATCTAAAGTTACATAAAAATCAGTAGTTCACTGTGAGTATTGTAGGAGAGGGGAAGGACTAGGAAGGAGGAATTATAGTACAAGACAAAATTTTGAGGGAATTGACTTGTTATCTATGTTGCTAGTGATGATGTCTATGACCCATTTGTAAAATTGAACACTTCATATGGAGATTATTATTTTTAATTTAACTCCATTAATGACAGTACTAATTATAGTAGGTATAATTTGGTATCAAAAGAATTAGACAGAGATAAATAAAATACATGAAAAGTCAGAGACTCTTGAATATACACATAAATGAGCCCTGGGCATCTCTGTATTTTTAGAGAAATGCTAGAATATAGAAAAATAATGGCATAATTTTATGTCACTAAAAAAGTTTATCGAACTCCACCAGTCATGTGGTATTAGTTCATTTTCACACTGGTATAAAGAACTACCTGAGACTGGGTAGTTTACAAGGAAAAGAGATTTAGTTGGCTCACCGTTCTTCATGGCTGGGGAGGCCACAGGAAACTTACAATCATGGTGGAAGGTGAAGGGGAAACAAGGCACATCTCCCAGGGCAGCAGGAGAGAGAGAGAGGGGGGAAGTGACACATACTTTTAAACAATCAGTGGTTGTTAGAACTCACTCACTACCATGAGAACAACATGGGGAAACTGGACCCATGATCCAATCACCTCTCACCTGGTCCCTCCCCTGACATGTGGGGATTACAATTTGAGATGATACTTTGATGGGGATACGAAATCAATCTATATCACATGTCCAGCTCTGTCCTGGAGTTGTTTCAGGGACCCAGGGTGTCCGGCTGATAGAACCAGTGACACCAAGCTCACACCCTCAGCTGTAGTTGACACCACACAAAGCCAAGAGATTACAACTAAGATTTAGTTTGAATGTCGTGTCTGATGAAGTCACACACTCAGAGAAAGTGAATATGGAAAAGTTTATTATTTGCACTCTATAGGTGTCTGGTGAGTGCAGGGCAGGTCTCCCAGGAAAATCTGAAACAGCTTGAAAGAAGAAGAAAGGAGACTGGCTCAGCATTTTTATGATGGTTTGGTCCTGGGGGCAGAGTGAGGCTTCCCACTCACAGAAAGGGGTTTGCAGGGTTTGAAACTCCCCCTGGCATCGAATGAAGAAGCTCCTGTGATTTCAAACTAGAGCCACCTTGTGTGGCAAAAAAGGAGATGATGGAGGAATATGCTTTAAATCATCAGCAGTCATGCACCCAAAAATAGTGTGACAACTTATTCTATGCAGCAGGAATAAAAATAATTAATAAGAAAGAAGATAAGGGTTCAGTGTGGGTGGACAACACGCAGGTCTACAGAAATGAGATGACTTTAGAAATATAAGCAAAGGATAATGAAAAAAAGGAGGGGAAGGGGAATTAAACAGGGTCCTGGTCTGATGTCTTGGGTAGAAGCTTCTCACAATCAAGGACTACCAGCTCATTCTGCAGGTCTTAGGTCAGCCATCTGCTTAAAAACATCAGAAACGCCAGAGAATCTATGAACATGCTCAGTTTAACATTTCCTATTTGAGTAGCTTTACAGTTATGTGAAATTCTTAACTGGTTCTTGATTTTTCTTTTAGATACAGGCTCTCACCCTGTCACACAGTTTAAAGTGCAGTGGTGTGATCATAGCTCGCTGTAATTTTGAACTCCTGACTCATATTCTTCCCATCTTAGCCTCTTGAATATCTAGAACTAGAGGGGCATGCCACTCATCCCCTCCTTATTTTTTATTTTATTTTTTCATATAAATAAGGTCTCTTTGTGTTGCCCAGGCTGGTTTTGATTGCCTGGTCTCATGGGATTTCCCTCACTTCCCTTCTGAAAGTGGTGTGATTATACAGATGATCCAGTGCATCTGGCCTGAATTTATTCTTTAATTGTAAAATACGAACCCAATAATTAACTGCCTGAATGTTTTCTGCAGTGAGTTAGTTAAAAGGATCTGACAAGATTCCTTCCAATATGATTCAAGAGCAGTATTGTCCACTGATGTTCCTTCCAGTTTCCTTGTTGAAGATCACAAGAGTCTGTGGAAAAGAGGTAGTAAAAAGGCCGCCTCAAACTCTTCGTGGTTGGAGTGGGTACCACACATGCAAGCAGTAGGACAAGGATGATCTCTGGGGTAAAGTCTATAAACATATAGGCCTTTTAGCTGCCAAGTCATAGGGTAATAACTGATGCATCCTGAGGAGTGGACCATGGTTTCATAGTGCTAGTGGGAGAACCCTTGGCCAAGCAAGTTTTACATTTTATTAAAGATTTGATAATTTTAATGTAAAGAAGACATTTTTTAAACGTTCCCAGAAGATTGTGAGTGGTATTGATTCTGTCTCGTATGAACAATGACAGTGCTCTCCACGGTTAGATTATGTTATAAACTAGAATGAGGTAGAGTGTTTGGTGTATTAAATCACTATTTTTTTAGCTTCTATGTTAGTTTTTTGTTTGTGTGTTAGCATTTGCTTTAAAATTCTATTAATCAGATCTCTAGTTGGTAGAAATTCATCTGAAAGTTTCTTCCATTGTTGTCCATTTTGATAGGATTTCCAGAAGATGTAAGAACCCTCTCTGTTTGCAAAAATATTCCAAAGTTGTGCACCATCTAGAAACATAGTTACTTAATTCTAATTTTTAATTTATTAAAAAGTTGTGATAAGTGCAAAGTTTTCTGCCTTCTGAATTGATTTCATAACACACAGAATAATATATACTAAATGGAAGTTTGTACTAGTAATACAAATTACTGGTTCATAACCTCTACTTTTATTATTGAGGTATTATCCATCAATATATAATCTTAAATCAATGATCTCAGTGGGAATCTTACCTAAGTAATATACAAAATATTTTCCTGATCTTGACATAAAATAGATGTGAACACATTCTTCATATTCAGCCATGTCTCCTGTCTATCACATTATGAACCACATGCTAACTTTGATTTACTTGGGACTTGCTCTAATTTCAAACTAGTTATTTTTTATCTTCACGCAGCTGGATTATTATGTGTGGCTATTTTACCAGAGTGATAAGATACAATACTAACAATTTTCACTGCAGGCATGTCTAGGCAAGCGCCCTGTGCACAATGACCTTAGTGGGTTGGACATTCTATGGGGACTCTCCCCTGTCTGCCTAGGAGAGTTATCTGCCTCCTCCCTCTATCATTTTCCTCTTTGAATAAGTGCATCTAACCCGTTAGAATACAAAGGCCAACCTTAACTGCTCCCAGCTGACAGGGGATGCTGTTTTGGGAAGATCTCCCTTGAGGTCTGTCTAAGGGACCCAGTAAAAGGGAGCCATTATCCCAGGCTTCACTTGGATGACCATTTGGAGTTGATGCCTGAAGGTGAGAAGAGACAAACCGGGTTATTAGAAGACATGTATCAAAACCAAACAAGGTGGTAAGGACAGTTTGAAAAAAAATTCCAAGGCTGCTGACACACCCAGATAACTGGTGGCTGTAGTTATGCCTGCTAAGATTTGGGTGCATGGGGCTTGGCTTTCGTTACCTCCCTTGGACTTATTTTCCCAAACAAAGAAACCTCCGGGTTAGGGGGACCCTATTTATTCCAGTCACCTGGCATGATTTGCAGGATAATTGCTCAGAATTAAAATATTCGTCCAGATGTTTATATAGCCCATGCCTGTGTTTCTTCTGAGCTGCAGCCAGAGATCATTGGTTGGTTCACAGCGATAAGCAGAGTTAGTCTAAAATGGAGGCAAATACTTAAAACTTATTTCTTCTCTCAGTTAATGGATTCTATAGAGAAAAGTAGCTACTCGGCATGGGAATGTAAAAAAATGAGTAAACTATGATCTTATTCTGAACTCATTAACAACAAACCTGAAAAACCAATTGAAGAGACTGTAATTTAAAGACAAGTGTATGATATGTTTTGAAACATAATTTTTCTCTCTCCAGTTCTGATTTTTGTCAGAAACTAATCATTATAGGACTGAGTGATTTGCAAAATAAACTTTAGTCTTATGGTTGGTCTGATCATTTGCATAAAGCGAAGCCATAATAATTAATAATAATTCTGTAGGAAAAGCCTGCAAGCACGAGGAGCTTCACAGTCTAACACTATGAGCACATGCATCCTCCAGCAACTCACTGAATATTTTCAAGTCAGCTGGTTCTTAGCTTAAATAACATCCAGTTGGTATCTGTCCCAGGAACACTAATATATGGTTCTCTCTGCAGGCCCCTTTCTCCACAGATTAAGGGTTTTTTTTTTTCTCTGTAATATCAACTCAGATATGTTGAATGCTTTTTCCTTATTAGTGGTTTTTCAGGTTTGTTGTTAATGATTTCAGAATAAGATCATTGTTTACTCATTTTTTTTAAATTCCCGTGCCGAGTAGCTACTTTTCTCTATAGAATCCATTAACTGGGAGAAAAAATAACATTTTCTTATGGGTGAACAATTAAATAGTTTGACATATATTTATGTACTGGTATATAATGCAGCTTGAAATCAAGGCATGCCTCAATCATAAAAATCATGGCTAAATTCTCAAAGAATTGTGCTGAGTGAAAGAAGCTAAGGAATTAAGAGTAAATTTTATATAATTCATTGTAGAAATATTAGAAGATGCCACTACCATAAATTAAAATGAAGAAGACTTAAATTTTTCTGAGAAAATGGTGTTGGGAATGATGCGGATGTGATTTAAGTTTCAGAGGAATAAGAAAAAGATTTAGGGATTAATTTAATTATTCAAAAGTTGATTGAAGTGCCGAGTGAATGGCTGCAAACATAGCTCTACATTTTTCAAATCATTCCCTATAAATTTGAATTAATTATTTATTTTTATACTTGAATAAAGCAATAACAAAGAAATAAATGAATATTTTTGCTAAAATGGAGCAATAAAAAGACTGATATTGACAGAAGAAATATGACTGACTTCTGAAAATACACACACATGAGCCGTGGTTCTCTCTACATATTTAGATAAATTACAGAAAGTTGTCATAACTGATGGGGAATCCTGCAGACTTCACTAGGCATAGTCCACACTGCCCTGGAGTTGTCTCAGGGGAGCTGCCTCCTCCAGTGGTTAGAGCACAGGCCCAGGTAATAGGACTCATTTTTTTAGATGTGTAATTTTAGACACACTGCACAACTGCTGTGTTCTCTGTGCAAATTATCTCCTGTAAAATGTAACATTGAAACCTGCCTTAAATATATTGTGTAAATATGTAAAAATAAAATCAGATTGTGAGAGCTAAATGCTAATCAAGGCGCAATCACGTAATATACAATTATATTTTCCTGAATGATGGAATTAATACCAATCTCCCCCAGGACACTTCATCTGCACGGAGCCCGGCCTCTCCTCAGATGTCCCACCCCAGAGCTTGCTATATAGTCGGGGACATGCAAATAGGGCCCTCCCTCTGCTGATGAAAACCAGCCCAGCTGACCCTGCAGCTCTGGGAGAGGAGCCCAGCACTGGGATTCCGAGGTGTTTCCATTCGGTGATCAGCACTGAACACAGAGGACTCACCATGGAGTTTTGGCTGAGCTGGGTTTTCCTTGTTGCTATTTCAAAAGGTGATTCATGGAGAACTAGAGATATCGAGTGTGAGTGAACACGAGTGAGAGAAACAGTGGATATGTGTGGCAGTTTCTAACCAATGTCTCTGTGTTTGCAGGTGTCCAGTGTGAGGTGCAGCTGGTGGAGACTGGAGGAGGCTTGATCCAGCCTGGGGGGTCCCTGAGACTCTCCTGTGCAGCCTCTGGGTTCACCGTCAGTAGCAACTACATGAGCTGGGTCCGCCAGGCTCCAGGGAAGGGGCTGGAGTGGGTCTCAGTTATTTATAGCGGTGGTAGCACATACTACGCAGACTCCGTGAAGGGCCGATTCACCATCTCCAGAGACAATTCCAAGAACACGCTGTATCTTCAAATGAACAGCCTGAGAGCCGAGGACACGGCCGTGTATTACTGTGCGAGAGACACAGTGAGGGGAGGCCATTGTGCGCCCAGACACAAACCTCCCTGCAGGAACGCTGGGGAAATCAGCGGCAGGGGGCGCTCAGGAGCCACTGATCAGAGTCAGCCCCGGAGGCAGGTGCAGATGGAGGCTGATTTCCTGTCAGGATGTGGGACTCTGTCTTCTTCTGACGGTTCCCCAGGGAACCTCTCTAAGTTTAGCATTCTGTGCCTATGAACGTCTTCTCTAAGTATTTGAAAGAGATTATTTTAATATGAAGAGCAGTTCTCACTCGCACAAAATGTGGATTGATGCTTACTGGGATGAAAAGTCCTCAAACATGGTCACCACGATCAGAGTCTGAGTGAGCTCAGGGCTTCCTGCTGAGTCTCCTCCTATCAGACCAAGGACAGGGACCTCAGTGAGGTTCCCCGTCTAGAACAGTCTTTATGGATACTGATTGTGGGCGGCAAGCCACCCAGGTGCCGACGCAAGAGACCGAGGACACGAGCTGTTCCAGTACAATAAAATATAAAACAAGAATAGTTATACCAGATATAGATCTTAGATATGATTATATATGAATATCATTAATCATTAGTTGGTAGCAATTACTCTTTATTCCAATATTATAATAATCCTCACTCTACAATCATAACCTAGGAAAAGCCAGGCCATACAGAGATAGGAGCTGAGGGGACATAGTGAGAAGTGACCAGAAGACAAGAGTGCGAGCCTTCTGTTATGCCTGGACAGGGCGACCAGAGGGCTCCTTGGTCTAGCAGTAATGCCAGCATCTGGGAAGACGCCTGTTGCCAAGCGGACCATGGTCTAGTGGTAGACTCAGTGTCAAGGAAAAACACCTGCTACTTAGCAGACCAGGAAAGGGAGTCTCCCTTTCCCCGGGGAGTTTAGAGAAGACTCTGCTCCTCCACCTCCTGTGGAGGGCCTGATATCAGTCAGACCCGCCCGCACTTATCCGGAGGCCTAACAGTCTCCCTGTGATGCTGTGCTTCAGTGGCCACACTCCTAGTCCTCCTTCGTGTTCCATCCTGTACACCTGGCTCTGCCTTCTAGATAGCAGTAGCAAATCAGTGAAAGTACTAACAGTCTCTGATAAGCAGAAATAATATTGTAAGCTGTTTCTCTCCTTCTCCTCTCTCTCTCTGCCTCAGCTGCCAGGCAGGAAAGGGTCCCCTGTCCAGTGGACACGTGACCCATGTGACCTTACCTATCATTGGAGATGGCTCACACTCCTTACCCTGTCCCTTTGTCTTATATCCAATTAATATCAGCGCAGCCTGGCATTCAGGGCCACTACTAGTCTCCGCATCTTGGTGGTAGTGGTCCCCCGGGCCCAGCTGTCTTTTCTTTTATCTCTTTGTCTTGTGTCTTTATTTCTATGCTCTCTCGTCTCCGCACACGGGGAGAAACCCACTGACCCTGTGGGGCTGGTCCCTACACTGATCACAGACAATAGAGGGTAGGCCAGGATCAGTGTCATGTAGGACATCACAGGTTTCACCTCTGAACCTTTTCCTGACACTAAATATGCAAATCAGCATCAGCACTGATCTGGTGATTCTTTTGTTCCTAATCCATTTAATTCCTTTTTCAGTCGTTGTTTTCATTTTTCCGTTTGCTTTTCCTGCTTTCTGCAAAAGGAAGATTTTTCCCTGTGGTCAAAATTCCGGACCTCAAGCCCTTTCCTGACGCTCAGGTGGGTCTCAGGCTGTGGCTGCTGCAGTCACGCGGGAGAGGCTGGTGGGACTTTCTTCACTCCTCGTCACTCAGGGCCCTCCACTGTGTTGCATGGAGACTTATCTGGAAATGCAAGTTGCGACTGAGAACTGAAGGGGACAAGCTTGTTTGGTTAACATGGGATGTGGATGTGTTTCTAATTTTGTTCTGATAAACTTTCACAGAGTAACTTTCTGCACTAGTCATGTGAGGAAGAGGATGTGAACGTTGTCAGAATAAAAATAGAACAACTTGTGTTATAATCTTTACAGGTGAAGCTG
This sequence comes from Homo sapiens, assembly GCF_000001405.40. NCBI lineage: Eukaryota > Metazoa > Chordata > Mammalia > Primates > Hominidae > Homo > Homo sapiens. Next base: position 106,590,677 of record NC_000014.9, on the reverse strand, counting down.
GAGAAGGTCATGAATAGAGGGTTCTCATGCACACATCCCTGATAACAAGAACTACCATAAAATTACTCTGCACAACCACAACTTTCAACAAAGGCTACCACAACAATAAGAGAATTAATATTGTGAGGATATCTGCCCTGCAACTCCCAGTACAATCTTAAACTGATTCCACCCTTGTTATTAATTCTTCTACCCCCAGGATAATTGCCTCAGAACAGCTCATGTAAGTCCTCTCATTTATCCTTTAAAACAACCTTTACCAACCTTTACTAACCTGACTTCCTTTACCTACCTAAATATGCCCAGGGATAATCCCACTGGAATGCTCATTTTCAAATACATATTATTTGATTTTGGAGAATTTCTTTCTGTCTGATATTCAGGTGTGACAAGCTGTAGAGGGTCACACCACTTTCCTGTGAGATGTAGGGGATGACAATTTGGGGGGATGGCTGGAAACATCCAATATCCTCAGGGTCGGCCATCAGTAAGCGCAGGCTGGAAGTCTCAGAACGAGTTGAAGCTGCTTAACCACGGAATTTTACCTTCTCCAGATCAGCTTTGATGGAATCAGGGCCAAACTGGTTATCAATGATAATCTACCTAACATTGAGTCAACTGATCACAGTTTTAATAACCTCTATTAAAAATTCACACCAACACTTGGATTAGTGTCTGATCAAATAACTACAAAGTATTTTCCAGCCAAGTATACCATAAAACAGACCATTACCCATGGAGAAAAACATTTAACATGAGTTCTAGGTCCTTACATTGTTAAAGGTGTAAAACTGATTATTTTTAAATTATGCTTTTTATTTTTGCTATTGAGTTGTAGAAGTTTCATTTACATTTTGGATATTAACGCTTTTTTCAGATACATGATATATTATCCAATTCTGTGAGTTGGAATTATTTCATTGCTTTGCAGAATATTTTTTTAATCTAGTCCAACTTGTTCAATTCTGCTTTTTTTTAAATGTGCTTTGAATGTAAAATCCAGAAAAAGATTGCTAATTTTTGAGGATTGGGAGTTTTACAGTTGCAGGAATTTCATTGAAATATTTAATGCATTTAAAGTTAATTTTTGTGTTTATTCTAACCTAAAATTCTTAATTCTTCACATGTGAAAATCCAGTTTTCATAACATGCTCTTTGGAAGACACCATAATTTAGCCATTGTATGTTGATGTTTCTCATGCTGAAAATCAGTTCGCCATCAATATGTGGGTTTATATCTAAGCTCTCTATATGCATTTATGCTGATACCATTCGGATTTATTACTCTGTGTTTGTAACAAATGTTGAGGACTGGAAGTGAAATGCCTCAAGCTTTATTCTTGCCTTATTACAGATATTAGACCAAAATATTCTAACCTTCTACTAGTGAGTATAATAATAGCTGTCGCTTTTTTTTTTTTTTTGATTCAGAGTTTCACTCTTGTTGTGTAGGCTGGAGTGCAGTGGTGTGATCTCAGCTCACCGCAACCTCTGCCTCCCGGGTTCAAGCGATTCTCCTGCCTCGGCCTCCCGAGTAGCTGGGATTACAGGCATGCACCACCACACCCGGCTAATTTTGTATTTTCAGTAAAGATGGGGTTTCTCCATGTTGGTCAGGCTGGTCGCGAACTCCAGACCTCAGGTGATCCTCCCGCCTCAGCCTCCCAAAGTGCTGGGATTACAAGCATGAGCCACTGCACCCAGCCTCTTCATTTTTTTTTTATTCATATGTTCATTCAGCAGCCACTATGTCTTCCCATTGATTTCTTTGGTTTCCTCTTTACTATCTTTTTCTTTTTAGTAAAGCTGTTACTCCTAAGGGAAGATGGGAGGTGGGCCTGGACAGGGATTTGGTGCATTCCTCTCTTCACTCCCAGTTCTTATTGATCTCTCCAGTGTCTCTAGAACACTGGTTTTCCTGGCATTACCGCTGCAGATAATTTCTCTTGCAATGTAGTGCTGATGAGGAGGTGTGTCTGGATGCATTTCAGCTATAGTTGCTGTTTTGCTTACCCTGACACAACCGTCCCAAGGGGTAGAGGCTGGAGCATTTTGTGATGTGTCCCCAGTACTGAAGAAAAAGGCTTCAATAGCAGGAGGAATTCCTCAACTGTATACACTCTGAGAATTTAAACAATAACTTCTCTATCACACTCAAATTTAAACCATCCAATGAATATGTCTACTTTAATCGTAACTTAAATGATATTTGGCAGCCTCTGTCCCAGAAAAGATTATCGTCTGCTCCTGTTTATTTCCCTGCAAGTCTTTATCTCTCTTCAGATTTCAGATATCTTGTTTGTCTTATAACATCAAAAATCTGATGAATTTAAGAAAATGTGCTAATTTGCAGATCAGTAAGCTTTAGTAGTTGTGAGAATAATAACAAATTTTTATGGGATGCCTACATCTCCAAGCTGAGTAGCATCTTTATTTCTAACACTCAGAAACTAGAAACAATGCAAATATCAAGAAGATATATAGATAAAGAGTAATGGCATGCTAATTTACGGTAATCATAGCCATCACTAGAATCAATACACTGTTGATGCTCAATGTGGTTGAATCACAAGTAGTTATAATGAGTGAGAAGCCACACACATAAAACACATACTATATAATTCCTGTATAATAAATTCTTGAAACTCAAAACCAAAGTATTCAATATGAAGGATTGACTCAGAATATGGCAAGGGAAAAAAATAATTGGGAAGGAGGAATTGTAGAGTAACACAAGGAAACTTTTAAGTGTAATTTATTTGTTCGTTATCTGGATGGTTTTTGGGGATGCACAGGTGAGCACGAGTGGAATTACATTTTGTTGTGTTTGTTTTTTTCTGAAGAGATGTGGTCCTACTCTGTGACCCAGGCAGGACTGCAGTGGTGGGATCATAGTTCAATGTAGCTTCCAACTTCTGGTCACCAACGATCCTCCTGCATCTGCCATCTAAGTAGCTGAAACTACAGTTGTGTGCCACCAGGCTCAGCTTGAGTACTTATTAAATCAAACACTTTATGCAATATTTAATGTATGGCAATAATGTCTCATTGAGAGTATTACAAATAAATGAATGGATAATTTGTTCAGTACAGATTGATGGAAAATAGACACTAACATGAGGAATGTCTGACATTTATGAACATACAACTGCATAAAATGTGTTCTCTTACATTCATTAGGTAAACACAATAGTGCATACACATCAAACCATGCTTTCATTACAGGAAGGAAGTTCTGAAAATGTCACTGGGGGTGACCCACGCTGTGCTGGGCTTGGTTCGGGGGCAGTCAGGCCCGGTGGTGAGAAGCACAGGCCCAGATACCCAGGCTTACTCTGCAAATGTGAGCTCTGGGGACATTGTACCACCCATCTGTGCTTCTGCTGGTAATTTTCCATCTGTAACGTGGAAATAACATTGATACTACATACCGTGATTTCTCCACATATGTAAAAATAAAATAAGATGATTGCTGCTAAGTTTAAATAAGGGCAGTTTTCATAGGTCCATTGTACCTCAATAAAATTACTTTAAAATAAAAATTACAAATACAGTTGTAGGTTTAAAGAGTTTATCACAGAACAAACTTATAATAAGAAACTATATTTTCAAAAATTGTATCAATATCTCTAAACTCCCCCAGGACACACTCACCTGCTCTGGGCTCTCCACTCTCCTCAGGATTCCCACCCCAGAGCTTGCTATATAGTAGGAGACATGCAAACAGAGCCAAACCTCTGCTGATGAAAAGCAGCCCAGCCCTGACCCTGCAGCTCTGGGAGAGGAGCCCCAGCTCCAGGATTCCCAGGTCTTTCCATTTAGTCTTCAGGGCTGAGCACAGAGGACTCACCATGGAGTCTGGGCTGAGCTGGGTTTTCCTTGTTGCTATTTTGAAAGGTGATTCATGGGGAATGAGTTGAATGTAAGTGAATATGAGTGAGAGAAACAGTGGATGTGTGCGGCAGTTTCTGACCAGGGTGTCTCTGTGTTTGCAGGTGTCCAGTGTGAGGTGCAGCTGGTGGAGTCTGGGTGAGGCTTGGTACAGCCTGGAGGGTCCCTGAGACTCTCCTGTGCAGCCTCTGGATTCACCTTCAGTAGCTCCTGGATGCACTGGGTCTGCCAGGCTCCGGAGAAGGGGCTGGAGTGGGTGGCCGACATAAAGTGTGACGGAAGTGAGAAATACTATGTAGACTCTGTGAAGGGCCGATTGACCATCTCCAGAGACAATGCCAAGAACTCCCTCTATCTGCAAGTGAACAGCCTGAGAGCTGAGGACATGACCGTGTATTACTGTGTGAGAGGCACAGTGAGGGGAGGTCAGTGTGAGCCCAGACACAAACCTCCTGCAGGGGCATCTGGAGCCACAAGGGGGCGCTCAGGATACACAGAGGACAGGGGCAGCCCCAGGGCAGGTGCAGGTGGAGGTCAAGGGCTGCTCTCCTTCAGGGTCTGTGGCTTCCTCTCATCTAACAGTTCCGCAGGGAGCCTCTTGTATTTACAGTGATGTGCTACTGAGGTTTCTAAGTTTGTAAAGTTTATTACTACAGGAGGAACCACTATCAAACGCCCTTAAGGCAGGTGTCACTAATGGAGAAAGGAAAGTGCACAGGAGGCTGGGTGAGGCTGTGGACACTGTCTGCCTATGATTCAAGTTTCACAAGCAGTGACGGAGAAATGGGAGTTTGATGGAGCTCCCTAACTACCATGTGGTCTAAACTAAGTCCAACTAAGTCCCTGAGCTCTGGGTGCCCATCAGGGATCCGCCATGTGCCCGGCAGCCGCGTGCCTTTTTGTCTCCTCTGCGCCCAATCACTGTCTGTGATGAGCTTCCAGGATGTGTGTGTTTGGCACAAACCAGGTGATGGACGTCAGACAGCAGCAGCTGGTGCCCGGATCATGGGCTCCCTAATGCTGGAGGAATGAGAGGTGCATTCTCAGGGACAAGACATTGTTGATGGATTTTTATGTAGAAACCACGATTTTACTTGCTTCTCTCAGGAGACATAGAAGAAGCAACCATGCAGTCAGCAAATAATTATAATTTCCACAATTACCCCAAATGGTTAATCCTTAATTCTGCGCAGGGTCCCACCGTAGAGTCACCTTTCTCATGAGGAATGGTTGAATCTAGAATGAGTCCACATGATTTTCATATTTTTGGCTTCTGTCCATGTTCAGAGAGTTAGAGTAGAGTAAGTTTGGACCTTTCCACACACTAAGCCTCACCTCCCCCACAGAAAGAGCAGAGACTTCAACTATTCCTGAGTGTGGGGTAGGGGCTGGTCCTGCACACCTCAGAGCCTGCAGAGACTGCCACGTGCAGTGTTATAGACTTGGGTGTTTTCTCATTCAGGAGGGGTGACCTCCACGGCCTCCGATTTCTGCTAAGATATAACTGTGAGTGCAGAATTAGGACACTATTAGGCTATCATGCCTCACTTCTATTCTGAAAATCACCCTCTTTATAGTAAAAGAAAACAATTCAATGTCCATGCCCCTGAAAGTCATTTCTTTTTAATTTGGTTGCGAGTTTACCACATAGTGCCTGAATTTATTCTCAGAATCTACTGAATTGTTTATAAATCTCACAAATTGAACAAAAGTGAATTCTTCATTCTTACTAAAATGTGTGTATGTAGGAATTTCAGTGTGTTTTCCAGAAGCCATGCACACCAACCACTGTGTTTCATGGTCATTTATTGGCCTGGTGAGGCCCTCACAGACCCCCTCCCTCACCTGTGCTGTCTCTGGATTCTCCATCACAACTAGTGCTTCCTGCTGGAGCTGGATCCGCCAGTCCTCAGTCAAGGGAGTGGATCAGGGCATAGGTCACGAGGGAGCACAAATTCTAACCCACTCCTCATGAGCTCAGTCACCATCTCCAGATCCACGTCCAAGAACCAAATTTTCTTTTAGCTGAGTTCTGTGACCAACAATGCCACAACCTTGTATTACTGTGAGAGGAACAGAAGAGATGTCAGTGTGATCCCAGACACAAACTTCCCTGGAGAGGGGCCCAGGACCACCAAAGAGCACTCAGGCTCCATGAAAACAGGGCCCAAGCTGGAGAACGGGTTTCCTGTCACCCTCACGTTTCACCATTAGATACTCTACACTATGCCTATGCTGAGGTGTGTGTTTAATATAATTAGAAAATGGTATTTATATACGTGTATAATCATATCTAGTGTAAGAATTTGTAGTTTCCACCTTATGTGACCATTAAAGACAACATCTCTCACGTTATTCAAGGACCTTATAAAGTATAATACTTTTACATAAGATTTATCTCCTTTTTTGTTTCTCCTTCTGTCTATATTCTCTCTGTCTCTCTCTTCCTCCCTCTTTCTCTCTCTCTCTCCATCTCTCTCTCTCTGTCTCTCTCTCACACACAAATACACACACATGCAATCGTTGACAGTATATAGGCTAATTAAGAATATATTCCCATATGATTTAAAAATAACAGTTTTACAAATATTTGCCTTTAATTTTTCAAAGAAAATTAAATCCAAATGCCAGTGATTTTTTATGTGACTTTTAAAATTTAAATTGTTAATTTTTGTTTTCATCAATGCTTGTATGTGTGCTTTTGTATTCTTTCAGATTATTTGGTGCCTTCACAGAATTAAACATGTGAAACTCTCCACTTGAATTTCTGTGACTCAGGACTGGTGAGCAAAAAGTTAGAAGTCACTCTCCTGATCCTTCCCTACAGCTGCAGATTCCTGAAGGTAATGACCTCACAGTAGACCAAGGCCCTCAAAGGTGACCTTGAGTTCCAGCACATCTTGGGAGGCCAAGCGGATGTTTGTGAAAGAAATAGTGGCTATGTGACAGTTTCTAACCAGAATATCTCTGTGTTTTCAGGTATCCAGGGTGAGGCCCAGCTTACAGAGTCTGGGGGAGACTTGGTACACTTAGAGGGGCCCCTGAGGCTCTCCTGTGCAGCCTCTTGGTTCACCTTCAGTATCTATGAGATTCACTGGGTTTGCCAGGCCTCAGGGAAGGGGCTGGAATGGGTTGCAGTTATATGGCGTGGTGAAAGTCATCAATACAATGCAGACTATGTTAGGGGCAGACTCACCACTTCCAGAGACAACACCAAGTACATGCTGTACATGCAAATGATCAGCCTGAGAACCCAGAACATGGCAGCATTTAACTGTGCAGGAAACATCGTGATGGGAAGTCCACGTGGGCTCAGAGACAGACTGCCATGCAGGACACAGGGGGTGGCTTGGCTGAAGGGGGCACTCAGCACCCACAGAAGACAGGAGCAGCCCAGGGCAGGGGCAGGTGGAGTTCAAGGGCTGCTTTCCTGTCAGGTTCTGTGGCTTCTTCTGCATCAAATGCGTTCTCCTGGGAGCCTCTCTATATTTATGGTTCTCTGCCTACCACTGAGGCCTCTGGATTGGAAAAGATTACTACTAGAAAAAAAAATTCTCATATACCCCTGAAGAATACATCATTAATTGAGGCAGAAGATGTCACAGGAGGCCAGGGAGGCTGTGGAAACTGTGCGACGTGGATGCACATCTGACAACAAAGACATAAAAAATCAGGGAACACTGATAAAACCTCCTAATTATGCCATGGCCCTCTCTAAGCCTAGTAAAGCCATTGATGCCTTCCTGGGCCAAACCCACCCATCAGGGATCACTCCTGTGTCCCAGCAGCAGACATGCCTTAGAATCTCCACTGTATGTAATCACTGTCTGGGAGGAGCTCCCAGGGCATGTGTCTTTGCATTAACCAGGTGATGGGTGTCAGAGAACAGCAGCTGGATGCCTGGTCTATGGGTTCCCTGATGTTGAAGAAATGGGAGGTGCAGTCTCAGAGCCAATACACTGTTTATGCATTTTTATATAGAAACCATGATTTTTCTTGCTTCTCTCAGATGACACAGAGGATCAAGAAAACAGTCTGTAAACAATTGTAATGTCCCCATTTCTTCTGAATAAATGCATTATTTCTTAATTCTGAGTGGGGGTTTGTCAGACCATGCCCTTCTCCTAAGCAATTGTTCAATCCAGGCTGAAACCACATGGGGATCACATACTTTGGTTTGGTTCAGGTGCAGAGGTCTTCAGTAGAGCAAATTTGGTCCTTCCCACACAGTAAGCCTCACCTTCCTCAGAGAAAGAGCTGAAATTGATCCAACTTTGTCTGAGGTGGGAGCTGCTTCTCCACACCTTGGAGCTTGCAGAGACCCCTAAATGCAGCTTTATTGAGTCAGGTGTGTCTCCATGTGGGGGACTTCTGCTGCTAGTGATCTCTGCTCAGTTCTAAATGTGGGTTCAGAATTAGGACACTTAGGTTATCACGCCTCAAAAATTACCATCATTGTAGATAGAAATAATAGTACAATGCCAATTGTTGTCACTTGTTTCTTATTATTATTGGAGTATAAGTTTGAAGAGACAAATTGTTACCATATATTTGCATAAATCTAATGTCAGAATCTCTTGAATTGCTCTTGAACACTTACAAACTGGTTAGAAGCAGATTCTTATTTTTTTCTATACTAGTGTATTTTGGGATGTCAACATTTTGTCCAGAACATGTGAGTACCAATAACTGTGTGTTTCAGAAATGACTGTGAGATTCAGTCATTTCTATCGAGTGGGAAAACCAGTTAACTTTGTCTTTGATATATGGATGGAAGCCCAAGATAGAGGCTTGTCAGTCATTGTTTCTGTGCCTTCTCCCTTGGGAATGTCTGTATTTTTTTATGCTCTGTCCTGGGTCTATACCCCAATGGTTCCCCTACTCCATGGCACCTGCCTGTGCCTGTGCATGCCCCTGCCCACACTCTCCGTGAAACATCTGCTTTGGCTCAGGAAGAACCCCTCCTCTGCCTTTTTTCCTCCTGCCCCTGGTCCACATTCTTCTCCATCCACAGGCTCTCAGCAGCACCTCCCATCCACACTAACCCTACATGGGGTCATACCTTGTCCACCACTTCCTCTCTCTTTTCTTCTGAGCTTTGCCTTTTATTCCAACAGCCTGTTTCCATCTCACCTGGACTTGTGTACAGGAAAGGATTTACCGAGCAGTCTTGGGTTGTGCAAACCCTGAACATTCCTGAAAAAGTGCTTTCTCAAGCTAGGCCCATATTCAGCTCCTGGGAGATGATATCTGCCTTTTTGGCATACTCCTCCTGGTAGTATTATTAAACCACTTGATTAAGATAAGGTTTACATCTGTAAAACTACACATTATTTAACATACTTAACTCATTGAGTTTGGAGTAAGTATACATCTGCAAAGTTATCCCCATCATCAAGGTCATAACCATAGAAATCACTTCCAAAACATTCCTCTTATCTCTCTTAATATTGTGATTATTTTATTAGTTAAAATGTATTTTTGTTTGTGTTTGTCTGTGTCTCTGTGTGTGTAGCCTGGGTGCACGCTATACTAGCTGTTTTCATAATGACTTATGGTGAATGCCTATTAGTGCTCAAGAGGCCGGCGTCTGAGCACTGGAGGTCAATTGTGCAGGTGTCACACACATCTGTGATGGGCCCAATAAACAGCCCTGGGCACAAGCACTCAGGTGAGCTTCCCTGGTGGACAATGCTTCACACATGTTGTCATGCATCACTGCTGGGAGAACTGGGGACAAGAGACTCCTCAGGGAAAGAACACCTGGGAGCTCATGCCTGGATTCTCAGGGCCTTCTCCCTGGTGCCTTTGCTCATTTTAATTCATATTCATTCGCTATAATAAAGCTGCACCCATGAGAATAACAGCTTTTCTTGTGTCCTTTATTTGTACTGATTAAGGGGCCTGAGGATGGTCTTGGGACACTCAACACAATTACATCAGAGTTGGAGAATGCTAGAAAGTTCCTGATTGCTGACGCATGGCTAGAGGATTTTTTATAACATCAAAGGATGAGAAAGTGCGGGATAAAAGACATTCAATGCCCAGATGGCTACAGAATCATATGGC